>NC_000004.12:8184483-8490980 GCF_000001405.40 Homo sapiens | reverse complement strand
CTCTATCTAGCTGCTCTGGTGGGGCCTCGGAGAACCTTTGTGTCGATACTCTGTATCTAACTAATCTGATGGGGACGTGGAGAACCTTTGTATCTAGCTCAGGGATTGTAAACGCACCAATCAGCACCCTGTCAAAACAGACCACTTGGCTCTACCAATCAGCAGGATGTGGGTGGGGCCAGATAAGAGAATAAAAGCAGGCTGCTCCAGTCAGCAGTGGCAACCCGCTCGGGGCCCCTTCCACACTGTGGAAGCTTTGTTCTTTCGCTCTTTGCAATAAATCTTGCTACTGCTCACTCTTTGGGTCCACGCTGCTTTTATGAGCTGTAACACTCACCGCGAAGGTCTGCAGCTTCACTCCTGAAGCCAGAGAGACCACGAGCCCACGGGGAGGAATGAACAACTCCAGACGCGCCGCCTTAAGAACTGTAACACTCACCGCGAAGGTCTGCGGCTTCACTCCTGAAGCCAGCGAGACCACCAGCCCACTGGGAGGAATGAACAACTCCAGACGCGCTGCCTTAAGAGCTGTAACACTCACGGCGAAGGTCTGCAGCTTCACTCCTGAGCCAGCGAGACCACGAATCCACCAGAAGGAAGAAACTCCGAACACATCTGAGCATCAGAAGGAACAAACTCCGGACGCACCACCTTAAGAGCTGTAACACTCACCGCGAGGGTCTGTGGCTTCATTCTTGAAGTCAGTGAGACCAAGAACCCACCAATTCCAGACACAGAGTCACTACTCAAATCATTCTCATCCAAAGCTTGTAGGATAGGGGTTTTTCAAAGGCAGTTTCGGGGAAGGCGTGGGGGTGGCCAAGGAACGGGTGCCTGCTGCTGATTGGTTGGGCAGAGATGAAATCACACAGGATCAAAGCTGTCCTCCTGTGGGCTGAATTGCCTCTGTGGGGGCCACAGGAGCAGGGGTTGACGGGTCCAAGTGGAGCCATGGGTGTCAGACATGCAAAAAATCTGAAAACATATCTCAAAAGGCCAATCTTGGATTCTACAATAGTGATGCTATTTTCAGGAGTAATTGGGGAAGTTGCATGTCTTTAACCTCTGATATAATGGCTGGCAATCATTCATGTCTGTGCCTTAGCAGGACTCCTCTCCTCCCCCAGTCTGACGGCCTTCCATTAGCTTTACAAAAGCAGTTGAGTTTGGGGCAAAGCCTATTATAATTTAAACTACAGCCTAGGCCGGGTGTGGTGGCTCACGCATGTAATTCCAGCACTTTGGGAGGCCAAGGCAGGCTGATCACCTGAGGTCAGGAGTTTGAGACCAGCCTGGCCAACATGGTGAAACCCCATCTCTACTAAAAATACAAAAAATTAGCCAGGCGTGGTGGCTAACACCTGTAATCCCAGCCACTCGGGAGGCTGAGGCAGGAGAATCGCTTGAACCTGGGAGGCGGAGGTTGCAGTGAGCCGAGATTGTGCCACTGAACTCCAGCCTGGGTGACAGAGTGAAACTCCATCTCAAATAAAACAAAACAAAACAAAACAAAACAAAACGAAAACAAAACTACAGCCTGTCTTCCAAAGTTAGCCCAGCCCTATGGCCCAGGAATAATTGAGGGAAAGGTAAGATGGGGGTGGGTTAGCTCAGATCTCTTTCACCATCATCATTTTCTCACTGATAGAATTTTTGCATAGGTGTTTCACTGTCATCCATAAGGAGGCCAAGTCAATGCCAGGTTTCCAGGCTTTTAAGGACAGGACACCAGCCTTGCCTGGTGGCCATGTTGCAGGCTATGAATGTGATCCCATGCAATGACAGCCCCAGGGCCTTCAAGCGAAACAGTGAGCACATGGGGCCAGGGCACTGCAGGAGCCAGGCAGTCAGGAATAGCCCACTCCTCTTCCAAGAGGCCCTCCTGAGTTGCCGGATGACACAGTTCCTTTCAAGGTCTTACTTGTGGGTGGTGCTACTCCTGCACATCCTCCTCTTACTGGTGATTTTCATCCCTTCTGCGTTGCCAGGTAACACAGTTCCTTTCAAGATCTTGCTTGTGGGTGGTGCTGCTCCCACACATCCTCCTCTTACTGGTGATTTTCCTCCCTTCGTCGCAGTGGTTCCCCCTCCAAATACCACTCCCTTGATCCCATGGACACAGCACTCATAGCAGCTTTTAAGTCCTCCTGGCTGAGGAGGTCCTTTGCCTGGGCTATAGCTTCAGCTGAAGAGTCTGCCGAGAAGGCACTGATGCAACTGTGGAAGGATGGCATCTAGGGCTGCACCAGAAACCTTGTTTGAGCTTGGGGTTGTCAGGCCTCTGAGCCCAAGCCAAGCCATCGCATCCCCTGTGACTTGCACGTGTATGCCCAGATGGCCTGAAGTAACTGAAGAATCACAAAAGAAGTGAAAATGCCCTGCCCCACCTTAACTGATGACATTCCACCACAAAAGAAGTGTAAATGGCCGGTCCTTGCCTTAAGTGATGACATTACCTTGTGAAAGTCCTTTTCCTGGCTCATCCTGAGGCAAAAAGCTTCCCCACGGAGCACCTTGCGACCCCCACTCCTGTCCACCAGAGAACAAACCTCCTTTGACTGTAATTTTCCTTTACCTAACCAAATCTTATAAAACGGCCCCACCCCTATCTCCCTTCGCTGACTCTTTTGGACTCAGCCCACCTGCACCCAGGTGAAATAAACAGCCATGTTGCTCACACAAAGCCTGTTTGGTGGTCTCTTCACACGGACGCTCATGAAATTTGGTGCCATGACTCGGACCGGGGAACCTCCCTTAGGAAATCAATCCCCTGTCCTCCTGCTCTTTGCTCCATGATAAAGGTCCACCTATGACCTCAGGTCCTCAGACCAACCAGCCCAAGAAACATCTCACCAATTTCAAATCCAGTAAGTGGCCTCTTTTTACTCTCTTCTCCAACCTCCCTCACTATCACTCAACCTCTTTCTCCTTTCAATCTTGGCACCACACTTCAATCTCTCCCTTCTCTTAATTTCAATTCCTTTCATTTTCTGGTAGAGACAAAGGAGACACGTTTTATCCGTGGATCCAAAACTCCGGCGCCGGTCACAGACTAGGGAAGGCAGCCTTCCCTTGGTGTTTAATCATTGCAGGGACGCCTCTCTGACTATTCACCCAGGTTTCAGAGGTGTCAGACCACTCATGGACGCCTGCCTTGGTCTTTCACCCTTAGTGGCAAGTCCTGCTTTTCTGGGGGAGGGGTAAGTACCCCAACCCCTTCTCTCCATGTCTCTACCCCTTTTTTGCTTTTCTGAGGCAGGGGCAAGAACCCCTCAACCCCTTCTCCTTCACGCTTAGTGGTAAGTCCCGCTTTTCTAGGGGGCAAGAACCCCCAATCCCTTATTTCCACGCCCCGACCTCTTATCTCTGTACCCCAATCCCTTATTTCCATGCCCCAACCTCTTATCTCTGCACCCCGATCCCTTATTTCCATGGCCCGACCTCTTACCTCTACACCCCAATCCCTTATTTCTGCACCCCGACCTCTTATCTCTGCGCCCCATCCCTTATTTCCATGCCCCGACCTCTTATCTCTGCACCTCAACCCCTTATTTCCACGATCCGACCCCTTTCCCGCTTTTCTGGAGGGTAAGAACCCCCGAACCCCTTCCCTCCTTGTCTCTACTCTCTCTTTTCTCTGGGCTTTCCTCCTTCACTACGGGCAACCTTCCACCCTCCATTCCTCCATCTCCCTTAGCCTGTGCTCTCAAGAACTTAAAACCTCTTCAGCTCACACCTGACATAAAACCTAAATGCCTTATTTTCTTCTGCAATGCCGCTTGACCCCAATACAAACTCGACAGTAGTTCCAAATAGCCAGAAAATGGCACTTTCAATTTTTCCATCCTGCAAGATCTAAATAATTCTTGTCATAAAATAGCAAACAGTCTGATGTGCCTGACGTCCAGGCATTCTTTTACACATCAGTCCCTTCCTAGTCTCTGTGCCCAGTGCAACTCGTCCCAAACCTTCCTTCTTTCCCTCCCGCCTGTCCCCTCAGTCCCAACCCCAAGCGTCACTGAGTCTTTCTAATCTTCCTTTTCTACAGACCCATCTGACCTCTCCCCTCCTCCCTGGGCTGCTCCTCGCCGGGCTGAGCTAGGTCCCAATTCTTCCTCAGCCTCCACTCCTCCACCCTATAATCCTTTTATCACCTCCCCTCCTCACACCCCGTCCGGTTTACAGTTTCATTCCGTGAGTAGCCCTCCCCCATCTGCCCAGCAATTTACTCTTAAAAAGGTGGCTGGAGCTAAAGGCATAGTCAAGGTTAATGCTCCTTTTTCTTTATCCCAAATCAGATAGCGTTTAGGCTCTTTTTCATCAAATATAAAAACCCAGCCCAGTTCACGGCTCGTTTGGCAGCAACCCCGAGACGCTTTACAGCCCTAGACCCTAAAAAGTCAGAAGGCCGTCTATTCTCAATATACATTTTATTACCCTATCTGCTCCCAAAAATTAAATAAAAATCCAAAATTAAATCCAAATCCAAATAAATAAAATCCAATAAATAAAAATCCAAAAATTAAATTCCAGCCCTCAAACCCAACAGGACTTAATTAACCTCGCCTTCAAGGTGTACAATAATAGAGGCAGCCAAGTAGCAACATATTCCTGAGTTGCAATTCCTTGCCTCCACTGTGAGACAAACCCCAGCCACATCTCCAGCACACAAGAACTTCCAAATGCCTAAACCGCAGTGGCCAGGCGTTCCTCCAGAACCACCTTCCCCAGGAGCTTGCTACAAGTGCCAGAAATCTGGCCACCAGGCCAAGGAATGCCCGCAGCCCGAGATTCCCCCTAAGCTGTGTCCCATCTGTGCGGGACCCCACTGGAAACTGGACTGTTCAACTCACCTGGCAGCCACTCCCAGAGCCCCTGGAACTCTGGTCCAAGGCTCTCTGACTGACTCCTTCCCAGATCTTCTTGGCTTAGCAACTGAAGATTGACGCTGCCCGATCACCTTGGAAGCCCCCTGGACCATCACCAACGCCAAGCTTTAGGTAACTCTCACAGTGGAGGGTAAGTCCATCCCCTGTTTAATCGATACGGGGGCTACCCACTCCACGTTGCCTTCTTTTCAAGGGCCTGTTTCCCTCGCCCCAATAACTGTTGTGGGTATTGACAGCCAAGCTTCAAAACCCCTGAAAACTCCCCCACTCTGGTGCCAACTTGGACAACACTCTTTTATACACTCTTTTTTAGTTATCCTCACCTGCCCCGTTCCCTTATTAGGCCGAGATATTTTAACCAAATTATCTGCTTCCCTGACTATTCCTGGACTACAGCCACATCTCATTGCCGCCCTTCTCCCCAACCCAAAGCCTCCTTCGCATCTTCCTCTCATATCCCCCCACCTTAACCCACAAGTATGGGACATCTCTACTCCTTCCCTGGCAACCGATCACATGCCCATTACCATCCCATTAAAACCTAATCACCCTTACCCCGCTCAATGCCAATATCCCATCCCACAGCACGCTTTAAAAGGATTAAAGCCTGTTATCACTCACCTGCTACAGCATGGGCTTCTAAAACCTATAAACTCTCCTTACAATTCCCCCATTTTACCTGTCCAAAAACCGGACAAGTCTTACAGATTAGTTCAGGATCTGCGCCTTATCAACCAAATTGTTTTGCCTATCCACCCTGTGGTGCCCAACCCGTACATTCTTTTGTCCTCAATACCTCCCTCCACAACTCACTATTCCGTTCTTGATCTTAAAGATGCTTTTTTCACTATTCCCCTGCACCCCTCATCCCAGCCTCTCTTTGCTTTCACCTGGATTGACCCTGACACCCATCAGTCCCAGCAGCTTACCTGGGCTGTGCTGCCTCAAGGTTTCAGGGACAGCCCTCATTACTTCAGCCAAGCTCTTTCTCATGATTTACTTTATTTCCACCCCTCTGCTTCTCACCTTATTCAATATATTGATGACCTTCTTTGTAGCCCCTCCTTTGAATCTTCTCAACAAGACACACTTCTGCTCCTTCAGCATTTATTCTCCAAAGGATATCGGGTATCCCCCTCCAAAGCTCAAATTTCTTCTCCATCTGTTACCTATCTCGGCATAATTCTTCATAAAAACACCTGTGCTCTCCCTGCCGCTCATGTCCAACTAATCTCTCAAACCCCAACCCTTCTACAAAACAACCCCTTCCTTCCTGGGCATGGTTGGATACTTTCACCTTTAGACACCTGGTTTTGCCATCCTAACAAAACCATTATATAAACTCACAAAAGGAAACCTAGTTGACCCCATAGATCCTAAATCCTTTCCCCACTCCTCTTTCTGTTCCTTGAAGACAACTTTAGAAACTGCCCCCTCTCTAGCTCTCCCTGACTCATCCCAACCCTTTTCATTACACACAGCTGAAGTGCAGGGCTGTGCAGTAGGAATTCTTACACAAGGACCGGGATCGCATCGTGTAGCCTTTTTGTCCAAACTACTTGACCTTACTGTTTTAGGCTTGCCATCATGTCTCTGTGCAGCAGCTGCTGCTGCCCTAATACTTTTAGAGGCCCTTAAAATCACAAACTATGCTCAACTCACTCTCTACAGCTCTCATAATTTCCAAAATCTATGTTCTTCCTCACACCTGACGCATATACTTTCTGCTCTCCGGCTCCTTCAGCTGTACTCACTCTTTGTTGAGTCTCCCACAATCACCATTGTTCCTGGCCCCAACTTCAATCTGGCCTCCCACATTATTCCGGATACCACACCTGCCCCTCATGACTGTATCTCTCTGATCCACCTGACGTTCACCCCATTTCCCCACATTTCCTTCTTCTCTGTTCCTCACCCTGATCACACTTAGTTTATTGATGGAAGTTCCACCAGGCCTAATCGCCACACACCAGCAAAGGCAGGCTATGCTATAGTACAAGCCACTAGCCCGCCTCTTAGAACCTGTCATTTCCTTTCCATCCTGGAAATCTCAAGGAAATAACTTCTCAGTGTTCCATCTGCTATTCTACTACTCCTCAGGGATTATTCAGGCCCCCTCCCTTCCCTACACATGAAGCTCAGGGATTTGCCCCCACCCAGGACTGGCAAATTAGCTTTACTCAACATGCCCTGAGTCAGGCAACTAAAATACCTCTTAGTCTAAATAGACACTTTCACTGAATAAGTAAAGACATTTCCTACAGGGTCTGAGAAGGCCACCGTAGTCATTTCTTCCCTTCTGTCAGACACAATTCCTCAGTTTGGCCTTCCCACCTCTATACAGTCCAATAGCAGACCAGCCTTTATTGGTCAAATCAGCCAAGCAGTTTTTCAGGCTCTTAGTATTCAGTGAAACCTTTATATCCCTTACAGTTCTCAGTCTTCAGGAAAAGTAGAACAGACTAATGGTCTTTTAAAAACACACCTCACCAAGCCCAGCCACCAACTTAAAAAGGACTGGACAATACTTTTACCACTTTCCCTTCTCAGAAGTCAGACCTGTCCTCAGAATGCTACAGGGTACAGCCCATTTGAGCTCCTGTATAGACGCTCCTTTTTATTAGGCCCCAGTCTCATTCCAGACACCAGACCAACTTAGACCGTGCCCCCCCCCAAAAAAACTTGTCAACCCTACTATCTTCTGTCTAGTCATATTCCTATTCACCGTTCTCAACTACTCATACATGCCCTGCTCTTGTTTACACTGCCAGTTTACACTGTTTCTCCAAGCCATCACAGCTGATATCTCCTGGTGCTATCCCCAAACTGCTACTCTTAACTCTTGAAGTAAATAAATAATCTTTGCTGGCAGGACTATGCTGAATCTCCTTAGGCACTCTCTAATCAGATGTCCTGGGTCCTCCCAATTCTTAGACCTTTTATACCTGTTTTTCTCCTTCTCTTATTCCATTTAGTTTTTCAATTCATACAAAACTGTATCCAGGCCATCACCAATAATTCTACACAACAAATGTTTCTTCTAACAACCCCACAATATCACCCCTTACCACGAAATCATCCTTCAGCTTAATCTCTCCCACTCTAGGTTCCCACACCGCCCCTCATCCCACTCGAAGCAGCCCTGAGAAACATTGCCCATTATCTCTCCATACCACCCCCCCCAAAATTTTTGCCGCCCCCACACTTCAACACTATTTTATTTTTCTTATTATTATAAGAAGGCAGGAATGTCAGGCCTCTGAGCCCAAGCCAAGCCATCGCATCCCCTGTGACTTGCACGTATATGCCCAGATGGCCTGAAGTAACTGAAGAATCACAAAAGTGAAAATGCCCTGCCCCACCTTAACTGATGACATTCCACCACAAAAGAAGTGTACATGGCCTGTCCTTGCCTTAAGTGATGACATTACCTTGTGAAAGTCCTTTTCCTGGCTCATCCTGGCTCAAAAAGCACCTCCACTGAGCACCTTGCGACCCCCACTCCTGCCCGCCAGAGAACAAACCCCCTTTGTAATTTTCCTTTACCTACCCAAATCTTATAAAATGGCCCCACCCCTATCTCCCTTTGCTGACTCTCTTTTTGGACTCAGCCCGCCTGCACCCAGGTGAAATAAACAGCCATGTTGCTCACACAAAGCCTGTTTGGTGGTCTCTTCACGCGGACGCTCATGAAAGGGGTGATGACCCAGGTGTGCCTGCCAAGGTGTGCGTGAGTGGCATCCAGAGGAGGACACGCAAGAGTTCACCCAGGACTTCAAAGGATTTGCCCAGGATGAGGAGGCTGCAAAACTCAACACGGCTGTGGCTAGGACGGCAAACAACTCCAGTCTAGGGTGGAGGAGGATGCCGTTGAGGAGTGCCTCCAGGCGGTTCCTGAAGAACTGACAAATGAGCTGCTGGAACTGGAAGAGGGACGCAGAGCTGAACAAGGGGCAAGAGAAGAGGCAACTGGCGAAAAACAAGATGAGCCCCAAGAAAATTTACAGTGAAGGGTTTAGCAAAAGCTTTGCAGACCTCGACACGCACCTTAACAAGTCTGAAGCATAGACCTCAACACGGAAGGCTTTCTTTCATAGACAGGAATGTTCATAGTGCCTTATCTGCTTACAGGCAAATCTATGATGAAAAAAGGAAACCAAGCACATCACCATGGCCATGTTTCTGAAAAGAGTGACAATTCCTCAAGAAGAGCCTCAGACAGGGCTTTCAGGATGGATTCAGAAAGCAGCCCTGTTATCACAGGCGGTGACTGCCCTAGGTGTGCTAGTCCCCTAAAGACCTTCTGATGGGACAAGACGAGGAGGTGGGAGACAGTGATATTGATGATCCTGACTCTGTGTAGGCCTAGCCTAGGCTAATGTGTGTGTTTCTCTTTTCATTTTTAACAAAAAAGTTTAAAAGTAAAAAAGCATAAAGAGAAAAGCTGATATAATATAAAGAATATTTGCCTGTAACCCCAGCACTTTGGGAGGGTGAGGCAGGAGTGACATAGTAGGTTGGTAGGCAGGCAGCAGCGGGACAGGAAAGGGCTACCCCAACCCACCAGGAATGTCAGGTGACTGAGCATCAGGTTGTCGACGAAGAGAGTAGATCCCTGTAAAGTATTTGTTTTCTGTAAAATATTGAAGAGATTTATTCTGAGCCAAATATGAGTGACCATGGCCCATGACACAGTCCTCAGGAGGTCCTGAGAACATGTGCCCAAGGTGGTCGGGGCACAGCTTGGTTTTATGTATTTTAGGGAGGCATGAGACATCAATCAAATACATTTGAGAAATACATTGGTTTGGTCCAGAAAGGCGGGACAACTCAAAGGTCGGAGCAGGGGAGGGAAGCTTCCAGGCTACAAGTGAATTTAAACATTTTCTGGTTGACAATTGGTTGAGTTTGTCTGAAGACCTGGGATTGATAGAAAGGAAATGTTCAAGTTAAGATAAAGATTGTGGAGACCAAAGTTCTTTGAAGTCTAATAGTCGCTGCCCTTAGAGACAATAGATGACAACTGTTTCCTATTCAGATCTTTCAAAAGGTGCTAGAGTTTTAATCTCCTCAGGATTGGGAGGGTCTGGAAGAAAAAGATCTAGCTATGTTAACAGAGATTCTTTACAGATGCAAATTTTCCCCCACACAAAACAGCTTTGTAGGGTCATTTCAAAATATGGTTAAACACATTTTGAGGTAAACTACTTTGATTTTTCTTCCTTGACTTGTAATGTTATGCCAGGGTCAGGTTGGAAAGTAAGTCATAATATATAGGGTTAAATAAAACCCATCTGATGAGAATTTCTGATTTGCAGGGCAGGACTCCCCAGACCCCTTAGATAGGAATTTGGGCAAGATAAAAAATCAGTTTAGTCCTTGAGGTGATGGTCCCACAGTTGTTACACTGGCTGTCTAAAAATGATCATTGGTCGCAGGCGCCAGGGAGAGGCAATTTCCCAATAGATAAAGGCACTTGAAATTGCTCACCAGCGGCTTCCAATAAAATCTCAGGAATTGGGTAAGTGGGCTAGAGCAAGCGCATTAAGAGACAAAATGGCAGAGTATGACCTTCTGGGGGCGTCCTACCGGAAAAGGGAAGCAGCCTCAGGCAAACATACATACAACTTCACAAACCCACTGCGAATGCTCACGTCCGGAGTGCAAGGAGGGCACCGTGCATGCAGGCAGCCCACCCTAAGGAAAGCATCATGGGAAAAGGGACACAAGGCCCCAGAAGTACGCCAATATATAAGACCCCAAGTCAAAAGGTCAAATGCTGCACTCCACCTCCACAGTGCGTGCTTGGGTCTCTTCCAAGTGTACTTTTTCTTTCCTGCTCTAAAGCTTTTTAATAAACTTCCACTCCCGCTCGGAAACTTGCCTCAGTCTCCTTTTTCCGCCTTATGCTCTTCAGATGAATTCTTTCTTCCAAGGAGGCAAGAGTTGAGGCTGCTGCAGACCCATGTGAATTCACCACTGACAACTCAAATATTCGCCACCCCTAACAGGAGGACCGCTTCAGTCCAGGAGTTCAAGACCAGCCTGGGCAACATGGTGGCACGTGCCTGTGGTCCCAGCTACTTGGGGGGCTGAGGCAGGAGATCAATTAAGCCCGGGAGGCTGAGGCTCACTGTAGTGAGCCGAGATGGCGCCACTACACTCTAACCTGGGTGACACAACAAGACCCCGTCTCAAAAAAACAAAATAAAAAAAGGAAAAATATTTTTGTACAGCTGTACGATGTGTGTTTTAAGCTGTTATTAAAAAAGAGTCAAAAATGTTTTTAAAATTCATAAAATTAACAAGTTAGAAAAAAGCTCAAGTGAATGTGTTATTGAAGACATTTTTTTAGTATAAACTGAGTGTGGCCTAAGTGTGTTGTTCATCCAGCCTGCAGAAGGGCCTCAGAGGCACTCCCTCTCCCTCACGGACACCCACAGCCTTGTCCACAGGCCCCAATCAGCTGAAGCATGTGCCCTCCACAGCTGAAGCATGTTTTCTCTTTTACATCATATTTTCACTATACCTTTTCTACGTTTAGATACAGACACTTACCATTGCGTTACAACTGCCTACAGCATTCAGCACAGTTAATGTGCTGTGCAGGCGTCTGGTCCAGAAGCAACAGGCCATCCCGTCCCCCACAGCCTGGGTGTGGGGCAGGCTGTCTCATCCATGAGCGCGGGGCACACTCTGATGTTGCAGGATGATGAAATCACCTAACAACGCATTTCTCAGAATGCATCTGCACTGTTAATTGACACATGACTGTGCTTTCTCGTGAACCACCTTTTCCCAGAATGATGAGGTCCACAATATAGTTTCCAAGCAAAAACGGCAACAAGGAAAGGTCAAGCAGAAATGAGCTGGGGGCAAGTCAGCAGAGGGCTCAGCTTCTCCTCTGGGACTCTCTTCTCAATCCACCTACACAAGGCTCTTCTGCACAAGGCCCGGGTTCCTCGTTCTGTGACAGTTGTGGCCCTGGAGAGTAGCCGCAGCGGATGGCAGGATGAGAGGGAGAATACGCGGCCTCAGCCCCTCCTCCAGGAAGCCTGCCCTGCCAACCCCGACAGACCCCAGGGCTTGGCCATGCCACGAGCCAAGGCCTACGTGACCTGGTGTCTGAATCCCCAGCACCAGTCCAAGGGGCTGCGGTCACCATGGTAACTCCACAAGGGCGCCTGCAGGCCCCAAGACCACAATGCTCACCACAGGTGGGCCTCCTCTGCAGCAGATGGGGCAAGTCGCGGCGCCTGGGGACAGAGGCTGCCCCTCAGCCAGTGAGACCTAGTGCCTGCGTGGCACTAGTCTGAAAAGCAGTGTAGACGCACTGTACCCCTGGCGAGATTCCCCCTCATGCCCACCTTCATGGCATTCCCTCGATCCCACCTGTCCAGGGGAGACATTCAGGCTCTGAGAAGTCACCGGGAAGCCCTTGGGGCTGGCCACAGCAGGCTGCCATGATCAGTGCCCCGCTCCACCCCCCGCCAAACCTCTATCTGCCCACCTTCATCCACAGATGTACTGTTCATTGCTGCAAGGGAACCGTGCCCGACACCCAGTCACATGACCTGTGGACAGGGGCACAGTGCTGCTGGGGGGCAGTAAGAAATGGTACCTGGAACCTGGAGATCAGGTCAGGTGATGTAGTCCCCAAGGGCTGTTTCTACCAGCTGATTATGCCAGGTGACACGGAGGGGCCTATGGCCATGGTGGGCCCCACTTAGCATAGCTCTTGGCCTGGCAGGACCCCACCTGGGAGAGCCAGGGCCACCCCACATGCCCCCAACCCCATCTGATGCTCCTTTGAGACTGTGTCCTTGCGGCTTGTGACTGGAAACTGCCGTAACAAGTGTTGGGGAGCTCATCTTCCCCAGGGCCACCGCCCTCACCAGGACTGCAGCTCCAGAGCCAGGTTTGGAGTCCAGCAGCACCAAGCGCAGAACCAGGCTCTGTGGCCACTCTCCTGTCTCCCCACACTGGAAAACTAAAGCAGGGGCTCTGGGCTTGGGAAAGACCTGGGAAGGGGAGAGGAAATGGGAGTCCAACCACCTGGAGCCATCCTGGGCCTGGCAGAGGCCACACACTCTGGCATGGGGGACACCTTGGGAGGCCCCGAGGCTTGGGCGGCATCCTGGGCTTAGCTCAGGAGGTGTGCCCCTTCCAGGAGGCGGCGGCAGGGCTGGTCTTCTGGGCCAGGCTCCCTGCACTTCCCTCTCGCTCTGCCATCCCTTGATGTCGCCCCAAGCCCCTTTGTGGTTGGCCTCAGCCCTTCCTGCTGCAGGGAGAGCTCCAGCGAGGCTGCAGGACTGGGGGGCCGAGGGGCATCAGGTGGCTTGTCCTGAAGTGCATGACCCTGGATGTGCTGAGCAACAAAACCTGAAAGCCCTGGTGCAGCCTGGCAGGAAGATGCCTCACGGCCTAACACAGGGGCTGGGGAAGGGATGCGGCTCTGCGGCTTGTCTTTGGGAAGAGAGTTCTTTCCATCTACCTGCTCCACCACCCTCAGTGCTGGGCTCCTGGCTGCTCCCTCGGGGCTTCTACACCAGGTGTCCCCTGCAGGGAGAACTTCCCAGCGTGGGGACCCCAGAGGCCTCAGCAGAGCTCCCTTGTGCCTCACTAGTCAGAGCTGCAGCTGCTCGACAAACTGGGGCCTGCCCCAAAGGGCCACGGAGCGCCAGTCTCCCAGTAAGATGAAGGGTGGACACTTCCAGGGCCAGGCACCTCCTGGCACATCCTCAGCCTGGGATCTGCGCTCTGGGACTGACTTGGAACTCAGAGGGCAGGGTCTGGGCCCGTGGCAGCGCCGCCCCGTGGTGCTGCAGAGCTGAGGTGCCTTCAGAGAAGATGCCCATTTATTCTCACTGCTCAGGTGTGATGAGTGCGGCGCTGCCACGGAATGCCACACGGCTGCTGCCAATAATCAGGCAGATATACCCAATGGAGAGGCACCAGGGTACACTGCAGAAAGTCAACGGCAGAACAGTGTGGACTGCATGTGACCTTTTGTATAAAACCATAGAAATAACTTTAAATAGAAACATCGGGGGTCAGACGCCATGGCTCGCAGCTGTCATGCCAGCACTTTGGGAGGCTGAGGTGGGAGGACTGCATGAACCCAAGAGTTCAAGGCCAGCCTGGGCAACATAGCGAGACCCCGCCTCTAAAATTTTAAAAGTTGGCCAGGCATGGTGGCGTGCATCTACAGTCCCAGTCACTTGACAGGCTGAGGCAGAAGGATGGCTTGAGCCCAGGAGTTCAAAGCTGCAGTGAGCTATGATCTTGCCACTGCACTCCAGCCTGGGCGAGAGATCAAGACCCTATCACTTCATAAAAATAAAAGAGAAACAAATCAGGATTTTTTTTTCTGGAAGGACTAAAAAGGACTGCTGCAGTATTTCTGGGGAGAGGGTCTCATGGAGGAGGGAGGAAGGTGTAGGTCTTACCTTTGTCATCTGTGATATTTACATTTTTAAAGCCCTGTCAACAATTCACTTAGGATTTTTTTTTCATGCCACTTAGAGTGGCCCATGTCAGGAAATTATGAGTGTTTTTATTCTCTGTAACTCTAAAAACAACCTCAACATAGCAAGCCTGACACCTTTTTTAAAAATACCAATCTGGTGGATCCCTGCTCCAGAGCAGCTGCTCTCCAGTGTGGTGAGAAACGCTGGCAGATACGGTCTTACTTCTCGAGGAGCCCCATCCTCTTCACAGATGTGGACATGGTGGGGCAGGCGTCGGACAGCGCCCTGGGAAGGGCCTGTGCAAGGCAGCCTCAGCCGCTCTCCCCCAGGAGACATTGTAAGGATCCGTGCACAATCTTTATGATATGAAGATGCTGCGCACGTTTCAAGCGGCTGCATCTGAAACAAGCCAGGCAGTCAGCTGGGGGCTTCCGAGTAACTGTGGCTTCTCTGGCGTGTGATGTTTATGAAATACGGTTCATCACTGTGAGGATGTGGAGAAAGCTGGGAGGAGGTGGGCTGAAACACAGCCAGAGCAGAGACCACAGCACTGACGACTGCTGGGGAAGCTCTCCTTGGTTTGGCCTCCCCAACCAGGCCTCGGCTGGCAAGGATGCAGCTCATGAAATCTTCTTCCTCGGGGTGGTCCGGGGTGGCCGCAGCTCCGCAGGCCCATGGGCAAACGGGCAGCAGTCCGTGGACAGAGCGCAGCCATCAGGGTGATGCATGAAGAACCAGCAGAGGCGGGTTTTGCAGGCTTCAGAGAGCAGTCTCTGTTTCGCTTCCGGTTGCTTTGTCTTCCACAGTGTCTCCTCTCGCCAGTCGCGGATGTGAACTCTCCCATTCACAACTGTGGTTTGGAACAGAGAAGACACACTGAGAAGTAAACCTGAAAGTTCCTTAATTCACCAGCCTCTCTTTAGCTCCCACGCCACGGGAGGTGCCAATCCAGGGTCAGGGATACAACCGGAACACAGCCTAGAGTTCCTGCTGGTCACAGTGAGTCTGCCTCCAGTGGGAGTGACTGAGGTATGGGATGTGTCTTCAGGCAAGGCCGGGGAAGGTGAGCCCTGCGGGAAGTGAGCGGCAGCCCTGCGCAGACCCAGGAAGAGCATTTTAGGCAAAGCAGCAGCAAACCCGAGTGTCCCAGGACAGACTGCACCAGGACTGGCCACATTCGAGGGACAGCCAGAGGGGAGGGCAGAGGACAGAGCTGGGTCCCTTGTGGCCTCATCATTGAGGCCACCGACCTTCCCTCTGGCTGAGAGGCAGGTCCTGCAGAGCCACCATTTTAGAAGGATCACTTGAGTGGAGGAAGGAGGGACCACGGTGTGAGAGCCGAAACACGAGAAAACATCTGTGCTGCAGCCCCGACCTCTGAGGACTGTGTCAGCATTACGGGCAGAAAGAGGGGCAAGGCGCAGGTCCCTCCACGCAGTCTAAGGACGGGGCTGGTGCAGGGCAGCCTCTGCTCCTTGGTGCCGTCCCGGTGCACTGGGTTTACATGCGCCTCCCAACCGGAGCCCCTCCAGGTGCAAGTGTGGAGTAACAGAGGCCAATGAGCTCTGGAACAGGAACACGAAGGGGGACCTGCCTATGTGCAGTAGTTTAGATACCCCCTCTGAAAGTGCCACTGGGACCCAATGGCCAGGGCTGATCTCCAAACTGGGGAGCTGGAGGGACATCAGAGTGGGGTGGGGCCAGGAGAGGGCTGCTGTGGGCCCGCTCGTCACCTGGGTCCCAGGCCTCGCAGGCCTCCTCTAGGCTGCCTCCTGACCCCGCCGCCCAAATTGGGCCGAGATACCCCCCTACGCTCCCATTTGGCCGTTTCCTTGTGGGAATCCAACAACTCCCCGTGAAACATGGCCAAAGCAACCACCTCCTTCCTGGTTCTCGCTGGAAGCTAGGAAACCGCTCACGACAGAAGGCTCGGGGGAATAAAGGAGCCTCAGTGAGGAAGTCTGGCTCACCGACTTCCAAAGAGAACTTGAAAGTGTAGGAATTAAAGCTCGAATTCTGCCTTCAAATCACCTTGTGTGTGGCAATAACGAGCCTGTGTGCTTTTGACAGACTGATGTTTTACAGTTTCCCCTGAAACTAGAGAAATGAGCCCAGAGAACGGCGCCACAGTTGGGGGCTCACCCTCACAGCCTGGCTGGAAGCACCGCCAAGGCCAGGCCTGACCCTGTTTGCCCTCCCACGGCTGCCTCTCTGTCTCGCCTCCCAACATTGGAGCTGAGGTTTCTTAACCTGAAGTCTCCTGTTAAGGCAGTCCCGCGACACTCTGCCCATGTCCCCACAGCAGCACCTCCTGGCGCAGCACAGAAGGGCACATCCTGGCCACTGAGGGACCTGGAACCCTCTAAAGGGTGCTCAGGAGGAGCCCCAGGGGCCAGAGCTTCCCCCCAACTCCCCATGATCCCAAACAGTGAGGGGCCTCTGGCCTGATGCCCTGACCTGTCAAGAGAATGGGGGGTGGGGGATCACTGAGGCCAAAGGCTGAGTACAGATTCCCCTCAGAGCCAGCCTCGGCACCCCCTTCCCCACCACAACGTGACAGGCCAGCTGGCGGCAGGCCCTCCCACGCGGCTCCGGAGTTAAGAGCACACCCAACCATGTTTTGGAAGCAGGACCTGCAGGGTGTCTAAGGACTGAGGAGCGGGCGCTGATGATAGAGATGAGGCTCCCGAACGGCGCAGGCAGGCTCCAGGCTGGCCCAGCCTCACTGACCCACTCCCCGTGTCTACAACCCTGGACATGGCAGGTAGCTCCCGGCCGCCCCTCTTAACACCTGAGCCCCCATCTGGCCAGGTGCCAGAAGGGGCGGCCTTCCAGAGGCACTTGCTCTAGCCAGCTAGAAAGACAACCAACAGCTAGAAAGACTCTCCTCCTCTGGAAATGTGCTCCTCATTTTGAAATGGAACCACAGAGCCACAGTCTGCTCCACCCAAGTTCCTGCCGCCTCCTCCCTCCTTACCGTGCGCATCCCCTGGGACTCTACCTCAGCACAGGAGCCGCCATCTCCACCACTGCTTCTGACAGCAGACAGACACTCCCTTTCACCAAGTTGCTCTGAGGAACGGGTTGAGGATTACAGTCCTCGGATGATGCCATAGGCTCAGGGGTGCCAGTGCTGGGTCAGACCTGGCCCGGACTGTGGCGTGGCCTCTCCACTCACTGGGAGACATCGGGCCGGCGCACTGACCTCTCTGAGACTTGTCTACATGTTCAAGGAGGAAAGGCCTGCTCTGCCATGAGTGCAGGATGAGATGAGGCCCCGCGTGTACCCGGCAGCACGGTGCCAGGCTCCATACCAGCCAGCATGGATGCAGCGCGCCGCCCCTTGGCGGCCTCAGGAAGGGGCAGGGACAGAGGCAGGGCTGGCCCTTGTGGCCCTCATGGGTCATGCTCAGGGCTGGCTGACCTGAAGCCATCTGGAAACATTTCCAATTCCTCACTCTCATAAACATTTTCTGAGACTAGCCACGTTAGCTTAAAACAAAACCTAAACCTCATACAGAGATAAGACCCAGCTTCAGAGCATAGTTTTCGCATGACTGGAGGAGAATGTTTATTTGGAACCCAATTCCCAGGCCTCCTACTCAGAAGCGTTTCCAAAAACAAGTTTGCCCCCCCAGGGTGACCTGCACAGAAAAACACTGACATACAAGCAGACTCATCATGGGTGAAAAAGACAGTATTTCAGGAAACCAACAAAAACAAGTGTTGGGAAAGACAGAAAGAGGCCCCGTGGAGGTGGGAAGTATTCTAACTGCCTAAAGCTCTATGCAAGGAAGAGCAGACTCCAGGCAGCAGGCCCAGCCCAGCCAGCAGGCCCAGCCCAGCCAGCACTGCAGGCCCAGTGTCTACTCTGGGGGCAGCCTCAGGGACACGCTTCTGCGCCTGCCCCGAGAAACACAGGCTCCAACCATGCTCACCGGCCCCCCACCCAACAGCAGCTCTCACCTAGAGAGGCCAGTTCAGCTGAAAGCCAAGTTCAGCTCTCCAGGAGCAGGCAGGCACACAAAGGCAGTGTGTGTGTGTGCACAAACCCACACGCTTGCACTCTTGTGTACACATGAGGAATGGCACACACACCTGTGCTCTCTCACACACCCAGAGAGCCAGACACTGTACTGCACCTGATCCCCACGGCTACTTCATGGGCAGGGGACCCAGAAGCTAGGGTGTAAGCCAGGCCACTCCTTCCCACTGTGACTTCGGTGTCATCCCTACCCATCAGAGGCCCAGTCCTTTTCCTGGTCATGGCGGCTGTAACCCGACCAGCTCCCACTCTTACTCCTCCCAACCCTGGCTCTTTGCAAATGCTGTTCGCTCTGCCTAAAGCTGTTCTCTGTTCCTGACTCCTCTTTTCCTTCCAGGCCCAGCTCAAGTGTCATTTCCTAAGTAAAGCCCTCCTGAGCCCACTCGGGCCAGGCCAGTTCTCCCTGCACATCACAACTCACAGAAATGTGTGCTTAGGGCATGGTGGTGACACAAGAAGACACCTACTATTCTTAAAGATGCACGTGGAAGTACTTAGGGGTGAAATAGCATGCTAGCTAGAATTTGCTTTAAAATACTTACAGAAAGAGGAAAAAAAAAAAAAAAGCGCCACAAAGCAAGTTATGGCAAACTCCCCAGCCGCTGGCGCTGGTAAACCATGGCTCCCTGCCCTGTTCCTGCCCCCTCTGTGCACACCTGGAAGCTGCAGATGATGGAAGTGTGTACACCACTGGCACCTGGGTGAGCACCTGCTACATCTCCCCCCTCCCTCACTGCACCACCGGCTCCAGAAGGCCAGGGATGTGTCTGCCTTGCTTTGCGGGCTGAGTGAATGGACAAGCGGGTGGAGGGCCCTCCTGCCTCCCCATACCCTGGCAGTCCTGGAGTCACAGGGCGTTGGGGAGCAGGGGAACTGGGTACCAGGACCTCCGCCTGCCCAGGCCCGTGGGGCGAGGGCCACAGGAGTCCAGGCCTCCGCCTGTGGGGCAGGGCTCACTCTTCCCACTCCCCACCCTGGCTCTGTGGCTCAGGATGCTTTCAGTTTGCAGCAGCTAAAGATGACGCCAAACAATGACCCCCAGCCAACAGGGGACCGGCCAGCGGCTACCCGACTTGCTCTGTCCTGCGTGGAGCAAGTGGAGCTGAGGCGTCAGCAAGCACAGCATAGGGGGAGAGAGACCAGCCTGGGGACATCGCATGGGACGAGGTCCAGAGGAGCAAGGAGGGAACGGGGTGACCCACGTCCCACCCTGAGGTCAAATGCCACCCACGTCAGAGCTGGGTGGGGCACCGCGGAACTTGCTGCTTCTGTCAGATTCTTCAGTGAGTCTAAACCACTCTAAAATAAAACATTATTTAACTGAAAAAAGGGGGAAAAAGAAGGAAAGAACGGCGGGGGAGAGGCGGACTCCGTACCTTGGAACACCTGGTGGCTGTTCCGGAGCAGCGTCTGCAGGCCCCCACACTCCCGCTTCAGCCTCCGCAGGGTCTCCGTGTCCAGCTCGTTGGCTACTTCTGCCAGAGATAGGCTCTCTGTGGAAAAACGGGTTTTTTTTTTCCCCAAAACAACAGCAAAATATTACGAACCTGTCACACAGGCAGAAACAGTCCATTTCAGTTCCATACACTCACACGCGTTATGCACTCCAGCACGAAGGACGATTCCATCTCACCTAACCCACACCACACCGCACCAAACCGTGAGGGCCGTGGCGTCCCCACCCAGCTAAGGTGGCACAGCCTGACAAGACGCAGCCCCACACATGCCCCATGCCCGCACAGGGCCAGGCGTCAGGTGATGCTGCCTGCTCTGGGTGGTCACCTCAAGCTCTTCTCACTGGTGACCCATGAAGGGGGGTGGCTGTTTGGAGCCAGGGTTTCTCAGACTAAAGAAGGAAGGCCAAGCTGGCAAGCCTGGGGCCTGAGCCTTCCCAGTGGCTGCTCCAACCATGGGGCAGCCAGCCTGGCGCTACCGGCTCTAGGGTGGCCAGCAAGGCCATGCTAGGCACTAAAAAAAGGAACAGCACAGACACCACAGTGATGGTCTCTTTCCCATTCGAATTTCTGCTTTGAGAGCCTGCAGGTATTTCAAAATGCTCTAATCAGAAAACCTGGTGACATTAAAGTCATTTATTACCAAAACATCAAATTGGATATGAATGAAAGCTGGTTTTCCTGCATGTATTTGCCAGGAACTTCCTATCTGCCAGGTGCTGCACCTCACATCTTATCCACACCCTCCCAAGCTGCAGGAGAGCGGAGGAGACGGCGCCTGTCTGTATGCAGCTGAGCCTGTCAGACCCCTACGGATCAGGACACCACACTCCTGACCCAGGAGCCTGGTGCTGGCAGCCGCTGTCGCAGCTGCTGCGAGAATCCTGCCCACCCAGCCTGGCCAACCTTCTGAGTCCACCTCTCGGCTGTCTCAAATCCATTCTGAGAGGAGCGGGAGTGTTTTAAAAAAGATCACATATTGTCCCAGTCAGCCTTCCCTGTTGCCCCGGCTCTGGCCCAGCATGGACTCCATAACAGGGAATCTCACACTCAGCCATGGGTGCCTCCTGGCCTGGCATATCCGGCCTCTTGGTTTCTCATCCTTTGACGTGTGCGGTCTTGACTCCTAGCCAGGCAGGACTTGGAGCCTCTTGAGGGCAGGGCCCTTTCCTACCCTATTTCTCAGCAGTGTCCCACAGGGACAGACGCCGAGCTAGGATGGGTGAGGTCCTGGAGACAGAGCCACACATGGCCCACAGGCACAGAAACGCAGAGGTGCCTGCCTGAGGACAGGCTGGGTGGGGGCGACCAAAGGCCCTGAAGGCCGCCTGTGGGCGGGAGGGAGGCAGTGGGCTGAGAGGCCAAGGCCACGTGGAGAGTCCCTAACAAGCCCCAGACCCACGGACACCCATCTGGAGGGGACGGGGGTCCAGAGCCTGTTAGGTGCCCTGATTCCCAAGTTCCAAGGCGCAGGCAGGACTGAGCCCACCGCTCACCCATCCCCGCTCTCCATCTCCAGGTCTGTTCCTCCTTCCTCCTCACCCACCGAAAGCCGTCCATCCCAGGCACAGCTGACATCTGTGTGCCCGTCATCTCCTGGGAATTTAAAGGTCAAACTGCACTCAAGAACTGTCACTGTTTACTGCACGTGGGAACTTTCAGACCACACTGATGTCCCTGGGGCTCTGGGTCCCAGTTGCCTGTGGTGGGCTCCATGCTCTGCCAGCCTCAGCCTTCTTCCTCTGTGCTCCAGCCCCACCACAGCAGGGTGCCTTTAGTCAGCAGGGCCAACCCAGAGGCCCCACGGTGCCTGGTGGTTTGCAGCTAGTCGGCCCCATCAGCCACTGAGCCAGGGCCACTCTCGCCAGATGGCTAGAGGCTCTGCTGACCAGGTACCATCAGGTTCGAATGATTTCTGGAGGGGCCGTCTATGCTCCATGGCCCGGTCCCATCCCACGTACACATGGTACAAGAGGACAAAGGATGAAGAAGGAAACGGGTATGATTTTGTCCCAACATTCATAGGTGAGGAAAGCAAAGCCTGGAGAAGAAGGGTTTCCCTCAAATGCGCAGCCAGGCAGAAGTCACCGACGGAGGGGCCGGGAGGGGATGGGGCTCCGTGCTCTTCTCCAGTTCCCAAAACTGCAAGAGAAGCCAGGCGTTGGCTGCAGCTCTACACCACCCTCTGGCGGCCAAGCAGCATCCCTGCCCGGAAGGAGGCGAGGTCCTTACAGCCCTGGCTGGCTCTCTGAATGCCGTTAATTTCAACACACCACTCACCTGAGAACATAATTTCAGCACACCACTCACCCCATGAGAACAATCGATGTAATTTTCTCCTTTTGCCATGGATGATTGTTGTGTTTTGGGGATTTCAAAGAGAATTAAATTATCGAATCACAACAGCTCCAAATCTTACCACATACTCAAGGGGACAGTGCATTTTGCTTGCACTCAGTAACCTGTTTTCTCTTTGGATAATTTCTAGATTGAAAATGAGTAGTTCTAGCCCCTAAACCTGCATGTTTGGTAAAAGTTAATTAAGGGTCCAAACTCTGTCACTCCCTGGAAATAACAAAGTCCTTTATGTTTATAAGAGCTATTTGGAAAATTTTAAAGAATTTGCTTGAAGAGAGCCTATGCACCCACCATCAATGGCTTTTTCAAAGTGTGTAGTCACAGGGCCACACCATTTCATGTCGGTTCTGAAGACGTGAATTCCTGCCCTCAAGCCTGGGAGCGTGCTAGCCCCTCCCTAAGATGGTGGACAGCTTACCTCCCCCATTCCAGGTCTTCAAACTCCCATTTCGAGAACTTCTTGTGTTTAATTGCTTTCCACCTAACAGTAAATTCGCTACTTGCAAAACCACTTGGTCAATAAAATCTCGTGGCAGGGCGGCACAGTTCCTCACACGCTCAGCCTTTTCTCTGGGATGAAATCCAGGTAGCCAGGGTCCTTCAGCCTGGGGCCCTGCTCCATGCTCAGCGGCCCAGGCCCTGGTTACACACCCGACCCTGGCGTCCAGAGCTTGCTGACCGTCACAGTGACCAGCACTGCCAGCAGCAACCCAGCGTGGAGAAGGGGAAAGCTCCCAGCCAGGTGGGCTTACAGGGCAGCCCCGCCTGCTCTTAATGTACTGAGTCCTCTTTTCATCCACGGAAGCTTCTCTGGAGGAAGGGTATGTTCTGGATTTTCCAACGAGACAGACCTGCGTTTGAAGAAAGCAAAGCAAGTATTTTAGCTGGCTAGTCTATTTCAACGTTCTCCATGGAATTCTCTCATCCTGGAGTACAAATCACAAGTTTTCAATGTCTATCATGAAAAAATCCTGATTTAAAAAACTGACACCAGCCAGGTACGGTGGCTCACTCCTATCATCCTAGCATTTTGGGAGCCCAAGGCAGGCGGATCACTTGAGTTTCAGACCAGCCTGGCCAACATGGCAAAATCCCGTCTCTACTACAAATACAAAAATTAGCCGGGCGTGGTGGCCCTCACCTGTAGTCCCAGCTACTCAGGAGGCTGAGGCAGGAGGATCATTTGAACCCAGGAGGCAGAGGCCAGTGAGCCAAGATTGTGCCAATGCACTCCAGCCTGGGTGACAAGAGCAAAAACTCCATCTCAAAATAAATAAATCAATAAAAATAAATACAAAATAAAAACTGACACCAATATAAGTAACTTAAAAATTAAAAAAACAGTAAGAGCCCATGGTTCCCTCTCATCATTGTTAGATCTTGGACCTTCACAAGATCTAACAAAGGCGCCTAAACTCAAGAGTCCACACTCCTGGGCCCGGCAGCCGCACCGTCCTAGTTTCCCGCTGCCGCCCCTCATTCCACCCCTCGGCCGCCCGGCGGGGGCACATGCTGATGGTAACGCTGCAGAGTTGCAGAGTGCCCCAGGGGCTGGGAAGGGAGGCAGCTTTGTCCCCACCTTGCCAGAGCCAGCGAGTGCATACGGGGGCTGCGCAGAGGGCCTGGAGCCATAGAGGTGCTCCATGCGTGCTTGCCTCCCTTTGCCGCACACCCCGATGGAGGGTGCCCTTCAGACAGTCCCCTCCGGACAACCAGGCCCTGCCCAGCCCCAGCAAGGGCACCTCATTTCTGGGCTTCCTCTCCAGGCATCAACTACAAGGCCAGGCGCGGGTGATAAGGAAGCCGACCTCCTCACTACGTGACAGCCACACCTCTGCTCCCCAGCTCTTCCAGCGGGATTTTAAATTCTCAGTGCCTGTCACACACCCAGTCCCCACCAGACATGTGCTGTGTGTGAACTGCTTTAAAAATGACAAAGCACGTTCACATCCACTCTTACATTCGATCCCCAAACCTGCCAGTGATAAGAAAACTGAAGCTCAGAGAGATGAAGCGACAGTCCACGGTCTCTACCAATTAGTAATGGAGAAGCAAGTGCAAAAATCAAAGCCACGGGCTCCTCGGACCCGCCTAGAGGACCCAAACTTTAGCAGTTTCCCCAAATCAATTCTGAACTCAGAAGACCAAGACTTGCCAAAAACAGAGGACACAGAGGATGACGGGACGGTTCAGCAGCGAGTCCTAAGGTAACTTCCCACGGTAGCAGGGCAGTGACAGCGCCAGCGGCCCTGAGGCCTGTGCCACAAGCCAACGCTGCTCCTGGTGCACGGCTATGACGGCAGCCGGCCAGCGAGTGCCCACAACATGCCCTCCCCGCTGTGGGCTCTGAAGACATCATCCTGTCCAGCCCCCACAGAGACCCGGGCAGCCTCCTCCTGGTCTCACAGGTGAGGACAGGCTTAGCGGAGCTCCGCGATCAGCCCGAGTGCACCACGGGCAGCAGCAGAGCCGAGGCTTCACTCAGATCAGCTGGGCCCTTTCTTGCTAAGGCAGCCATCAAATTCTGTGGCCTGGACACGACGGGGTTATTTTTTAAAAGCACACTGTCTGCCAGCCACAGTCTTGTCAAATAAAGTTACCAGAGACATAGGTGAGCTGCTGTAAACACTTCCACGGTACTTTCAAAAGGTCAAGCCTTTGGAGCGGCAAGAGGGCATAAGTCTGCCCTGTCCACACAAAGGTCAGAGGCACAGTCCCACTGCTTACAGAAAGCCCCCGGGCCAACTTCTGCCCAAATGACATTTCAGGTGAATCTGAATGAACTAGGCCTTTAATGAGAAAATGGGAAATCACTGTGAACTTCTGAAACACACTTCAATCGCAGCCAATTATCTGCGACTTGAAGGAGCAGGAACTTTCCACAGGGAGGTCAGCCACAGGCCACACTGAGGCCTCCTCTGGGCAGGTCCCCTGGGGCCACTCAGAGCTTCTGGAGAGGCAAGGAGGGCTTGGCGAGGACTCCTGCAGGCCTGGAGGAGGGAGCACCGGGTGCCTTTAAGGAGGGCACCATGGGACAGAACAAGCCTCTGGGCCTCATCAGTGACAGAGGCACAGAAATCAGCACCGGCACGTTCTAGAACATTTTGAACGTTACAGCATGGTTCATGGCTCTGTGGCAGAGCCCTGAGCTCTCCATCTGAACACCGACACACCGCCTAGAACAACATGAGAATCAGACATACTCTTTTGGTTGAAGGAATCCTGAGGCAGTCTTCGTCCACGTGAAACCCACAGGTGAAGCCCACTTCTTTAATGAAGTCAAGGTATTCCCGGTACTGAGTCTTCTTACTCTGCCTCCGGGAGTATCTTCCAATGAAGTCAAAGAAGCAGCAGGGGAGGACAAAGAAGCGGCAATTGTAGGAAGACCTTCAAAAAGAACCAACAACCACAGGGTCAAGCATCCTGAGCAGACGCAGTCAAGGAAATTCGGAACAAAGCCACACGGCAATCGCATATCAGGGCAAAATAGGGAAGTGATGTTCCTGGCCAATATTGTTTCTTTTTGTTGCATATAATGTCCACTTTTATTTCAGCTTCAGGGGGTATGTGTGCAGGTTTGTGGCATGGGTGTACTGCAAGATGCTGAGGTTTGGGGTAAGACAGACCCCATGACCCAAGCAGTGAGCATAGTAACTACCAGGGGGTTTTTCAAACTCTGCCCTCTCCCTCACTCCCCACTCCAGCAGTCCCCAGTGTCTACTGCTGCCATCTTGATGTCCCTGTGTACTCAATGTTTAGCTCCCACTTATCAGTGAGAACATGCGGCATTTCGTTTTTGGTTTCTGCAATAGTTTACTGAGGATAATGGCCTCCAGCTGCACCCCATGTTGCTGCAAAGGACATGATTTCCTTTTCTTTGTGGCTGTGTAATATTGTTTTTCATATTAAAAGATGAATTACAGCCTTCCCCAAGTTAATTTCTAGAAATAAAGCAACATAGTATATCTTTTCAATAGAATCTAATTACTTTTATAAAAATGATTTTTTCCACAGTTCCTGTTATCAAGGGTCATCTGAAACTTCTTGAAGTACTTTAAGACGTCAGCTTTTAATAGGAACGGTTAAAGGGAAGCACAACGAAGCCTGAGCGAAGACCTGATCTTTCACCTAGTTACTCCTTGAGAATGAAAACAGCTCAGAAGAATCTGAGATAAGGAGACTCAGCAACGAAACGTCAACGAGGAGCAGCACAACCTGCTTCGTGACCAAGTCTCTCGGACACACACAGCTCCCCGTGCGGAGGCAACTGTGGCTGCAGAGGGTCTATCGATGGGTAGATTTCCCCTTTAAAGGCAAAGCCTCATGTTTTCAGAAAAAAACTTCCAAAAAGGACACCTCTTTTGACACCGGATATAAATACCGTAGAAGTAATCACAGTGCCAATCAGTGCTGGCCAACAGAGATATAATGTGAACAATCTCAGTAATTTTATATTTTCCAGTAGTCATATTTTAAAAGGTAAAATAAAACAGGTGGAATTTATTTTAAATTTAACCCAATACAGGCAATAAGCAAACATTTCAACAATTGGAACTACCCACATTTCAAGTGCTTGACAACTGCACGCAGCTAGTGGCTACCCTTTTGGACACCACTGTTTAGAAGATGAAGCATTCCCCAGCCATTCACCTGATAACTCCTCTACTTCTCACCTGGCTGCAATGACAGGTATCCATG
Organism: Homo sapiens; assembly: GCF_000001405.40. Lineage (NCBI taxonomy): Eukaryota > Metazoa > Chordata > Mammalia > Primates > Hominidae > Homo > Homo sapiens. The sequence goes on along the minus strand of NC_000004.12, from coordinate 8,464,066 downwards.
GTGTGAGTTCATCAGAATGGTTACCGATTAACCAATCAACATCAGGGAAAAGGGTCTTATCATTGGGTGTGATTGCATCTTCCTAAAGGAATAACAAAACAAGACGAAATGTTTTGTGAATCATTGTAGAGCTACTGCGTGGGCAGGACATGGCGGGAGGGTACAGGCTCTGGAGTCACACAGCGCAGAGCCGCAGTTCACCTGCTGCATGACCAAGAGCGGGGAAGAGCGGGGAAGTCAATGTATCCTCCCTAGGTCTGCCTAGAGGGCAAGAAATGCTGGCAACTTTTAGGGAAATCACCGGAGAAACTAACAGCACTTTTCTGAGTGCTAATCGCCTTTGGATCATTTAAAAGCTGATTTTTCCACAGGCATAAGAAGGAGCTCCAGGAGAGACGGCCACGGAACGGTTTCACCTCTGGCAGAGCATGGGAGCAAGCAATGGCTTCGGAGGAAGTGAATGGAAGGCAGAGAGGTCTGAAGGTGATTTAAGGGCGTAATACAACACAGGGGTCTAACCTCACAGGCCTTTCAATCTAGGAAACCAAGTCTATGAATAGACAGAGAATTTACATATGTAAATACACGAAATTCTTTACCATTAGACTATTACCTTTTGTAAACTGTCAGAAAGTGATTAAGATCCCCCTGAATAGGCACTCTAACCATTCTGACAAATTCTGCAGTTAAGCTGAGGACAGCTTGCTTTTATGATTTAAGAACTTTAAATAGGCACCCTACCCTTTCTGATAATCAGCAGGCCATCACTAATTACTGAAATCAACAGTTTCAATAGCAATTCTGTCAGTAAAAACTGGAAAGAGAGAGGGGGAAGAGAGACCACACAACCATTGAAAATCTTCTTAATTTTCCAGTGGTAGGATGAGTCCCCAAGATAAGTGAACAGAAGTTATTCCCTGATCATAATGGGGAAGACATTCTGAGAACACTCACTCTTCAAGGCTATTCTTTCTAACAGCAAAACTATAACACAAGAATGTTTTACAGACATGGTAAGTAAAAAACTAAAACTGAAATTCTGTCTCTCTCTGGTTCTTCAATAAGCATATGTGCTTCTACTTACATAGATGTTAAAATACTGAAAATAGTATTGTTCAAGGGTATACGTATGATCTACAGAAATATCAAACCTTTGGGACTATTTATTCTTGATTCCCACTCATTCTAGATTTAAGTTTGCCCATCTGTCTCTTTAAATGGCGTGAATAAATTAAAGCATAACTGACATTTAGTAAAGACCATAATCATATTTTATATTATCTTGCCAACAGCACTAGATATCAAAGCCCCACCTGTTTTATGAAGTTTTTTTGTTTTGTTTTGTTTTGTTGTTGTTGTTTTTGAGACGGAGTCTTGCTCCGTCACCAGGCTGGAGTGCAGTGGCGCGATCTCGGCTCACTGCAACCTCCGCTTCCCAGGTTCAAGCAATTCTACTGCCTCAGCCTCCTGAGTAGCTGGGATTACAGGCACCCGCCACCACACCCAGCTAATTTTTGTATTTTTAGTAGAGATGGGGTTTCACCATGTTAGTCAGGCTGGTCTCGATCTCGTGACCTCGTGATCTACCTGCTTTGGCCTCCCAAAGTGCTGGGATTACAGGCATGAGCCACCACGCCCAGCCGTTGTTTTTCTTTGAGACGGAGTATCGCTCTTGTTGCCTAGGCTGGCGTGCAGTGGTGCGATCTCGGCTCACTGCAACCTCAGCCTCCCTGGTTCAAGAGATTCTCCTGCCTCAGCCTCCCGAGTAGCTAGGATTACAGGCATGCGCCATCTCACCTGGCTAATTTTGTATTTTTAGTAGAGACGGGGGTTTCTCCATGTTGGTCAGGCTGGTCTTGAACTCCCGACCTCAGGTGATGTGCCCACCTCGGCCTCCCAAAGTGCTGGGATTACAGGCGTGAGCCACCACACCCGGCTTTTATGAACTTTTCACTGGCATTTTGAACACAGCAAATTCCAATATTCCTGTTTCATATACAGGTTCACACAATTAAGACAATTTGTGATCACCACCAGGCTGTTGTTATAAACAGGTGTTTTGTTTTTAGTTTTTTAACACTCTCTTGCTTGCAATCAAATGAGGTTTTTGAAAGAAAGAAAAAAAGTTATATTCTACGCCTGGCCTTTGACTTTCTAGATTGTACCTGTTCGTGGAAACCACTCAACTGCAGCTGGAAGGAAATCATTCACTAGAAAATCCACAAACACCATGTGCACGTCAACGGAACCACCCTCATTCTGGCCATGCTCCTCCAAGGCAGAAAGCATGACAGAACTCCTGGCATTTATTTAACACTAGAATAAACATGGCTATTTTAGCACCGAGACTGAAGGTTGGGAGGTAACAAGGAAAAAACCTACACACTTGATTAGAATACAGAACTCTCAACAGCAGGCCTTTCCTGACTAAGTGCTCGGGGTAGGGTCTTCCCCAGGTCAGATGACCCTACAGAAAAGTCTGATGCAGGCTGCTGGGAAACCTCAGCTAAAGAACTAGAGCCTCCGCCCGTTCTCCAAGGGGCACCCTCAGCAGCCAGCTCTTCCCTAGGGTCTGGGCTTACACAGATGGCCTACTCACTGCTGCTTGAATTTCCTACCCAAAGGTGCTTTTTCACCTGGGGACACATGGAATTTTGAAATCAACCACACCACTACTGCTTTAGCTTTGATCATTAACTTCATAGCCAAGTTTAGAGCCCGATTCTGGGACATGTGTGAGAGTCTATAGTCTACACACATATTTGCAGAGCCTCCCGAGTGCACTGGCTAGATTACCAACATTCCTCAAACCTGAGGTTTTGAAAACATTTCCTAATGTAATGTATGAGTGGACAAGCAACTGCCAATCACTGTAAAACAAAGCAAAGAGTAAATGTACAAGCAAAGAGTAAGCACCCTGGCCCGGCGCAGCGGCTCATTGTCATCCCAGCCCTGTGGGAGGCCGAGGTGGGAGGATCACTTGAGCCCCAGAGTTTGAGACCAGCCTGGGCAACATAGGAAGACCCTGTTTCAACAAAAAACAAACACAAAATTAGTCAGGCATGGTGGTGTGCACCTGCGGCCCCAGCTACTCGGAGGCTGAGGTGGGAAGATCACTCAGTCCAGAAGGTTGAGGCCACAGTGAGCCGTGATCACATCAGTGTACTCCAGCCTGGGCAACAGATTGAGACCCTGTCTCCAAAAAAATAAAAGGGGGGCTGCGTGTGGTGGCTCATGCCTATAATCCCAGCACTTTGGGAGGCCGAGGCAGGTGGATCACTTGAGGCCAGAGCCAGATCAGCCTGGCCAACATGGCAAAACCCCGTCTCTACTAAAAATACAATTAGTCAGGCGTAGTGGTGGTGCGCGCCTGTGGTCCTAGCTACCCGGGAGGTTGAGGCACAAGAATCCCTTGAACCTGGGAGGTGGAGGCTGCAGTGAGCCGAGATCACGCCACTGTACCACTCCAGCCTGGGTGATAGTTCTCAAAAAAAAAAAAAGAGTGAGGCCAACAGAAAACATAAAAATAGTTTTGGAATATTTTTCTACTTATTTTTGATTTTCTATTTCTATGAAATGATATGCCTGAGATTTGTTTCAAAATAACAGTGGGAGCTGCTTGAGGGTAAGTGATAGAGAAAAGAATAATCCTTGCAGCTGGCTGGGTGACTGCATGGAGTACCTACATTCCTCTCTCTACTTTTGTATATTCCTGACATTCTCCATGATGAAAAGTCAACATTTTTTCATCTCATAAAACAACATTCTGCCCTCTGGCAGATGAGGCTCTGTGACCCAGTCACACCCAGAGGGAGAGGCCACTCCCACACCACCCTGGGAAAGTGAGGCCACGCCCACAGAGCCACTATACTATAACCTGTCCTAGGACGGCTCCTGAGGGCTACTCATGACTTTTTTCCCATTAGGGAGTCATTTTCTCTGTCCTCAGTACCAGGAGAAGCAAGCTACTCTTGACCAAGATCTGACTGATCTGAGTGCACTTTAACCCCACGGTCACATGGCTCTAGTGCCCAGGGCTGGCTGACAGCGTGGAATAGATGTGCTGTCAGGCCCAGACCCCCGGGTGTCTTGATGTCTGTAGCCCACCCTGGCCCAGCCTCTGTTCTGTTCTCTTCTCCAGCGGCGGCCACTACACAACACCCCCAGCCTCCTCCTCAGCACCTGCCACCACCCTCGAACCTGCTGCACACACTGGCTGTGTGTCTGCCTCCCACCCCTTCCCATGACCATAAAGGCAGGGGCTCTTGTCACTGTTAAATCGTCAGCACCTAAGAGTGCCCGGCAGGTAGGGGACACTCAAATATGTGATAAATGTGTACAGCTGTTTTTTCTCCCATTGGATGCATCTCTTGTAGTGCTCAGAATTCTTGCTGAAATGAAGCATATCTGAAGTAGGACCTTTTCGAAAAGCATTATGGCAATATGTATTGAAAATCTTTAAAGTCCAGGTAGGAAAAATATTTTTTAAGTGGACTATGATTTACACACAAAGATTTATGTAGTGTAATTTGTAATCTGAAAACAGATGGTCAAGAACAGAAGAGCTGAGTAAATAATTCTGCCTTCACCGCTTGCCGTACACATGGCTGACCTAACCTCCCCAAGGGTACCTCGGTTTCCTCGCCTGTAAAATGGGGATAATAAGAGAATCAACCTCCCAGTGCTGTTGTGCGGATTATGGTAAGTTACTGTACATAAAATACATTTACCTTTAGAAAGGCATCCACACACAGCACTGGATGACTGTCAGTTTTTATTACTATACAGCTGGCCCTTGAACAAAGTGGGGGTTGGGGGTTCTGAACCCCTACAGATGCAGTTAAGAATCTATGTATAACTTTTGGAGACAGAGTCTCACTTGCGTCGCCCAGGCTGGTGTGCAGTGGCACAATCTTGGCTCACCGCAGTCTCAACCTCCCAAACTCAGGTGATCCCCCAACCTCAGCCTCCCGCGTAGCTGGGACTACAGGTGCATGCCACCATGTCCAGCTAATTTTTTTTTTTTTTTTAGTAGAGATGGGATTTTGCCACGTTGCCCTGGCTGGTCTCGCACTCCTGGACTCAAGTGATCCTCATGCCTTGGCCTCCCAAAGAGCTAGGATTGCTGGTGTGAGCCACTGTACCTGGCCCATGTATAACTTCTGACTCCCCCAAAACTGACTACTCATAGCCTATTGTTGACCAGAAGACTTATCAATAATATAAACATAAAAGTCGATTAAAACACATTTTGTGTATTATATACTATATCCTTAAAATAAAGCTAGAGAAAATGTTATTAAGAAAATCGTGGCTGGCTGCAGTGGTTCACACCTGTAATCACAGTACTTTGGGAGGCCGAGGTGGGTGGATCACTTGAGGTCAGGAGTTCGAGACCAGCCTGGCCAACATGGTGAAACCCCATCTCTACCAAAAATACAAAAAATAGCTGGGCATGATGGTGGGCACCTGTAATCCCAGCTACTCGAGAGGCTGAACTGCTTGAACCTGGAAGGCAGAGGTTGCAGTGAACCTAGATCACACCACTGCACTCCAGCCTGGGCGACAGAGCAAGACTCCGTCTCAAAAAAAAAAAAAAAAAGAAAAGAAAAGAAAATCATAAGAAAGAGAAAATTTACTATTCATTGAGTGGAAGTGGACCGACCATCACAAAGATCTTCATCCCCATCCTCTTCACACTGAGCAGGCTGAGGAGGAGAAGGAAGAGAAGGGACGGGTCTTGCTGTCTCAGGTGTGGAAGACATGGAGGAGGTGGAAGGGAGGCAGGAGAGGCAGGCACATTCAGTGTAACTTCATGAAATACATCATAATTTCTGTCTGCTTTACTTTTTAGTTTCTCTAAAAACGTTTCTATCAGTGCCAATCCTTCTTCCATCATTTCCTTTAGTTTCAGTGCATATCGCAGAAGAGTCTATGGCATAAAAGAAGTCAAATGCAGTCTGGAATAATCAGGGCCCTTCTGCCACACTGTCTGTTAATTTGCTTTCTGGCACTGTCTCTTTTACATATTCTTCCTCATCATCTGGCGCTGGGTTGGCAGCACTCATCTCCATCAGGTCGTCTGTAGTTAATTCCTCTGGAGTGGAGTCTATTAGCTCTTGAATTTCTCAAGATCCGTATCTTGCACCCTTCATCTCCTGCCTTTGTTTGCTATATCCACAGTCTCTTTCATGATTTCCTTGACTGGCTCTGTTGTAAATCCTGTGAAGTCAGGCATGACACTTCCACCCTTCATCGCCCACCTTTGCCATATCCACAACTCTTTCATGATTTCCTTGACTGGCTCTGCTATAAATCCTGTGAAGTCAGGCCAACATCTGGACACTATTTTCTCTGGCGGGAATTTGTTTCAGGCTCGGTAGCTTTCATGGCCTTTTCTGTAGCAATGACGGTGTCTTCAATGGTAAAATCCTTGCAGGATTTTCATGATATTCTCTCTTGTAGTTCTCTTCCACAGCATCCAATCCTTTCCATTGAATACTGTGCATAATGAGGCTTAAAGGTCCTTGTAACTCTCTGATCTAGAGGCTGAAAAGAGAAGCTGTGTTTGGGGTCAAGCAGACCACATCAACACCATTGGTGTTAACTCAAGAGGTTCTGGGTGGCCAGGAGCATTGTCCAATATCAACAGAACTTTAAAAGGTAGTCCCTTACTAACCAGGTACTTCCTGACTTCAGAGACAAAGCCTTGATGAAACAACACTAGAGTTCTTGCTGCCCAGGCCTTCTTGTACAATCAAGTGACTGGCAGCTGGTGTTTCTCTTTTCCCTTCAAGACCTGGGCTTAGCAGCTTTACAGATAAGGGCAGTCCTGATCATAAATCTGATTCCATTTGCACAGAACAGCAGACCTAGCCTGTCCCTTCCTGCCTTAAATTCTGGGGCTTACTTCTCTCCTTTTTGGCATTTTTTCCAGAATAGGGTACTTTCATCTGCATTAAAAACCTGTTCAGGCAGACATCCTTTCTCCTTGATGATTTTCTTTTTACAATGTTTTATTTTTTGTAGAGATAGTTGGGGGGGGGGGGCGGGTGTCTTGCTATATTGCCCAGACTGGTCTTGAACTCCTGGCCTCAAGCGATCCTCCAGCCTTGGGCTCCCAAAGTGCTAAGATTACAGGCATGAGCCACCACACCTGGCCTCTCTGGTGATTTTCTTAATGGCATCTGGGAACTCATCTGCTGCCTCTTGGTCAGCTAAAGCTACTCCTCCTGTTATCTAGATATTTTTACAACCCAAGTCACTTTCTAAAACTATCAAATCATCTTTTGTTGGCATTAAATTCTCCAGCTTTAGAACCTTCACCTTCTTTCTGCTTTGTCATATAATGACTTCACCTTTTCTCAAATCATATTAGAGTCTGTATGTATGCTTTTCTTGTAGCAATCCTGCAACCATATCAAAGCTGCATTCTAAATATGAGATGAATACACCCGCCTGCTGGTGTACCTGCAGTGACAGTTTCACAAATTTCTTTCCCTCTCTTGCTTTTTTTTTTTTTTTTAACAACAGTTCTTACACTGGATTCATTTATCTTGAAATGGTGGGCAACTGCAGCTGCAGACTGAAATCTATAAGACATATCAAGGAACTCAGCCTTTTCTTCTAATGCCGTAACTTTTCTCTGCTTCTTGGGAGACTTCCAGCATCACCAGTGGCATTGTGTATGGGTCCTGCAGTGCTACTCGAGGTTTACAGTATTGCACCAAACACGTTGAAAAATACCAGAGATCACGTTTCACTAGGCTATGCAACTGACTGGAGGAATGAGCTGGTGCCACAGAGGTGATCGGTGTCACACAGCATTTTAATTGGGCACTTGAAACACTTGGGCTCACTGCAGTAGGAACGAGCAGTGACCAGGAAATTTTACAGTAGCACTGAATGGACTACAGTTAGTTTCATGCAATTATGATTCAATACTGCATCTTTACATTTGCGTTTCTCTTGACAGAGAATGACACCACATACAGTCTGGGTTTGTGTAAGTTTTGATAGATTTTAACTTCTTATAATAGATTTGTATGTATTTCATGGTTGTAAATGGTAAAATAGACTAGTATGTACGTATATTTAATGCATTCAGGACATATCTAACTTTTTCTGAATTTTTTTCAATATTTCTAGGTTATGCATTTCATCTGTCAGTTTTTTCAAATTGTTGCAAATTTCCAATAAAATTTTCCAATGTATTTATTGAAAAAAATCTGTATAAAACTGGCCCACAAAGTTCAATCCCGTGTTGTTCAAGGGCCAGCTGTACTTGTGTTGTTGTTACCTACAATTCAATGGAACATTGTACAGCCATTAACAACATGCTTGCAAATAATTGTCAAAGACTTCAGAAAATGCCTAGAATGGGATGTTAAATGAGCAGAAGCAGCCAGGGTCAAAGTTCCGTATACACCATGGTCACAAATATTATTTTTTAAAACTGTAAATGTGTACATATTGATTTCCCTAAATAAAAGAGAGTGATTATCTCTGGGTAGGGGCATTAAGAAAAGTGAGACTGTTTCAAGTCCTAAAAAAGGGAAATGTCAAGGGTAAAGAGGACTGGCCCAAAGATATGAGAGAAATTACGTGGGACTGCACAGTCTGCCCTACACATCATCTGTGTGCCCGGAGGTGATCCCGCCAGGGGGCATCTCGCTTCCGTGCTGGGCACCTGGCTGCCTCCACTTGCTCATGGGGGTGCTCCAAGAAGCCTTCTCAGAGGCCCCAAGTAGGGTCAAGCCCCTCCTTTGAGTCCCCACAGCCCTCTAAACCTTCTATCCCAGCCCTGGCACAGCCACCGCCCTTTGTGGCTCATCTGCAGGTGTCCCCATCCCTGGCGCAGTCCTGGCAGGCAGGGTACTAACTGCTTGCTGACTGAACGAGCAGCCTTTGGGAGGCCTTGGAGAAGACTTCGCAAAATGCACGGGGCACAGCCCCCACCTCAAGGCTGCACGGGAGCACCCCACACAAGATACAAACGGCACCAACAAACTCAGGGAGAGACAGCACTTCTGCCTGGAGGTCAGCGCCCTTCAGTCAGTTTAACCAGAAGGTTCTGTGAAGTCTAGTTTCATGTCTCTTTTTCTCTTCTCTAATTTCAGAGCACTTAGATTAATGTGAAGGTTTACTATCAGCATGTCTGCTTGACCTATACAAAGAGACACATTCATTACAGCAATTCCCACTGGGAGCTAAGCCATGCTGAGATCAAGGGCATGCGTAATAAAGACGGTACCTCTAACTGAGTTTGTGGTCCATACATGTCCCAGATTTTTCTTCTTCGGACATCAATCCCTCTGCCTGGATGCTGAAAAAATTAATTTTAGAAATCAAAGGTTAACCTTAGTACTTCATAATAAGTTAGCAAGAACACATTAAAGTTCTGCAGGCACTGCCAGCAGGACGAAGGGCAAGAGAAGAGCTTCCTGCCAGCAACTCATACCCATCCTGATGTGTCCAGCGCACCAGGTGCCATTACCCTGTGATACGATGGCCAGCTTAGCCACTTCCTGCTAGCAGCAACAGCTGGAACCTGCAGCCCAGTCTGGTGGTACCAAGCTGATTTTCTTGCTGCTGTACTGCACAGTACTGTACTGATGGCCTGCACATATTTGCCTACGCCTCTAAGAGCTTGGAATGGTTGTTACAGTGCCCTTTTTCAAGTGTGTCATTAGCATTCATGGATGACACCAGAATTTCTCAGCTGTCTAAAACAGATACCCACACCCCTGCAAGGCAGGTAAGAAGGTGTACTGCGCTAATGGTCATTATGATGGGACATGGAGTTCAAGATGGGACATGGAGTTGAGTGACCACAGTGGCCTTTAGTGTGGGAACATTTCCAGGGCCAGTGCCCCAGGGAGCACACCTGAGAACGTGAGCCAATTCTCTGCTCTCAGTCAAGGTCAGCTGCTGGCTCTTCTTGCACCTTGGCCACACTCATTGGCTCTCATAGGGCAAACTTATTTCTGCCAAGCCTGCAGAAGAGGAGGGGTGCACGAGACACCTCCCAGCTGTCTCCAGGTACCAGCTACCAAGCTGCCACCTGATACACTACCACCCCCACAACCAGCTTATAGGTATTATGATTAGAAACTCATTCTTTAATAACACACTTGAAAAAGGGCATTGTAACAACCATTTCAAGCTCTTACAGGTGTAGACAAATATGCGCAGCCTATCAGTACAGTACTGTACAGTACAGCATAGCAGGAAGATAATCAGTTTGGAACCATCAATATTGGGCTGCAGGTTCCAGCTGTTGCCCCCTAGCAGGAAGTGGCTAAGCTGGCCATCATATCATGGGGTAATGGCACCTGACGCGCTGGACGCACCAGGAGGGGTATAAGTTGCTGGCAGGAAGTTCCAGGCACAAGACACCCACCCCTACTGACCGTGCTACCTGGGCAGGTGCCGCTCTCAGCCCAAGAGTGCTTTCACTGCATCAGCTGAACATCCAGAAAATAAGGGCAAAACCCAGTACCACACACCACACTGTTCCATACTGTTGTCTGTGTATACATGACTGGCCGTCCGAGCCAGAACTGAAGCTTCTCTTATTTGTTTTTCTTTTTTTTGCAGAGATGGGGTTTCACTATGTTGCCCAGGCTGGTCTCAAACTCCCGGGCTCAAGTGATCCACCCGCCTCGGCCACCCAAGTGTTAGGATTGCAGGCGTGAGCCCCGTGCCTGGCCTGAAGCTTCTCAAGTGCAGAACCTGCCTTGCTTTTTATCTCCCTCCAGCTCCTTGAGATGGTGGGTTTCAAAAGAAAAATCTGACAGCAAAAAAACATCCATGCTACCCAAAGCCTGTCATTTTATAGGTCCATGCCGGGGCCCGGGGACTTCCTCTTAGGTCCAATGAGATCACCACGTTTCCCTTGTTTTAGGAGCTGTTTGTTTATCAGATTAACAGAAATTTATAAGTCTCTACCTACTCTGATAGCTGGCTGACTCCAAATCCAGGCTGTATCAGCAGAAAAAGATGTCAGTGAACCCTGTGCCTGACTTGAGGAAACTCTGGACAAGTTACCAGAAAAGGTGATGGAGCCGGGCCTTACCCCCTCACTGCTCAGGATGTGGACCAGGAGGCCATTTCCACATCCCAGGTCCACAAAGGACTGCCTGGCAGTTAGTCTCCTCTCAGCCCTTTCTTCTTCCCATAGAATCTAAGTGAAGAGAAAAACAAAACAAAGTCAGGTGGTAATTCACTCTACGCAAGAATAATTTAGACACAAACTGGTCAAAGAAAACTCTGAGTGAAAGGAAACTTGAAATCATCTACACTAAACATTCTTTTTTTTTTTTCTTTTTTTGAGATGGAGTGTTGCTCTTGCCGCCCAGGCTAGAGTGCAATGATGCAATCTCTGGTCACTGCAACCTCCGCCTCCTGGGTTCAAGCAATTCTCCTGCCTCAGCCTCCCCAGTAGCTGGAACTATGGGCTCCTGCCACCACGCCTGGCTAATTTTGTATTTTTAGTAGAGACAGGGTTTCACCATGTTGGCCAGGCTGGTCTCAAACTCCTGACCTCAAGTGATCTGCCCGCCTCGGCCTCCCGAAGTGCTGGGAATTACAGGCTTGAGCCACCAAACCCAGCCTACTCTAAACATTCTTATAGATAAGTAAACCAAGATGATTAAATCAGAGGGCATGTCCAAATGTAGCCAGCTAGCGAGCCAGCTGAGGAAAGGGCTAGAAGGTTCTAGGCCAGGGCCGGAAGACACGTGTTCCTCAGTGCTTCCCTGTGCCAGCCGGTGCCTCCACGATGACTGCTGAGTGTGGACGTACAGTTCCGCCTGCAGGTCAAGTTGGAACCCGAGGTCAAGTTTCAACCCAAACTTGTTGTATACGCATCAAAAGGACCACATGAAGTCAAACCATTACACGAGAAACCAACCTTGGCCAGCAGAATTGTGAGCACCGGCAGTTATGGATTTGGAAAATGTCCTTCACTACAGGGAACATCTGCCTGTAGCAAACTCCACCCACTCCAGAGAAGCTGAGGTCGCTTACACCCTTACCAGCAGGTATGCTGCGATAGCCACATCTTCATACACGAACTTCTCAGGATCAGTGACTTCAGGCCACACCTAAAACAGTTTCAAGAGCAAACATAAATTGTTCGGTTTCCCCACCACCATTTCCCAATACTTTAAGTATCCCTATAAAGCATAAATCAAACTGGACTAATCGTACACTAAAATAGGAAACATAAGCTCAAAGGCAGGAATTCACAACTGGTTTCTTACAATAAAAGATTTACATAAAGAAACAAGGCATGCCAAGAACAATCCAATCCAAAGCAAGATTTCACAATCAACAGAATGTACCTAAGGCATTTAGCTGAGGCAGTGGACACAGAGGAAACACTTAGCTACACTGTGCTCATTGTCTATGCAGATAAGGGCAACAAACAAGGAAACTAGGCGTGGGAGTGAAACTAGGGCAGGGAGAGCCGCGAGCCACAAACTAGGAGACCAGTGCTCCAGCCCCTGGTCCATCAGTGGCTGCTGTCGCCCTACCTGTCAAACAGGGATAAAGCCATGCCTCAACTAACACACAGGATAATCAAGGTGCTCTGAAAACTGTAAAGCACTAGCTGTGCAAACATGAGCTCTCATTATTAAAATTAGTCATGTTCAGAACTGGCATTAGGCAAAACAGGAAAAACCAATGGCCAATGTTAAAAGTTGAAATTTCTATTTCCAGTCACAGCGCCTTAGACAATACAGATGAACCATCCCACTAGAAACAATTTCAAAAGCTGGAAAAACATAAAAAGTACCTTCTGGACGGTACCAAATAGCTAACAAGATGGCAAAGGACCACGAGGCCAGGATGTGGGAGGGAGCCCAGCCTCAGTCAGCCAACCCCGGGGACCCACAGGTGCTTCAGCAATAATGAAAGGTCACAGCTTTAAGCCTGTGACCTTTGGGGTGCTTTTGTTACAGAGCAAGACGTGACTGATTAAAAAAATACATGGAAGCCGGGCAGTGGCTCAAGCCTGTAATCCAAGCACTTTAGGAGGCCAAAGCAGGCAGAACACTTGAGCCCTGGGAAACATGGCAAAACTTTGTCTCTACAAAAAATACAAAAAATTAGCCAGGCATGGTAGCATCTGCCTGTGGTCCCAGCTACTAGGGAGAATCGCTTGAGCCCGGGAGGTTGAGTCTCCAGTGAGCCAAGATTGCACCACTGCACCCCAGCCTAGGCGACAGAGTGAGAGCCTGTCTCAAAAAAAAAAAAAAAAAAAAAAACATGGAAATGACAAATTGTGGTTACTCCTAGGACGGGGAGGAAGATGGGAACTAGGAAGAATAGTAAGTAGCTTTGACTCTACCAGCAATGCCTTCTGCCTTAAGCTGGGCATAAACACACAGATGTATTGGGGGAACCCGCCCCCAATTCGGGGTCCCTGACTTCCCGCAACACAGATGTTTCTTGTTATACTGTTTTTACATCTTAGATAGAAAGTTTAAGCACATGTTATTATGAAATGTATCTCCTTTTGGGAACTGCTCTTTTGTATTTTAACTTTTCACATATTTTCTTAAAATATATTTAAGTTTATACAAAGAATTATGGTAATTTAGCCATTTTTTTTTTCAAGGTTCCATTACTTTTCAATTAAATATTTCCCTTTAGGTCTCTTGAAAACAAATAATATACAAGTAAAGATCAATCCTTTTCCATTATATATCTGTCTATGTTTTTGTTGTGTGCACCCCTAAGTATGTCAAAGTACAGCCTGCAACAGGAAAAACAATTTTACCTGGAAGAGTTTGATTATTTTACCTCATGTAAATTAAGGGTGAGCTGGACACGGTGGCTCACACCTGTAATCTTAGCACTTTGGGAGGCCAAGACCAGTCTGGGCAACATGGTGAAACCTCATCTCTAATAAAAATACAAAAAATTAGCCAGGCGTGGTGGCATGTTCCTGTAGTCCCAGCTAGTCCAGAGGCTGAGGCAGGAGAATCTCTTGAACCCGGGAGGCAGAGGTTGCAGTGAGCCAAGATCACACCACTTCACTCTGGCCCTTTTTTTTGGGGGGGTGACAGAACAAGACTGTCGCAAAAAAAAAAAAAAAAAAAAAAAAAGAAAAGAAAAGAAAAGAAAATCATGAAGGGGGAAAAATCAGATATTCTCCACCAGAATTACCTTAACCATTTCCTTATACTTCTCTTTAAGTTCCTGGTAAGCCTTGCTATACTTCATAATGGAGATGAGGGAAAGGGTGCTTTTAAAGTCACTCTTCTTGTTCTCTACAGACCACTTGGCCAACTTGGCCAGCAACTCTTCTCCAAGCCACGTGGGTTTGGGATACACGATTCCATCTGAATGCCATCTTTCTGGACAGAAAATTAAAACAGATATGAACCTTTAAAAATAAGAGAAATATGAATAAGCACAGATATGTTCAATTCTTATTTTAAAATTATCTATTTATTTACCTAATGAAGAAAACAGAAGCTAAGACATCTATATTACCAAAAACATAAAACGAACTAGAACTAGTTACAGAACTTTCATCTAATAGAGAAAAACATGTAAAAAGCACAGAGAATCCCTCTTTTCTTGCAAACTTTGTTAAGGATATATTTACACACTGCGAAGCCCCTGAGGCGGCTGAACAAATAAAGGCCTCTCTCCTGCTGCTTCATGCACAAGGAGCCAGAGTCTAAGCGTCCAAGGATTTTCCTAACATTTCTATTCTTTACCATTTTCACAGGTGCAACTCAAATGAGTATACTGGCTCACCGAATAGCTACTTGCCAGAAGGCGAAGTGCTCAGCCACAGAGATAAAGGCTGCTGTGCATTTTGCCGGCTTATTTTGTCTTTCACATGTCTTCTGCCATCAGAAGGTTCATGACAGTGGGGGGCTTCTGTCTGTCTTGCTCACTGCTCCGCCCCCAGGTCCCAGCAGTGCTGACACATAGCAGGCACTGTTCATGGATGCATTCAATAAATGAGGAAAAGCTCACAATCCTTGGGAGGACTGGCGGGACAGATACAAACCCAGATAACAATACACTGTCCAAGGGCTGCGTTTGGGGCAGCACAGGGAAGGGGAGGGCATTAAGTTTGCTGGGCAGATGAGAGAAAGCTACGATAAAAGTGACATTCAACGGACATTCCTAAGAACAAGCAGATCCCAGCCACTGGGTGAGCGGGGCAGAGCCGGAGGGCCTCACAAGTGTGCTGAGGGCGCGGCAGCAGCATGGCCCCACTGGAGGGGACAATGGCAAGTGGTCCGTCTGGTGAGAGCTGTGGTTTCCAGGTTTTCTGCCACCACGGTGCATTAGAGGGACACAAGTCACTTCCAGAAGATTCTCCAGAGAGTCAACCCCAAAGTGGGTCTGAACCTTTCCCCTGGCCCAGCTCCCTGCTCGGGACTGTGAGGTCTGTCCTGCTCAGTCCAGAAGCGTTCCTGCTGGGCCTGACACTAACTTTGGTGGCCCCTGCGCGCTGCAGAGATTCTGCCCAAGGGGCGTTCCTCGCTCTTCCCTGGGCCTCATGCTCTTCCCCAGGGTCCCCCAGAGGTCCATACGGCCTCCTCCTTCATCCGCCTCTCTTCCATGTCCCTTCTCAGAGGCCTTCCCACATACCTCGGCCACACTCTGCCGTTTCTATTGAGGGGACACAGTCCTGCTTGGCTGAGTTTTCCTCCCTACACCACCTAGTATGGGAGCAGATATTCTCCACTGCCCCAGGAGACTCACTTCCCGCTGCGTGCCAGCCCTAACACATGCTGGGCACACAACAAATGTTGCCGAAAATGAATCCAGCTGCGAAGAAGCACGCACATCGACAGTGGAGCCCCTCATTTGTGTTCAACTCAGAAGGCAGTACATCTGGCCCCTGAAGTGTGACCTGTGCCCAGAGACTGCAAGGAATAGCGGCCCGGTGAGGCTATGACTAGAAATGCCACCCTGGGAAGGTGGGGGCAGCAGCCACGTCCTCAGTAGCTCGTTAAAGAGCAGTGAACGTCACTCCGATGCCGACTAGAAATGCCACCCTGGGAAGATGGGAGCAGCAGCCACGTCCTCAGTAGCTTGTCAAAGAGCAATGAAAGTCACTCCAACGCAGCAGGCACATGCCAAGCACCTCCTGCAACCCCGCCCTGCACCAGGTGCCCACTGCCCCCAAGACAGGCACCACTTTCTGGCTAATGGGCACACAGTTCAGCATCGCCGAGCACAGAGGTGCCTGGCACAGGTAAGCATGGCTTCTCCTAGTGTCTGCTCTCACTCCTCACTCTCCAACAAGGGCATGCTAGCAGGAAGGGACCTCAGGGCAGGATCCCCTGACAACTCGGGGCAACCTCTGGATGGTTCTCAAAGGGCTTCATGCTACAGGGCCTGAGCACCCCTTTCAAGCACGAAGGCTGCAACAGATCCATGTGAGGCCCAGCCCTGCCACCTCCTCAGAGGCTCAGGAATGATTAAACCCATTTCAAGGTGAGTAGACAGAGGGCCAGGAGGTAGAGCACATCCCCAAGACCACACTGCTAGTGGGAAGCCCATGCTCTTCTCGCCACATCCCTCTGCTTTCTAGGAAGCCCCGGGCAAACTCATTCCAGTTACTCAGACATTATCCCCAAGACTGTTTCGGAAAGTACAGCTTGGATGTGGCACTCAGGAAAATATCAGCTGACAAGTCATGAATGAATTCACCCCTCCTCTGACTTTTTCGTTTTAAAAATACCAAACGGTATGAATTAAATTTTATACTTTCTATACAGGCCCAAATACCATATGGAATTAAGGGTGCTTATTAAACCGCTACTTTATAATAAGTATCACTGAATACTTACTACAGAAGGAACCATCACCTATTCCCCATTACTAAGTCATAAAAAATAACAAAATAGGCTGGGCTTGGTGGCTCATGCCTGAAATCTCAGCACTTTGGGAGGCCAAGGCAGGTGGATCACCTGAGGTCAGGAGTTTGATACCAGCCTGGCCAACATGGCGAAACCCCGTCTCTACTGAAAATACAAAAATTAGCCGGGTGTGGTGGTGGGTGCCTGTACTGTGCAGACTGAGGCACGAGAATCACTTAAATGCAGGAGGTAGAGGTTGCAGTGAAATGCGATGGCACCAATGCACTCCAGCCTGGGCAACAGTGTAAGACTGTCTCAATAATAATAATAACAATAACAATAAAGAAATTTGAGTTTGACTTCAGAGCTAATGCTAAGGGCTGCTGATCATCACAGCCACAGGGAAGGTAGAGATCAGAAACCCCAGCCAGGCTGTGACCACCCAGACTCGAGGCCAGGCACCAACAGGAAGAGCAACATGGCCTGGGCACATAAGCTAGCAACTGCATTCCTACAAACCATAACCACCTCAGAGACAGGACCTTAAGCCCTGGCAACCCAGAATCCTTTGGCTACCTAAAGAAATCCTCAATGGAAACCATAAAACTAGGAGTCCACTGTCCAGCTCTTACCATTCTTCTTTGCTATGACTGAGCTGAATTTGATACACATTGCTCATCTTAACCTTTAGGTTCCCCTCATCATCTTCTTCCAAAGGCAAAAACGTTATGGTTCCATTGAGGACATCTGGAAAGAAAAAGAGAAGAAGGACAAATTACAACTGCCTAGCTACCGTCTCATCAGAAGCAGTATTAAAAATAGGGATGAGTCAAGCACGATGCTTTCAATCCCCCAGCACTCTATTCACAATGGCACTCCAGGAGAGGAACTTTTGCCTTTCATTCACTGCTACAGCCCACAGCCTAGAATGTGCCAGGCATACAGCAGCCATTCTCTGCAAGTATCTGTTGAGAGATGCATGAGCCAGGACCTGAGGGAAGAGCCAGCCAATGTGGACTCTATTGGAACTTGAGAGCTACAATCAGAGAAAACAGGGGACCTCTGCCCTAACTGAGTGTCTGCCACAGCCTGACCATGATCTTCGAGTGTGAGCAAGGCACAGAACACTGCTCAGCCATCAGAGGCCAGTTCAGGAAAGCGGATATCAGTCCAGGCCTTCCTAACAACCGCTTTATGTTGTGTGGAGCCCTTGCTGCATGTACGGACTTCACAGTCACCTTCCCATTAAAATATAAGCAGAGTGGCATATTCCTAAGCTAAATTTACAGCATTCTGTCAGTTTGTGTGGATACTTAAGGTTTGGTTGTATAAAGTTCTATCTCTAAAATCAATCGTGTTTACCTTTGATATTAAAAAAAAATTGCAAACTCTGTTAAAGAGGAATATACACTTCACAGGCCAAATATGCACAACTGTGGTTCACCTTCCACAGCAGATGAAAGAACAAGACCTGCCAAAAGGAAGCAGAGGCTGAAGGGGCTAAGTGGATTCAGATGGAAAGCAAGCAGTGTGGGGCCGAGAAAACTCTAACAATCAGAGTCTACTGCTATGGAATACAGGGTGGCCAGGGAAGTCCTCCCTAGTTAGGTGACATTTGAGCAGAGAGCCGAAGGAGGTCAGGGAGTGTGCCATGGGGCACCTGGAAGAAGAGTGTTTCAGACACAGGAGCAGCAATTGCAAAGGCCCTAGGGCAGGCGTGTGCTCAGGTGCATGGGGAATGGAGGTGAGTGGCGTGGACAAGGTGACAAGTGGTAGAAGGTGAAATCAAAGGGTAACAGGGCCCACCCAGGTCACATAGGGCCTTGCAGTTCATAGAAGTACAGCTTTTACTGTGAGTGAGACCAGAGAGAAGAGGACTGACACAATGCATCATTCTTTCCATGAATTATCTCATTTAAAAACTGCAACAGGACCAGGCGTGATGGCCCATGCCTGTTGTCCCAGCACTTTGGAAGGCCAAGGTGCGAGGCTCACTTGAAACCAGGAGTTAGAGACCAGACTAAGAAACATAGTAAGACCCTATTTATACAAAAAATAAATAAAGTAAAATAAAGCTCACAACTTTATCATCCAGTATTATTTTCACCATCCTCTGGATCAGGGTTTCTTAGCCTCAGTGTCACTGGCATGTGTGGCTGGATAACTCCTTATTGTTGGGAGTTGTCCCGTGCACTGTAGCATGTTTATAAGAAGCCCTGGCCCCTACCCACTAGATGCCAGCAGCATCCTCTCCCTCCCTGCCCAGTGTGGCAACCCCAAATCTGCTGTCACTGTTGTCGCTACACAATGATAAATTTCGATTTTTAAAATTTTTAAATTTTTCATTTTTGTGGGTACATAGCAGGTATATATATTTACAGGGTACATGAAATGTTTTGATCCAGGCATGCAATGTGAACTAATCACATCATGGAGAATGGGGCATCCATCCCCTCAAACATTTATCCTTTGTGTTACAAACAATCCAATTACACTCTTTTCGTTATTTAAAAATGTACAATAGTGGCCGGGAGAGGTGGCTCACGCCCGTAACCCCGGCACTTTGGGAGGCCAAGGCAGGCGGATCACGTGAGGTCAGGAGTAGGAGACCAGTCTGGCCAACATGGTGAAACCCCATCTCTACGAAAAATACAAAAATTAGCTGGGCGTCGTGGCACATGCCTGTAATCCCAGCTGCTTGGGAGGCTAAGTTAGGAGAATCGCTCGAACCCAGGAGGCGGAGGTTGCAGTGAGCTGAAATCACACCACTGCACTCTAGCCTGGGCCACAGAGCGAGACTACTCTCAAAAAAAAAAAAAAAGTACAATTAAGTTATTATTCATTATAATCCCCCTGTTAGACTATCATATACTAGGTGTTATTCATATTCTATTTTTTTTGTACACTTTAACCATCCCACCTCTCCCCCAACCCTCCACTCCCCTTCCCACCCTCTGGTAACCATCCTTCCACTCTCTATGTCCACGAGTTCCATTGTTTTGATTTTTAAACCCCATAAATAAGTGAGAACATGTGATGTTTGAATGACAAACTTCTGAGGATCAAAACTGCCCCGACTGAAACCTCTGTTCTAGATGAGAAAACCAGGCGTTCAACAGATTAAGTAATCTGTCTCAAATCCACATAGCCTCAAACTGAATTCTGTTCTTTAACTAAAGAAGTCAAGTTCTTAACCACTATGTCATCCTGTCACCTGCTACTAACAGTTAAGATTTCTTAGTCACATTCCTTTTTTTTTTTTTTAGACTGAGTCCCCGTCTGCTGCCCAGGCTGGAATGCAGTGGCACAATCTTGGTTCACTGCAACCTCCACTCACCGGGTTCACGTCATTCTTCTGCCTCAGTCTCCTGAGTAGCTGGGATTACAGGCACCTGCCACTACGCCTGGCTAATTTTTTGTATTTTTAGTAGAGACGGGGTTTCACCATGTTGGCCAGGCTGGTCTCGAACAGTCACATTACTCTTAAGACCTTCGTGATCTTACCCAGAATAGGGCCAAGAAATATACAAAAGTTGCAAGAGCATCTCCACTTCACACAAACAGCAGCTAGCATTTATTAGGCACTTACCATGTGCCAGGAACTATTCTAAGCACTTTACAATGTATTAATTCCATTTAACTCTTCCAGCAACTCCAAGATATTTTATTATTATCCTATTTTACAAATGAAGACACTGAGGCACAGAGAGGCTCTATAACCTGCCCACAGCCATACAGCTTGTAATTGGCAAGACCAAAATTCAAAGCCAGGCTGTCTATATTCCATGGAGGATACAAGTCCTCTGGTGAGCCTTCCTGGCGGGAACTGAATATAGAAAGCAATCCTGAAAACGTACTCCTTGTTGAGAGGGAAAACTGCCTCCCTGAGAGGAAGAAAGGAAAAAATTCTGTCCTACCCCTCTGTTCAGCGAAGTCTACACATGAAGGCCTCACGGGCACTGCCTCTCCAATCCTCAGTCCAGTGGATGGACAACGTAAAATGGTTAAGATTAGAACACAGTTGATAAGAGCTGGAAGAACTCCTAAACTAGACTGGACTGGCAGAGAGGCCCCCTGGAGGAGAGGACACCTAGAGTCTTACAAAGGCACAGAGGCAGACAGTATTGGGAGCCATCAGAGGGGACTATGTACCTCCCAGCAATTGCTGCCTGAGGTAGGCAGAAGAGCCTCCCAAAAGTGTCCATGCCGTAATACCCAGGACTCGTGAATATACTGTATTATATGGCAAAAGGGGCACTTGCAAACATGATTATGGTTACAGACCTCAAGAGGAAGAGTACTCTGGATTATCCAGGTGAGCCCGGCCTAACTCCATGGGCCACGAAGAGCAGAGAATTTTCTCTGGCTGGAGGCGGAGGAGAGAAGCAGCAGGAGAGGAAGGCAGAGAGATTCCAAGTATGAGAAGAATTCAACCCCATTGCTGGCTCTGAGATGTAGGAAGCTGCATGAAAGAACCAGAAAGAAGCCTCCAGCAACTGACAGCCAGCAAGGGAACAAGGACCCCAGTCCTACATAAAAAATTGGATTCTACCAACGAACTGAATGAGCCTGAGAACAGATTCCTTCCCAGAACCTCCAAATAAGAGCCCAGCCGGCAGGCTGTTTGATTTTGGCCTCGTGAGAGAGACCCACAGCGGAGAAACCAGCAGAGCCAATGGGGATTCCTAACCTACAGAACTGAGACAATCAATTTTTTGTACTGACCAATGAATTTGCAGTAATTTGTTACAGTGGCAATACGAAACACATGCTGCTGAATAAAGTTTCAGGTAAGAGTGGCTGAGGCTGAAGTGTCAAGGTCACGGGCAGTAAAAATAAATGCCAGAGATTTAACGAACGCTGAGGACTAGTAGGTTCCCATCCATCCAGTCTCTATGCTCTTTCACAGTTATTTGTCTCAGCATAAATAGCTCTCTTTATGTTGGGGAAAAGGCTTATGGCATGCCTGTATAAACTGGCCATAAAAATATGAGACAATAAGTTGTGGAAAGCCACAAGAGGCCTCTGAGGAGGAAAGCCTTCTTATTGTCATGATGTTCCCATGCTCTGGGCGAGACCTACTGTCTTACCTATAAACACTGTGTTCAAGGAGAAAGACACTCCTTTGAATCACTACAATGTGGTCAGACATGCAGGCTCCTAGTTAAGCACGCTCCCACTGGTTATTCTCCGACAAGTTAAAGATAACGCTGTTTGAGCACAAAGGAGATTCATTTAAACCGCCACTGCTATAGATGACATGTATGATGCACTGTCTCCCTTTCACCCTTTCGCCCCGAACGTCCGCTTCTTAGATCTAAGTGATTGTACTCAATAGTGTGGAGACCAGAGCTCCCAGGCTTTGGCAGCCTCCATTTTGCAATTGGCCCCCTGGCCCCCAATCTTTATGCACTCTTAACCTGTCTCGTCTCATTCCTTCGTCGCCACCGGACTTTGAGTACCCTACGGGTGGTGTTGAGGCTGGTCCCCAACACTTTTACACCTACAGCTTTACCTGCTAAACTCCTAGGTATTACGCAATATCCAGCTAGTCCTTCACTGTCTCTTTGAAGCCTTCCAGACACCACCCCAATCAATTATCCCATCTTCTGTACTAAGGACACACATTTCTATGCGCCCACTCAAAAAACTATGAAACACCTAACAACCTCCCTAGGACATCGCAGAGGAACTAGTACCCTTAGGACTTTTTCATTGACCCGAGGTTCTATGAATGCTTTTTTATCTAATCATATCCGTCCACTATCAAAACACTCTTACCTTGCACGACTATTTCCCTCCTGGGAGTTGTAAGGGGGCAATGTGGGCTAGTTTTCGGGATGACGGTTCTGAGAACCACGTCGAGCTCACGCTGCGCCTCTGGCTGCGATCCCGCCCCGGAGCTGGTGAGGAAGGCCAGCAACTCCGAATTGCCACGGGCGAGACTTTGGGAGAAATCCTCCCAAAGCGAATCCAGATCTGCGGCGGGGAAGTCGCCCTCCCTTCCTTCAGCATGGCCGGGGTGCCCGGAGTCCCTCAGGGGCACTGAGGCGGCTTCCCTCTGTGCCTCCTCTTGCTGGCACTGGCCCTGGGCCTCCTCAAGTTCGCAACATGCCGTGCCCTGCTCGGGTCCTGATAGCGACCTGGGACCCGGGCCCCCTCCGGGGGAACCCTGGCCGGGTCCCGGACCCCGCTCCTTCTGCTCCGAGCCTGCGCTAGTCCCGGGGCCGCGGGCCTCCGCGCAGGGCAGGGCGGCGCTCCAGCGGGCCTCCAGGCGGGCGCCGCAAAGCCGTTTGTTTGCCACCTGCGGCCTCTCCAGCCACACTTCGACCGCAGCCCAGAAGCCCTGTGGGAGAAGCGCGCCTGGGTAGCTGATCCCGGTACGGCCCACCTCAGCCATGGCAGCCAGCAGGTGTACAGCCCTGGCAGCGGCGCGCCGAGATGACGCAGCCCGGTGGCGCGGCGCGTTGACGTCATGGAGGCGGGGTGCTGGGACCGGAAATGAGAATGGCGCCGCTGGAGATCCTTTCCTGCTTTTGGTTTCCCTGGCAGGGGTTGAACTGTGGAGTGTGTGGGTGAGGAATTTGACCTGTGTTTTATTCCCTTTTGAGAGAATTCTGGGCGTGGTATAGTTACAGAATCAAACATCAGCCAGCCAGCGGGTGTGGAACGCATTGTCCTCAGTACTGATTACCGATAAAAGTCAGGGAGCCTAAGTTTGTGAACGTAAAAGATGAGTCCTCTTATGAAAGCTAACTTTTCTCCACTTGGGTTCTGGTTTGCTTTTAGTGCTGGCATTACAGCCAGTGCCTTCCTAAGTCTGAGTGCAGCCATGGCTGTTTCATAAGAATGATGTAACGTTGTCCCATGAGGGATGAAAGTCATCTGTCACCTACTGTAGCAGGACAAGCCACAGACAAAACTCCTCAGACACCGGATTAAAGAAGAAAGAGGTTTATTCGGCCGGGAGCATCGGCAGACTTGCGTCTTAAGAGCTGAGCTCCCCAAAAAAGAAATTCTTGGCCTGTTTAAAGGCTTACGACTTTAAGGGTCCACGTGAAAGGGTCGTGATAAATTGAGCAAGCATGGGAAACGTGACTGGGGGCTACATGAATCAGCTAACAGAACAGAAAGTTTTGCAATGCTTTTTTCATACAATGTCTGGAATTTACAGATAACACAAGTAGTTTAGGTCGGGGGTTGATGTTATTATTATTATTTTTTTTAACTCCTAGGGCCACGTGGTGGTGCCAAGGTTGTCTGGCTATTTATCTGACTTTTGTTTCTTTCTAACTTTTTGCTTTCTCTCTTTTCCTCCTGTCTTATGAACTAGGCAAGGTGGCAGGGAGGAGGGCAGCAGGAGTAGTAGTGGTCTCCTTATCCCTTCCTTTGAGAATTTTCACAAATTAGTGGGAGTTCTCGCTTTTATTTTTACTTTGAGTCTCTTTGGGAGACAGAGTGATAGTGTTTTATGTAATACACTTGCAGTGAGGGTTTTAAATTCTCTTATAGCTGGAAACTATCTTTTAAATAAAGACCTAGGATCAAACCTGTGTTAAACCAGTACAGGCACATGTGCCAACTTTGTCATGTCCTAAGCAGGTTAGTTTTTTTACTGGGTCTTAAAAGCTTTTTTCCTAGCAAGCAACACAGTATTTCTTAATAATAGGAGTTTTTAAGAGCCAAATGCTTGAACTTGGCATCTGCTTGGGGAAAGAGTTAAAGTAATCTTGAGGCATTAAATCTTTTGCTTCTCAAGGCCATTGGTCTCTCATGTTAGCCTTTTTATAAACATAACATGAAGAAACGTCTAGGCTGCTGGCAATGTTTTCAGCCAGCTGAGCAAATAGGTTGTTTGTTTGTTTTGCTAAAGGAGGAGGCTCTTGTAACTTCTGGTTTATGTGTTTAAAGAATGACTTAAAGACTCGGAATTGTTGCTGGGCTGGACGGGTCTGGGTTTCCTGACTAAGTAGTATGTGTACAATGGGGACACCTTATATAGGTGTTTCTTCTAGCATGGTTATGGGGGGTAACAATAACAAAACAATATACAGCATATTTGTATCCAGCAAGGACAAAAGAGGTCCTTACCTGGGAAAAAGATTGAATACAGTGACAGAACAATAGGAAAACAGTATTACAGGAAAACTATTAGTCTTAAGATTTTTAACTACGTTTACTTGCTTGACAAGTCCTCAAGCTTCGGCCATGCGTAGACTATTCAGCTGCCAGTGCGTGACTAGAGCCGGGCTTGTTGTTTCTTCAAGCTTCAGCCGTGTGTAGACTGGTCAGCCTCCGGAGTGACCAGAGCAGGGCTGTCGTCCTCAGCAACAGCTTGGTCTCGTCTCCGAATCAGCCGGGTAGGAAGATCTGTGTCCTGCTGGCTGGTCTACTTGTCCTGAGCTGCCAGTGTTAGCTGACTGTGATGGATCTAAGACACAACACCTGCAACTTTTAACAGCAGTGGGAGTGGAAAAGATTACAGTATAAGGCCCATCCTATATGGGTCCTAGAAAAATTAGATTTTACTTTTTAACTTAAACAGAGTCACTAGATTTAAAGGGGTGTCAGGCTTATAGGCATTTTTATGTATTTAATTATAAACACTTTGTATGGCTATTTCTAAAATCTGCATTTGCTTTCTTAAGGTTAATTCCTTTAGTTCTTGGAGGTCACCTTTAATTTGACCTGTGATTTGGGGGTGGCCGACCGAACAAAATCTTATAGGGTAAATACCTAGTTTGTTTGGTGAGGGTGCAGCTGACTTGAAGGAGGACCATAGGCAAAAGCCTGATTTTATCTTAAATGAATTTCCTGGCAATATTTTTTTCAGTAGCTGCTCGAGTGTCCAGTTCATGCACTCCACTTTTTCTTGAACTTTGCAGCCAATAGGCTGTGTGTAACTTCCATTTTATTTTTAACAGTCTTGTTAAATCCTGCCCTATTTCAGCTACAAATGCTGGCCTATTGTCTGACTTTAAAGTTAGAGGCAGTCTAAACCTGGGGATAATGTCTTTTAACAATACTTTAGTCACTTCTTGTACTTTTTCTGTCCTGGTGGGGAAAACTTTAACTTACCCTGGAAAGGTGCAAACAAGCACTAGCATGTACCGATAGCCTCCAGCATGAGGCAGTTCTGTAAAGTCTATAAGCAAGTTTTCACAAGGTATGGCTCTTTTTCCTGTTTAAGTTTCTTAGAGGAGGGGTTCTTTTTCTTTCCCCCCTTTGTAACTCTATCTAGTGGCTTAGCCATCAGTGAGAAATTGGAATCCAGATATGGCAGAATCCTGCTGCTTTTAACTTCTAATGTGACAATGGGCTCCTGGGAGCCTAATAAGAAGGTGCCTAGTCTGCCCTAGTCTTTACATTCTTTAGCTCCTGCCAGCCTGATCAGATCAGTATTTGGTTCCTCCAAGGTGCGGCAGCCCTTGGCCAATGGCCTCTTTGTCTTGCAGCCTTGGCCATTTCTTTTATTGCCTTCTGAACATTCACCCTTCTAGTGTCCTTTCTTTTTTCATCTCACACATTAATGTCTCTCTAGCCTTGGCCGGCTCTCGAATCCTTGCCTAACTTGACTTCTTCCACGTCTACATCCGTGTCCACGTCCTCTCGCATTGCTAATCTCTCTTTTTATAAGAGCTGTTGCTAACAGATTGGCCTTTTTCCTTAAGTCTTTGTTTTTCTTTTTCCTTCCTGAGTTCTCCTGCTTCTATGGCCACCTGGCGGGGCCAGGCAGTGGCACAGGCCCTGCCCCCGCGCACTGCTGTCTCTCCCATTTTCTTCTGATTCTCTTTTTTACACTTACTGTGAGTCTTTCTTTTTGTTTTGCTCTTCTCTTGGCACCGGTCTCTAGCCTCCTCTTTTTTTCTAGATAGAGCTGAGCCGGGGAGAGGAATTTAACCCTTGGCGTGCCTAGCTGCCGCACTTGTTGCTTTTGCTCTTTCCTGTTTTGTTCCTTGGTCACAGCTAACATACGCCTTGGTGGCCACTTTTATAGACTGGGTGATATTCATGCCTGTAGCTTCTGCTTGATGTTACCCTGGGCTTGCTTTACAAACGAAGTATTCACTATATATATATTTATATATATATTTACATATATTTTTTTACATATATATGTAAATATATATATTTACGTGTATATATTTCTATATATTTACATATATTTGTATATATATATTTATATATATTTTTTCGAATATATATATATGCTGATTTTTTTTTTTTTTTTGAGATGGAGTCTCGCTCTGTTGCCAAGGCTGGAGTGCAGTGGTGTGATCTCGGCTCACTGCAAACTCCACCTCCCAGGTTCACACAATTCTCCTGCCTCAGCCTCCCGAGTAGCTGGGACTACAGCTACCCGCCACCACGCCCAGCTAATTTTTTTGTGTTTTTTTTTTTTTAGTAGAGACAGGGTTTCACCATGTTAGCCAGGATGGTCTCGATCTCCTGACCTCTTGATCTGCCCACCTCGGCCTTCCAAAGGGCTGGGATTATAGGCGTGAGCCACCAGCCTCAGGGTTAAATAGGATGTAAAGCCAGAATGCTTTACAGAGTCTCTTATAAAACTGACTTAGGCTCTTGTCAGCTCCTTGAAGCACTTCTGAAATCTTTTTTATATTAATTGCTTTTTTTCTACTACCTCTTAGCCTCTGCAGAAGTGCCTCTTAGTACTGCTGCAAATGCTGAAGCTGAGTTGCATTCTCTGGGTCTTTTTTCCCCTTTTTCCTAGATCTTAACAGGCCCTTTTTTAAATATAATTCTCCATGCAGTTGGAGGGTTAAACAGGCATACTGAGAGTCAGTGTAAATGTTTAGTCTTACCTTCACTGAGTTCTAAGGCCTGAATTAAAGCAATGAGCTCAGCTTAACGACAGTGTCCAGGGTTATCACTGCATATCCTGCACATCTCTCTCCTTGTGGGTTGATGAAGCTGCTCCCGTCCATGTATAGCTCCCAGTCTACTGATGCCCAAGGCTGGTCTCGGAGGTCAGGTCTGCTAGAGTAAACTTGAGTCCAACACCTCTACACAGTTAATGCTCGACAGGGCTCTAGCTGCTGGGAACAAGGTGGCGGGTTCAGGGTGTTTCCAGTTTAGTAGATCAATGGTTAAAAAGGGCTGATAGATGAAAGTCTGTTGCCCCACCCCCTGGATGTGGGCTTGGTCATTATAATAGACAGGTCCTCGTGTCTCCCTGAGAGGCATTTGCATAGCTCCAGCAAGACCAGATCTGAGAGGGCCCACTTGACTATCTTGACTTCCTTCCTTGGCCTCTTGAGGCTCCGATCTTCCCCTTCAAGGTGAGACCTGGGGCATGTTAGCTCCTTAATCTCGTTTCTCAGGGGGCTGTTGGCCTCGGTAAAGGGGGGTAGGCTGGGCCATATGGAGAAAGAATTTCTGTTATCTCTGGCGGCTCCTGCAAAACTGGCTTCTCTTGCTCTTTCTGGGACTCCCCTTTTCAACTCTGTGTCTGCTGGTGCAGCTGTTCTTACTTTCACTTTTGGCTTTTTTGCAATAAGCTGTTAAACAGGGCTAAATTTATGCTGGTTTTTGTCTATATTATATTTAACCATGAATCAATATAAAGGAATTGATCTAGGTCCACTGGCTGTCCTCCAACCCCTGTCACCACCTTAAATACATGGCCAATTGTTCCCTGTCTGTAGTTCCTTCGGTGGGCCATCCAACACCAAAAGAGGGCAATTCTTTTTTTTTTTTCTTTTTTTTGAGACGGAGTCTCGCTCTGTTGCCCAGGCTGGAGTGCAGTGGCACAATCTCCACTCACTGCAAGCTCCGCCTGCCAGGTTCATGCAATTCTCCTGCCTCAGCCTCTTGAGTAGCTGGGACTACAGGTGCCCGCCAGCACGCCTGGCTAATTTTTTGTTTTTGTATTTTTAGTAGAGATGGGGTTTCACCCTATTAGTCAGGATGGTCTCAATCTCCTGACCTCGTGATCTGCCCGCCTCGGCCTCCCAAAGTGCTGGGATTATAGGCGTGAGCCACCGCGCCCAGCAAAAGAGGGCAATTCTAATTCACATAGAGTTCTTAACCTCTGGGGGCTTAACCTCTGTAATCCCCTGCAAAACCTTTCTTAAGGTTCTGTAACATGCATTTTAATAGAGTAAGTTTTGATGATTAGATGACTTTCCTTTTATTTTTCTTCTTGAAATTTTTTTTTAACACAGTTTCTAGCGGAGTGGGCTTACTTTGTGTTTGACCTATTTTTCTCTTGAGACAAAACAACATTCACACTACAAGAAGGAAAGGGTAAAAGGTTACTCACTCGTCTAATTCACACTAAAGGAAAATCAAAACTAAAACCAAAGTGTCATTAAAGGCACACCTGTTTGTCAAGGAATTTAAGCCAAGTCAAAATCAGAACCAAAGCCAAAGTGCCAATAAAGGCACGCCTGTTTATCAAGTAATTCAAGTCAAGTCAAAAACAAAAACCAAAGTATCAAGCATTTCAAGTCAAGTCAAAAACAAAAACCAAAGTGCCGGTACAGGCACGCCATGGGTGATCAGGCCACGCTTCCACTCAAATGGAGTGTGCAAGTTCCAAAGACCAGTCTTACCAAGTTTCAAATGTCCAGACTTAAAGTGCTAGTTCCTTCCCAGTGTTCAGCCACTGCGTTGATCCTCCACGGGGGCTTGCCATGCACCACTCTGACGAGGCATTCCACGGGGGCAAATGCCTACCCGGGAGCACTCTCAGGATCTGCATCGCGCAAGCTGGCTGGAGCCCCCCACAGGGATGCTCTACAGGGCAGGCATAAGCTGCCTAAGGGGCTGGCTTGAACGTCCCTTAATCACCTCGCTTCTCAGTCAGGGAACCAAGAAATGTAGCAGGACGAGCTGCAGACAAAACTCCTCAGACACCGGATTAAAGAAGAAAGAGGTTTATTCGGCCGGAAGCACTGGCAGACTTGTGGCTTAAGAGCGGAGCCCCCCGAAAAAGAAATTCTTGGCCTGTTTAAAGGCTTACAACTTTAAGGGGTCCATGTGAAAGGGTCGTGATAAATCGAGCAAGTGTGGGAAACGTGACTGGGGGCTACATGGATCAGCTAACAGAACAGAAAGTTTTGCAATGCTTTTTCATACAATGTCTGGAATTTAAAGATAACACAAGTAGTTTAGGTCAGGGGTTGATGTTATTATTATTATTATTATTATTTTAACTCCTAGGGCCACGTGGTGGTGCCAAGGTTGTCTGGCTATTTATCTTACTTTTGTTTCTTTCTAACTTTTTGCTTTCTCTCTTTCCTCCTGTCTTATGAACTAGGCAAGTTTGGGGGTAGGAGGGCAGCAGTAGTAGTGGTCTCCTTCCTTACTACATGTCCCCAGGAGGAACAGAGAAGGTTGGATACTGCCAATTTAGCCCAACATTATCAGCAGCTGGTCTGCAGAATCTCTAGTAAAATCCAAAAACCTCCAATATTCTTAATTACTTTTGTACATTAATCCCTCCATTGGGATTTTGCCATTCCCTAAAGGATCTCTGTCGGAGTAAGAAAAGTGAAAACTAACTCAAATCATGTGATTTATTAGAGATAAAAGCACAGACCAAATGTTGGTAGAATTAAGTAAAAGGCAAATGAGACGTATCCTCCCAGACACACTGGCTCACCCTAGCCCATTCAGTGTTTGATCACATACAGTAATTGATTTTTATGCTATCTTAGTTTTCCAGGGCTTCCATAACAAATTACCGTAAGTTTGGTGGCTTAAAACAACACGCATTTATTCTCTCATAGTTCTAAAGGCTCTGAGAATCCATTCATCTCTCCTAGTTTGTAGTGGTTGCCAGCAATCATTGGCATTCCTTGACCTGTGCCTCCAGCACTTCAATCTCTGCCTCCGTGGTTACGTGGTGTTCTTGTTTCTCCAGATCTCTTTTCTTCTTCTAATAAGGGCAACATTCATATTGGATTAGGGCCAACCCTAATCCAGTATAATCTCATAGTGAATAACTGCTGAATGAAACAGTCACTGAGATTAGGGAGCGTGTCAGGAGAATGGTGCAGATGGCAGAACTATCTCAGACTGTTTCCCTTTGGGGAAGCAGGCCCCAGCCAGAGGCTGCTGGGTCCAGGGAGCAGGGAGAAAGCTGGAGATATCCAGGCTTAGGTCAAGGATCTGACCCACTGCCTGGGGCTGGAAATAGTGTCTACATAGCACTGTCCTGTAGGACTTTCTGTGATAATGGCAATGTTCTATGTCTGCACTGTCCAATACCGTAGTTACTTTTGGCTACTGACCCACACTTGAGTGCAGCTAGTGCAACTAGGGAACTGATTTAAATTAGATTTATGGGAAATTGAATGTATTTAACTGCTGCACATTTAAGTAGCCACATGAGGCTAGGGGCTACTGTTGAACAATGCAGCACTAGAGACACTCACCTGGGACCCTTAAAGCCCCTCCATTCTGAGTTGTCAGCGTCTAAGTGCTGGAAGCTGGGTGGAACTCGAGAAGCAGCAGTGGAGGCTCCAACCGGAAGTCCCTGGCTGCTCTGAGCGCCCTGAGTGGCAGCCCTGTTGTGCTGATCAGAATGATGGCTCCAGCCACTTCACAGCAGCCCCCATTACCTTCCAGGGCCTCAGCCAGAAACTCATCTGATGCCAAGACCTTAACAGCATAGAAACCCGTTAAATTCAATATGTTGGGTTTATAATTAAAAAAAAAAATCAGGCCGGGCGCGGTGGCTCACGCCTGTAATCCCAGCACATTGGGAGGCCGAGGTGGGTGGATCACAAGGTCAGGAGATCGAGACTATCCTGGCTAACACAGTGAAAACCTGTCTCTACTAAAAATACAAAAAATTAGCCGGGCGTGGTGGTGGGCGCCTGTAGTCCCAGCTACTCGGGAGGCTAAGGCAGGAGAATGGCTTGAACCCGGGAGGCAGAGCTTGCAGTGAGCCGAGATGGCACCACTGCACTCCAGTCTGGGCAACAGAGCGAGACTCCATCTCGAAAAAAAAAATTCATTGGCTCAAGCCAGTAACATTTGCCATAGGGACAGCCATTTGTTTGTGCATCTTGTACAAAACCACATTTATGTTCCACAACTCTTTCCCAACACCGTTTTCAGCTGCCTACCACTTAATGTGATGTGACTAGGGGAAGTGAGGTGGCTGCTGGGTGGTGGTGACGACTGTGGCTGAGCTGTGATGGATCATTCTTGGTGCCGAATCATCAGAACCCATTCCCTTCCCAAGGACCTGGTGACTTCTTCCAGCCACTCTTCTGGGAATGCAGAACCAGCCAAGGAGGTGGTGGTGGGAAAGACAGAAGGGATAAATGGAGACAAATGACCGGAGGGTGGGAGGCAACTTTAGCTTTAACAATGTGTGCACATAACAACAATGGCCAATGACAGTCAATAGCACCAAGGTCTAAAACTGAGCAGGGAATCGGTGTGCCGAAGGGAGCAGAAGTGGGACAGAAGTCAAGATAAACAAGAGAGGGGGTGGGTGAGGCCCTATGGCAGTGCTCCCGTGGGTCATTGTCCACTGAGTTACTGATGACACTCACCCCACCCCTACTGTTCACACTAGGGGTCCACGTGCAGCTCCTGGTGGTTTCACCCAGAAATAGCTAACAAACATGTATAAAGCCAAATTCCCTTATTTTTTTCCCCAAATTTGCTCCCTTGGTGTCAGTCCCAGTGGCATCTCCATCCACCCAGGTCCCAAATACAACAGAGTGTAGCACGACCCCTTCCTCTCTTCCTACCTCCCCACCACCCTGACTCACAGAGAGGCCCGTGTTCCCTGTCAGATGCAGGTCAGCAGTGTCCTCAGGCCCAGGAGGGGAGCACGGTGGATGGAGAGTGCTACAGCGTGAGCAGGCAAATGCCAGAAGGTGGCCCCGAGGTGAAGCCACGGTCAAAGCTGAGAACTACAGTCTGACCTGCAGATGCCAATCTGGGAAACTAAATGGAGAGAGTGAAGTCAGGGGGCCAAAACTTGCTACAGGCCAGCCCTGACAAGCCAGAGGGTAGAGGAAGACAAGTGTGAAAAGAGGAGGGTGAAAAGGGACAGGCAGAGAAGGGAGGGGAGCCTGAGGACCTGGCCAAGGCTGGAAACCTGTGCTTTGTTTTCTCCATGTCATTTTGTGATGATGCCCTAACTTAAATAGAACCAACAATAAAAAGCCACTCAGCTCCCTCTCCACCCTCCAGCTCCACCAAGATGGCCTTATCTCAGGCCCTTGTCTTTTACCTGTACTGGCCACCAGATGCCCTGAGCTCTTCCCCTTTAGCCTGCCTTCCAATGTCTACCTAGAAATGGCTTCCCTCTCCCTCTCACTCCTGCAATGGACCCAAATCATTTCCCAGTGGGAAGATATTTTTATTTTTATTTTTTGAGATGGAGTTTCACTCTTGTCACCCAGGCTGGAGTGCAATGGTGCTACCTTGGCTCACTGCAACCTCTACCTCCTGCGTTCAGGCGATTCTCTTGCCTCAGCCTCCCAAGTAGCTGGGATTACAGGCGCCCGCCACCATGCCCAGCTAATTTTTGTATTTTTAGTAGAGATGGGGTTTCACCATGTTGGCCAGGCTGGTCTCAAACTCCTGACCTCAAGTGATCTGCCCACCTCGACCTCCCAAAGTGCTAAGATTATAGGTGTGAGCCACCACACCCAGCCGAAAGATGTTTTTCTAATGTCAGTAACACATGTGAACCCAATTGATTAGTAGTTGTAATTTTGGCAGAAATTGTGACCTAAAGGAGGTGTGAGTTCTGCAATAAATGGTTATTTTATTACTCTCAACAGTATCTCCAAACATTTGAAAAACAGTGGTGTGTATTTTTTATTAGACCATGATTGCTTTGTCTTCAGGCAATCCTTGTTGCTCCTGGGGATTCAGGGACCTTTGCAAAAACACAATAGACCCCTGGCTGGGAAGGCTAGTCTAGACTAAGGATCACTTCCGACTGCTTAGCAGGGTACCTGCCAGGCCCGAAATGATCTTTCAGTCCCTTCCTTCTGCTTTTGCAATCGGACGCTCCCACTGATACCCATAATTATATGTCTGTTTAAATAACAGTAATAACTGTGAAGAAAAATGTTGCCATGGAATCAAGGAGAAGGTATTTCAGAGTAGAACAGAAGTAGACAGAATTTCCAAACATGACCTGAGTATCCCCACCCAGATGTCCTACCAACATCTTAAACTTGATACACATTTAAAATTGTACTTCTCTTTCTCCTCCCCATAACTGAGCTGCACTGCCCATCTTTTAGTTCCCTATAAATGCAAACCTTTGGATTTAGTTTTCCTTGTGCTTTTTTCACTTTTTTTTTTTTAATGCAGAGTCTCACTATGTTGCCCAGGCTAGACTCAAACTCCTGGGCTCAAGTGATTCTCCCGCCTCAGCCTCACGAGTAGTTGGGACTGCAGATGAGAGAACCATGGCGCACAACGCCTGGCTCTTCCTTGTTCTTTACATGGCAAATTGCTAAGTCTAGTTGATTCTGTTGTAATGCCCAACCTTGTTTTTACTAACCCTGTTTTTAGACTCTCCCTTTTCCTTTAATCACCTAGCCTTGTTTCCACCTGAATTAACTCTCCCTTCGCTAAGAGAGCCAGACAGACTCCATCTTCGCTCTTTCACTGGCAGCCCCTTCCTCAAGGACTTAACTTGTGCAAGCTGACTCCCAGCACATCCAAGAATACAATTAACTGATAAGATACTGTGGCGAGCAATATCCGCAATTCCCAGGAATTCGTCTGATTGATAACGCCCAAAGCCCCGCGTCTATCACCTTGTAATAGTCTTAAAGCCCCTGCACCTGGAACTGTTTACTTTCCTGTAACCATTTATCCTTTTAACTTTTTTGCCTACTTTATTTCTGTAAAATTGTTTTAACTAGACTCCCCTCCCCTTTCTAAACCAAAGTATAAAAGAAAATCTAGTCCCTTCTTCGGGGCCGAGAGAACTTTAAGCGTTAGCTGTCTCTTGGCCGCTGGCTAAATAAATGCACTCTTAATTCGTCTCAAAGAGTGGCGTTTTCTCTAACTCGCTCAGGTACAACACTGTCTCTGTAAATTTCATAAGAAGTGTGTGTGTCTTAGTTTGGATCTCCCCAAACAGACCTTGAGACGAGGCTTTGGGTGCAGGTAATTGAAAATGGAGCTGATCTCGGAGTGCACGAGTGAGGAAGTGGAAAGTGTGAGACAAAGAAAAACAAGTAAAGGGTGGGTGATTGAGCTGGTTGCTGCTCTGGTCAATGAGGGCCCACTTCCACTAGGGGCTCTCTGAGAAACTCTGCAGAACCACGGTTCTCAAACTTCAGCAAGCTCTTGGGCATGCCGGGTCTTACTATGTTGCCCAGGCTGGTCTCAAACTCCTGGCCTCAAGCGATCCTCCTGCCTCGGCCTCCGAAAGCGCTGGGATTACAGGCATGAGCCACCACCTAGAGCCTGCTGATTAATTTGAAAATGCCCGGCCCCAGACTGGGGGTCCTGATCCAGTAGCCTTGGAGTGGGCCCCAAGAAGGGCCGCGGTGTGAACTGCATCTCAGAACTACGGCGCTCCGAGAGGGCAGCGACTCGCCAGAGTCGGTCAGCCAGGCCTTGCCTAAAAGCAGAGAAGGCAAGAGTGCCCGGGAGCGCCTGGCGAAGCTTCGTGGCTTCCAGCCCGCCCGGGTGGCAGCGGCGTCCGCGTTTCCAGGGCAACGAGGGTGGCGCGGTTCGATGACGTCAGGGCGCCCGCGGCTCCGCCCCGCCCATGGGACGGACGGAGGCCGAGAGGCGTGGCGGGGGAGCAGTGGGGCCAGGCCAGAGACAGCTGCGCTGTGCGGGCAGCTAGTCCCAGTACTCCGAGTCGGTCGCGGGCCGACAGGCATCCCCTGAGCGCCTGCTGGGTGAGTTGGACGGTGCAGAGCAGCGAGGACCGGGGAGCCCGAAGGTGGAGGCTGCGTTAGCGCCAGGGGCGCGGACGCGACGGGGCGGGAGCGGGGGCACTGAAAGTGCCAGGCCCGGGGGTGTGGGGGCTGTGAGGATTCGCGGGCGGGGGGGCCAGGGTTACCCAGAGCAGGGGCCAGGAGGGCCGGTGGCCCACGTGCTGGGCATTCGGAGGACTTTACACATTGAACTAGGCAGCTGTTCACGAAAGGGAAGTGATTCACATCGCAGAGAAGACTGGAGGCAGCTGTTGCCAGAATAGTGATCTTGAAGCCCCACTTCCTTGCCAGAAACTGCTCCAAGCGTCTCATGTGAATGACAGAAGCCTAGACGGTAGACCCTGGGCACTAGGCAGGCGTCACTGTATTTGGATGACAGTAGCCTCAGACAGTAGACCCTGGGCACTAGGCAGACATCACCATATTTGGAATGCAGCAGCCTAGACAGTAGACCCTGGGCACTAGCCAGGTGTCGCCGTATTTGGAATGCAGCAGCCCAGACAGTAGACCTTGTCTAGACACTGGGCCCTAGCAAGGCATTGTTACTGGCCGGTCTTTGCTCCCAGGGTGGTGGCAGGCCGGTCCCAATGGCAGCAAGGCTCTTGCTCTCTGACCTGGGGTTCTTGGCCTCATGGATTCCAAGGAATGGAACCTTGGGCCATGCGGTGAGTGTTATAGCTCTATTAGAAGCTGTGGGTCACGGAAGAGAACTGTGGAACCCAGCGACTAGTGTTCACCTCAATTAGGATGAACCCAGGCACTTAGCTGTGCGGGAACAATGGCGAGTCTCTAGCCCGGGAGCAGCAACCGGTGCCTCGCTGGATCAGAAGCGCAGTGGACACCCTGCTGGATCTGGAGGGGGGTGGAAGTCAGCGGGGCGTCTGCGACAGCAGCCATCAGCAGTGGTGGATGGCAAGCAAAAGCTCAGCTCAAACCGGAACAAACATGGACCAGAAAAGTGTGCAGTTGCAAGATTTAATATCGTGAAAACAGAGCTCCCATGCAACGGGAGGGGACCCAAAGAGGGTTGCCCGATTCGGCTTGAATGCCTGGGTTTATATCCTGATCATTGTCCCTCCCCCTGTGCTCTCAGGCGACAGATGATCTGATTATTTCTTTACCACCTGTTTTTAGCCTCATTGGTATTTTAGTGAGCTCTCTTTACTACCTGATTGGTCTGGTGTGAGCTGAGTTACAAGCCCCATGTTTAAAGGTGGGTGTGGTCACCTTCCCCAGCTAGGCTTAGGAATTCTTAGTCGGCCTAGGAAGTCCAGCTAGTCCTGTCTCTTAGTACCCCCTCTCAACAGGAAAACCCAAGTGCTGTTGGGGAGGTTGGCCGATGACCGCTGTAACTGCTTCCTGCTGAATTGGGGCGTAGTAGAGGTCATGCAGTTGAGATTTCCTCGGGAGTGGTGCCTTCGATGTCATCAACATCGGAGCATGGGCTAGCAGGCCAGTCCAGGGGTCCACGGTAGATCTTAGTCATGGACTGCATCTGGGGCTCCATTTGAAGAACATTTGTAGTTTCACAGCTTTGATTCTGGAAGAGACAAACTTAACAAGGAGGTTAAAGATACAGGGATTGAAATGTGTGGCCCGAAGTGCAGGGGCATATGGGTGTGGATGGTGAAAGTGGGGTTTCCTTTAGAAAAACTCCTATACAATGGGGCATCAATATTTCTGGGAAGCCGCATTCTCCATAGAAGCTCTTGGTAAGGGGAGCTACTGGTAGTATAGCGGCATGGAGGGGGTGAGGTGATAGTGAAAGGGGGGTAAGACAACAGTAAAGAGAAAAATATGACGGGGGGGGCCATGGAGCTCTACGATTCCAGTTACTTTCCTCGCAGTTGTCGCTTGAAGAGCAGGTGCAGATCCTCTAGAGGTTCACAGGAATAGCTAGCGTTGTCTCCTGAATTTTTGGGTTCCTTTGGCGGTATCCAGGGTTTGATGTGTCTAAGACTCCACTCCAGACACTTTAACT
The DNA here is from genome assembly GCF_000001405.40 of Homo sapiens. Taxonomy (NCBI): domain Eukaryota; kingdom Metazoa; phylum Chordata; class Mammalia; order Primates; family Hominidae; genus Homo; species Homo sapiens. The sequence continues at coordinate 8,426,330 of NC_000004.12, read as the reverse complement.
GCACTCAGGGTAGATAAAATGACTGGGTAGGGTCCTTCCCAGTATGTATCTAGGGGTGGGGACTTAGAGGGAAGGGACTTGACTAATACCATGTTACCAGGGTGGAATTCCTTTCCCTCCTCTCGGGTACAGGTTCCCTGTAATGTTTTAAGAACTTGTTGATATTTGGCTAAGGAGGTGATGTCTGCAACTAAATTGGCCGTCTCTCGGTCAAGCACAAGGTCATTGGTTAGGAAGGGCTGTCCATACAGCATTTCGTATGGGCTAAGTCCTGCTTTTTGGGGGGAGTTTTGTATTCTTAATAAGGCTATGGGCAACAGAGCAGGCCATGCGAGGTGGGTTTCCTGAGTTAGCTTTTTTAGATGTTGTTTGAGTGTTTCGTTCATTTTCTCGACCTTCCCTGAGGATTGTGGCCTCCAGGCGCAGTGTAAGTGATATTGTATGCCTAAGTAACGTCTGCGATACTCGCTGGGTTACTGCAGCCTTGAAAGCGGGGCCATTGTCACTCTGTAAGTCTCAGGGAAGTCCGAATCTGGGAATTATTTCATGAATTAGTGCCTTTATTACGTCTTCGGCCTTTTCTGTCCTACAAGGAAAGGCCTCCTCCCAACCAGTGAAAGTATCTATCCAGACTAGTAGATACTGAAATCCCTGAGATTTGGGCATGTGGGTAAAATCTAGTTGCCAGTCTTCTCCTGGGTAATGGCCTGTTCTTTGTTCTCCTGAAGGAGCTTGGCGATAAGGCAGGGGATTATTTCTTTGCCACACTTCATAGGCCCTGACTATCTGCTTGATAGTTTTGAAAAGTCCTGATCCAGTTAATAATGATTTGGCCGTCTGATAGGTGCTATCAATGCCTAAGTGAAAGGTCTGATGAAGGGTTTTAAGTAATTTCAATTGGTTAGCTGCAGGCAAAAGTATTTTTCCTTCTTCGGTGGCTAGCCATCCTGAGGGGAAGAAACTATGTCCTCGTGAGGTTCCCCATCCTATTTCTTTTGAGTACTGGGGCTTGGTTTCCTACAGGGGATTACCCCATACTAGGGGTCCTTCTATAAGCATTTCTAATGGAGGGTCCCACCTTGCGGCTCTTTTGGCTTCAGTATCTGCTTCGCGGTTCCCTTCTATTTCTCTTTCCTTTCCTTTCTGATCACCCCGGCAGTGTAAGACTGCCACCTCTTTAGGTTTCTGTACAGCCAATTGTAATCTCCTAATGGCTTCCTGAGATTTGATAGGTGTTCCCTCGGAAGTTAGGAATTCCCTTTCTCTCCATATTGCTGCATGGGCATGGAGGACTAGGTAAGCATTCTTAGAGTCTGTGTATATATTTACCCTTTTTCCTTCTCCTAATTTTAGTGCCTGAGTGAGGGCTATTAGTTCTGCCAGCTGAGCGCTAGTTCCTGGAGTGAGGGGATTACTTTCAAGTATTCCATTATCACTGACCACTGCATACCCTGCTTTTCGAAGTCGTTTTTCTACAAAGGAACTTCCGTCAGTATACAAGTTGAGGTCGGGATCAGTCAAGGAAACCTCTAGAAGGTCCCCTCGAGCGGCGTAGGTTTGAGCAATCACCTGTTGACAGTTATGTTTTATCTTTTCTTCATTGTCTGGAAGAAATGTGGCTGGATTAAGAGTTGCACGAGTGCGCAGTCGCAGCACTGGCCCTTCAAGTAATAGAGCCTGATATTTAAGCAAACGGTTGTCTGACAGCCGTAAGTCTCCTTTAGCAGTGAGTATGCCGTCCACATCATGAGACATCCACACAGTAAGATCTCTTCCCTGTATCATTTTAACTGCTTCAGATACTAAGACTGCTACTGCTGCCATTACCCATAAACAATGAGGCCAACCCTTTGCCACTACATCAGTTTCCTTACTCAGGTATGCCATGGGTTGCAACCTGGTCCCTCGGACCTGTGTAAGGAATCCTAGAGCTATTCCTGTTTTTTCTGTGACACATAAAGAAAAGTCTTGCCCCTTTGGCAAGCTTAACACTAGGGCTTGGATTAGGGCCTTCTTTAGGGCCTGGAAAGCCACTTCTGCTTCAGGTGTCCTTCTTACTAAATGGGTATTCACTTTCTGAGTTTCCTTAATTAGTGTGTATAATGGCCTGGCTATTTCACTGTACCTGGGAATCCATATTCGGCAGAAGCCTGTTATGCCAAGGAACCCTCTTAATTGCTTTATGGTTTTGGGATAAGGATAAGCCAGTATAGGCTGGATGCATTCCTCACTGAGGGCCCTGGTGTGTCTGGATAATTTTAGCCCTAAGTATTTAACCTGCTGTGAGCAGAGCTGAGCCTTTGGTCTGGAAACCTTGTAGCCACAGGTGGCCATGAAGTTTAAGAGCACTTGGGTGGCTTGATGGCACAAGGTTTCTGAATGGGTGGCTAAAAGTAAATCATCCGCATACCGAAGGACAAGAGTGCCCAAGTATGAGAACTGGCTCAAGTCTCGGGCTAATGCCTGGCCAAATAGATGGGGGCTGTCCATGAACCCTTGGGGTAAAACAGTCCAGGTGTGTTGAGACATTAGATTCAAAGGATCTTCAAAGGCAAGCAAGAATTGAGAGTCAGGATGTACAGGGATGCAGTAAAAGGCATCCTTAAGGTCCAGGACTGTAAACCACTCTGCTTCCTCTGGTATTTGGGAAAGCAGAGTGAGTATAAGATTAGGTACAGCTGGGTATAGAGGAACAACAGCCTCATTGATAATCCTGAGATCTTGCACTAACCTCCACTGTCCATTGGGTTTCTGTACTCCTAAAATTGGAGTATTGCAGGGGCTATTGCATGGTTTTACTAGGCCTTGGGCTTTTAGGTCCTTAACAATCTTTTGGAGTCCTTGTTGGGCCTCGGGTCTAAGAGGGTACTGCCTTTGGTGGGGAAAGGAGGCGGAATCCTTTAGTTTAACTTGAACGGGACGGGCATTCTTCCCTCATCCATATTGTCCTTCTGTTGCCCAGACTTCAGGATTAATTCCTTCCTCAAGTAGGGGACAGCAAACGGTGTTCCTTCTCCCATGTTCAGGTGTATAATGGCCCCTGCTTTTGCTAGAATGTATCTCCCTAACAAGGGTGTGGGGGTTTCAGGCATAATTAGAAAGGCAAGTGAAAAGAATGAAGTTCCCCAGTCACAACTTAGTGGCTGGGAGAAGTATCTAGTGACTGCCTATCCTAGGACCCCTCGGGTAGTGACAGATCTGGAGGACGGTTGTCCAGGACCAGAGACTAAGACTGAGAAGGCCATGCCAGTGTTCAGGAGACAGTTAACCTTCTGGCCCCCAATGGTCAAGCATACCTGGGGCATGGGCTGGCGCTTGCCCCGGGCACCCTCAGTCCTGCTGCTGGCTTATCTGGTTAGTGGCTTCTGACTGAAAGGACCTTCATCCCCTGGGGCAGTGGGCCTTCCAGTGATTCCCTTGACATGAGGGGCATGGATGAGGGGCAGCTTATTTCTATTCAGACAATCTTTTTTAAAGTGTCCTTGTAGACCACACTGGAAGCAAGCCCTATCAGGCATTTGATTTGCCCAGCGTTTCCCTTTTCCAGAGCCTCCAAAGTAAGATGCTCTCCTCCCCCAATTTCTACCCAGCTTACCTCCCCTGCTGCGATACAATCTCCAAGCCTTGGCTCCTTGGCCAGGGCCTTAGAACTGATGACCCAGTACTTTAACAACTGGAGCTATGCCTACAACAACACAATAGATCAGGATGAAAGCGAATTGAGTAAATTAAAGGGAGGTGCATATTCCTATAGTGGCAAATGGGGGCAAGAAGTGAACTTCTGCTTGCCTGAGGGCCCGTTTGTCCTGTTCTGCCTGCTCCTCCTGATCTCTATTGTGAAAAAAACCGAGGTTGCCAAGTTCATTAGAGTTTCTATGTTTTGCTCTGGGCCTAAGGTGGACTTTTGAAGTTTTTTTCCTAATGTTTGCATTACACTGTTTAACTGACAACAAAGTGGTATTGGAGTGTTATAGGGTCATAGAGAAGACCTTCAATTATCAATTATAGGTTTTAAATTTACCCTGGCTTTTAAAGGAATAGGGTACACTGTTTTTTTCTTAACTACTTATATATCTCTCTCTTTCTTTCTCTCTTTGACTGTCTCTCTCTTTCTCTTTGACTTTCTGCCTTTCTTCCCCCCTCTCTCTTTCTTTCTCTCTCTTCTCTCTCTCTTTCCTTTCTCTCTCTGTTTCTCTTTCCCTCTCATTCTCTCTCTTGATAGATGGATTTTGGGAACACAGCGGAAGAATGTTCGCTCGTTGCCCCCATTTGCCTCTATAGGAATATGCGCCTCCCTTTAATTTACTCAATTCGCTTTCTTCCTGATCTATTCTGTTGTCGTAGACACAGTTCCAGTTGTTAAAGTACTGGGTCATCAATTCTAAGGCCCTGGCCAAGGAGTCTAGGCTTAGAGATTGTATTGCAGTGGGGGAGGTAAGCTGGGTAGAAATTGGGGGAGGAGAGCATCTTACACAATGGGAGAGCAATCCTCCTAGCCATTTACAAACTTGGGGCCCTGGCAAGGGTGGTAGGTCCCACATAACTTCCCATGTCGAGAGCTGTATATCTAAATTGGGAGGGACACCAGGGACAAGACTCCCTGGGTTCATACCCTAGGTGCTTAAGGACACAGCGTAGAGCTTCCTTAGATCCCTTTGGAGATACAACTTGCTCTAATACTTGGGAGAGGAAGTGAGTCTGAAGCATTAGTACCTAGGAGGCAGGGATCAGAGGAAGTAGATTCAGAGGTAAGGAGAATTTTGGGGCTACACTTTCAAGAAAGTCATGGTTAGGACCCAGGAGGTATGGGCCAGAAGGAGAGATAGGGGTGCACGCATGGGCAACTGTTGAGTAGAGACTTCTGGCTGCGCCATGATCTTGACCGGCCAATGCCGGGAATTTGGGACGACAGCTTTCTGCCTCTAGTCAGCCCTCTGCTTCCCCAAGAAAACTGTAAAAGTGGAAGCTGGTTCCAGGCAGACCAATGCTCCCAACCCAAAAGGGTTGGGGATTGTTAGAAAGCCTTTTCCCAGAAAGCCTCACACCTGAGTCTTAAGTCCGGTGGCCACATTAATCATTTTTAACCAGCCAACAGGTGCCCAGTATTTTCCTCCAATTCTAAGGAAGGGTAGGACAGAATAGCAAGTGAAAGTGGTTCAATATTACTCACCGCTTTGGAGAATCCCCATACGAGCCCAGCAAATGTTACCGATGAGTGTTTGCTCCCAGAGCTCCCAAGATGGTGGTGGGCCGCTTCCAAAATGGCAGCAAACCTCTTGCTCTCTGACCTGGGGTTCTTGGCCTCACGGATTCCAAGGAATGGAACCTTGGGCCATGCGGTGAGTGTTATAGCTCTATTAGAAGCCGTGGGTCATGGAAGAGAACTGTGGAACCCAGGGACTAGTGTTCAGCTCAATTAGGACGAACCCAGGCACTTAGCCATGCAGGAACAATGGTGAGCCTCTAGCCCGATTGGGAGCAGCAATGGGTGCCTCACTGGATCAGAAGCTCAGTGGACACCCTGCTGGATCCGGAGGGGTGGAAGTCAGTGGTGGGTCTGCGATGGCGATGATCAGCAGTGGTGGACAGCAAGTGATAGCTCAGCTCGAGCTGGAACAAACATGGACCAGAAGAGTGTGCAGTTGCAAGATTTAATAGAGTGAAAACAGAGCTCCCATTCAACGGGGGGGTACCCAAAGGGCGTTGCCTGATCTGGCTCGAATGCCTGGGTTTATATCCTGATCATTGTGCCTCCCCCTGTGCTCTCAGGGGATAGGTGATTTAATTATTTCTTTACCTCCTGTTTTTAGCCTAATTGGTATTTTAGTGAGCTCTCTTTACTACCTGATTGGTCTGGTGTGAGCTGAGTTACAAGCCCCATGTTTAAAGGTGGGTGTGGTCACCTTCCCCAGCTAGGCTTAGGAATTCTTAGTCAGCCTTGGAAATCCAGCTAGTCCTGTCTCTCAGCATCACTGTATTATCACCCCCAAGGTGCACAGATCTTAGGAAGGTCACCCAGCTAGAAAGCTGTAACATTGAGATTTGAACCCAGACAGTCTGGCTTCACAATCCTTATCTCTAACAGTTGTACCATAATGCAGTAAGGTTGGTGACTTCAAGTGGCATGGGCCCATAGGTACTTGTTAGGATCTGGGGATTTGGAGCCAGCTGTGCTTGATAATAGTTGTATGACCATGGTCAATGTCTCTAAGAAGCTCCAGTTTCCTCACCTGGAAAAGGAGACTACTGATAGTACTTGGGCTTGGTGGGCACAGTTGAGGTCTATGTAGCTGCTTAACACAGTCACCTGCACACAGCACCAGCTCAGTAACTGGAGGTTGTTATGAGGGTTTTATCAGGCTGGAGAGAAATGAGAAGATTCCGTAAGGTGTTAGAGATGCACTGTGGACTTGGTAATGTACTGAGGTTATGGCGCATGGAGAGGGGAATTCCAACATGACACTGGGGTTTGTAATTCCAGTAATCCTTGGGTGACTGGCAGTGTGGAACTGGGGTGCAGGAGGCGAAGCTGGGTCAGGGCTGAGAGGCTGAATTCAGTGTTGAACACTCAGTATGGGCATCTCCAGAACATGAGAGGTGGGGAATTGCCGTTGACTGCCAAATGAGCTCACGAGTCTGGAGGTGTGAATCGGGGAGCCTTGCACACATTGAGGACGTGATGTTTTCGGTTCTCTTGCGTACATACCTCAGAGTGGAATTGCTGAGTCATGTGGTCACTCCATGTTTAATCACTTGTGGAACTGCCACACTGTTCTCCAGAATGGCTGGGTCACTTTACATTTTCACTGGAAGGGCATGAGAGTCTGATTTCTCCACATCCTCTCAATACTTGTGATTATTTTTCTGTTTCTTTTTTCTTTTTTTCTTTTTTTTTTTGAGACAGAGTTTCACTCTGTCACCCAGGCTGGAGTGCAGTGGCGCAATCTAGGCTACTGCAATCTCTGCCTCCCGGGTTTAAGTAATTCTCTGCCTCAGCCTCCCAAGTAGCTGGGACTATAGGCACCTGCCACCATGCCCGGCTAATTTTTTTGTATTTTTAGTAGAGATGAGGTTTCACCATGTTGGCCAGGCTGGTCTTGAATTCCTGACCTCATGATCCACCTGTCTGGGCCTCCCAAAGTGCTGGGATTACAGGCATGAGCCACTGCGCCTGGCCTATTTATCTGGTTCTTTAAGAGATAAGGTCTTGCTGTATCACCCAGGCTGGTCTCAAACTCCTGGGCTCAAGCTGTCCTCCTGCCTTAGCCTCCCCAGAGTAGCTGGGACCACAGGCACGTGCCACTATAGCCGGCATTTAGTATTTTAGTATCTTTTTGCTCATTGCCATCCTAGTGGATGTGAAGTGGTCTCTCATTGGGTTTTTGGTTTGCATTTTCCTGGTGGCTAATGATGTTGACCATATTTTTCTGTGTTTTTGTTGTTGTTGTTGTTTGTTTGTTTTGTTTTCTTTGAGACCGAGTTTCATTCTTGTTGCCCAGGCTAGAGTGCAATGGCACAATCTCAGCTCACTGCAGCCTCTGCCTCCCGGTTCAACCGATTCTCCTGCCTCAGCCTCCTGAGCATCTGGGATTACAAGCATGCGCCACCATGCCCAGCTAATTTTTGTATTTTCAGTAGCGATGGGGTTTCACCGTGTTGGCCAGGCTGGTCTCAAACTCCTGACCTCAGGTGATCCGCCCGTCTCGGCCTCCCAAAGGGATTACAGGTGTGAGCGTGCCTGGCCTTTCCTGTATTTTTTGGCCATTTGTCTGTCTTTGGAGAAATGTCTATTTGAACCCTTTGCCCATTTTTTAATTGGTTTTTTGTCATTTTATTATTGAGTCTTAAGAATTTTTTTTTTTTTTTTTTTTTGAGATGGAGTCTCGCTCTGTCACCCAGGCTGGAATGCAGTGGTGCAATCTTGGTTCACTGCAACTTCTGTCTCCCAGGTTCAAGCGATTCTCCTGCCTCAGCCTCCTGAGTAGCTGGGATTACAGCCATGTGCCACCATGCCTGGCACATATAATCTTTTTTATATGTTGCTGGATTCAGTTTATAAAATTTCATTCAGGATTTTTGCATCTGTATTACAAGAGATGTTTATTTCTAGTTCTCTTGTGATGTCTTTGTCTGGTTTTGGTGTCAAAGTAATACTGGCCTCATAGAATGAGTTGGGAAGTATTATCTTCTCTTCTGTTTTTGGGAAGAGCTTGAATAATTGATCTTCTTTAAATGTTTGGCAGAATTCACAATGGAACCCCTGGTTTTTCTTCGTGGACAGTTTATTGATTGCTAATTCAATCTCTTCAGTCATTATAGATCTGTTCAGATTTTCAGTTTTTCATAAGGCAGTTTTGTTAGCTGTGTCTTCCCAGGAATATGACCACTTCATATCATTTGTTGGCATACCATGGTTCACAATATTCCCTTATAATCCTTTTTATTTCTTTAGGGTCAGTGGTGATGTCCCGTCTTTGATTCCTGATGAGGAATTTGTGTTTTCTCCTTTTTATTTGGCCAGTCTAGCTGAAAGTTTGCCAATTGTGTCAGTCTTTGCAAGGAACCAACTTGATCGTTTATTGATTTTTCTCTATTTTTCTGTTCTCTGTTTCATTCACAGTTGCTCTATCTTTTATTATTTTCTTCCTTCTGCTTTAAGAAGGAAGGAAATAATTTAAGTTTACTTTGTGTTTCTTTTCCAGTGTCTTAAGGTGGTACTTGAAAGGCATGACTCTGAGGTTAGACATTGCTGGGCTTGGAGCCCTTCTCCCCACTTCTCAGCGGAGGGGGTTTGGGAAACACAGCCTCTCTGAGCTTCCGTTTCTCCATCTTTCATGGGGGGCAGTAGTACTTGGCTCACAGCTGTTGGAGGGTGAAATAAGATAAGACTATAGAAGGCAGGATTCCTGCCGCCGCCCACCAACAGGTGCTCAGACCTGCGGCTCCCACCTCCCTGCACAGAGGGGAGTCAGCATCCTGAGCGGCCAGACTCAGGCTCCAGCACCGCAGGCTGTTTCAGCTCAAAGGACTCAAAAGTTCCTCTTTCCTCTAGGCCTTAAACAGTGAAGGTGGGCGGCCCACGCCCAGGACTCAGACAGACTTGGGTTCACCAGCCATTCCCTTCAATGCCTTCATCAGCCAAGCCACTTGGAAAAGGACCCAGTCTATCCAGAAAATTCCAGAATGGTTATTTGGTCAAGAGAGCTGAGTTTTGGGAGGCCTGCTGTGTTAGCGGGAAGCCAGGTGTCTATATGTCGAGGAGAAGCCAGTGCAGAAGCCTGTGATCAGAGGTTCTGTGCTGGAGGCCCTGTGTCCAGGTGGACCGGCGGTGGGTGGAGACGTGAGGTACCATTGTGTGTGGCCAGAGTGGACCAGCTGGCACTGGCTGGATTCCAGAGGGAATGCTTCCTGACCCTGGGTTTAGTGAGCCTTGGGGATGAGTCTGGATGTCCGGGGTGCTCCCAAGAGGGCAGGGTACTCTCAGGCAAGGCTGTGTGACAGAAAACAAGACTCTGACAAACCCTCTGCCCTGTGTGCCTGGTGACCCCCAGGCTGTGCCTGGCTCTCTTCTGTGTCCTTGGCATCTGTGTTCAGGAGTGGACGAGGGAATTCTTCTCGCCTTTTCTTCTGGGAAAATGATGCTAGCCATTCACAGAGTGATTCTCTTTTGCCATCCTTTTGGATTTCAAGTTTACTTTTCTCTGATTTGTAAGGTGTTGCGGGCTCTCCTGTTGGTGGGGGTAGTTTGAACCCATAGATGGGAGAGCATGGATTCAGGTTGCATGTTTTGTGCAGGCTCTTATCACGCGATGGCATCCACTGTGGAAGGAGGCGACACAGCTCTGCTCCCAGAATTCCCCAGGGGGCCCCTCGATGCCTACCGAGCAAGAGCGTCCTTCAGCTGGAAGGAGCTGGCGCTGTTCACGGAAGGGGAGGGCATGCTCCGCTTTAAGGTGAGGCGTGCGGTTGTGCGCAGCTTGTCTTTTTTCCCAGTGGGGTCTTAGTTCGTTAGCAGAATGGGATTTCTGGCTCTCACAGCTCCTCCTCTGCCGGGCGAGGCTCATCCCAGGCAGCGCGGCCTCTCTCCTCTCTGCACCCCAGGACAGGCCTCAGGGAATTGATGAGGAGTCTGGAAATGAACACGGATTGTTGATGTTTCTTAAGCCTCCAGTCCTCTAGTCCATTGGGAATGATAGTCATATCTCTGTCTGGGTGTCTCCGGGTCAGACTGTGTCCCATGAAGCCTGTGGCCTGGAGGTCAACTATATAAGGGCACATGGAGAGTCCATCTTTTACTCCAAATAAGCCTTACCCATCTCCTGCATTTCCAGAAAACCATCTTCTCAGCTCTTGAGAATGACCCTCTTTTCGCTCGTTCCCCTGGAGCCGATCTGTCCTTGGAGAAGTATCGCGAGCTGAACTTCCTTCGATGCAAGCGGATCTTCGAGTATGACTTCCTCAGTGTCGAAGACATGTTCAAGAGCCCTCTGAAGGTCCCCGCCTTGATTCAGTGCCTGGGCATGTATGACTCTTCTCTGGCTGCCAAGTACCTCCTCCATAGCTTGGTGAGCATGCGGCCTAGGGGAGAGGGAAACGGCTTTCATGCTGCGCTGAGCCTTGAGGGATGCCTGTCCCAGGGCCAACCAAGAGGCAGAGAAACACCAGTTTGTCCAGCTATATTTGCAAATTTTAAAAATTATCTTTTTTTTAATGTTTTTAAAAAAATTTCAGTCCCCCTTTTCATTTTTTTATTTTCAAGCCCATCCACCATCATGTATTTGTAAATTTGCACCCATAAGTCCTTGAATAAAATACAATGTGGTGAAGCTTCAAGTCCCATCAGAAGAGGAGCTGTTGGGACTTTTTTTTTTTTTACCTCATACAAAAAAAGAGACAAATGATTAAAAAAAAAATAAAAAAATTTAAAAAGTAGGCCAAAGGGAGAAACCTGTGTTTTTCCTTCCTTTGTAACATACCAGCAGAGCTGAGCTTGGGCAAAATGGCTTTGCCCTTAGCCTTGCCTGCATTGTTTGATGGGCTGGTGGGCTCTGCTCTCCTTACAGCTCTCCCTGCTGTCCTCAGACCCCCAGGACTCCTTGCAGGCATCTTAATTCCCAGGTGATTTCTGTGTGCCTTATACAAGGTGCTCGGCACAGAGATGTAGGTCTTACCACTCACATGAACTCAGGGACCCGGGGCAGCTGTGTGTCAGGAGACCCTGGCCTTGGGCATCCAGGCTGCTGGCTAACCTCTCAGCACTTGTTCTCCACCTTGGGGAAAGTGCAGTGTGGCAGGGAACCAGCGTGGGCATGGTGTTGAGTGCCGTTGTCTGTTGTGATGTTCCGGAAGAGCAGTACTCTTCTTACCTGCCCCCTGTTGATAGGACGATGTTATACTTTCAGGTTTTTGGATCAGCAGTTTACAGTTCTGGTTCTGAAAGACATCTCACATATATTCAAAAGATCTTCAGGATGGAGGTAAGTTCTGGTTCATGGTAAATTGTGAGCCTGGTTCTCTTGCTTGATCTCTGTAGAGATTTGTGAAAAGAGAAGATTGTAGAAGGGGGTGCCCAGGGGGCTTATGCTCTTCTTGTTTCCTAGTGTTCTCAGGCTTCTCACCAAATAGCTAGCACTGTTCTTTAGCAAACACAGGCACATTGACTTCCTAGCACCAGGTGAATTGTCACTGAGGCCTTCCACTGTCTTTTCCTGATGAGCAGTTCCTGCCACCTTGCTGACGTGGAGCAGCTGCGGTCAGCTTGGTTTAGGCTGCTGTGGTTGCCAGCTGAGTGTGGCAGCATGACTCAGTCAAGTCACTAGTTGGGTAGATGGAAATTTGGGGCTTTGATATGTGGTTTCATCTTTAAAGGAAAGATGGCAGTGAGGTCCTTCTGGGAATGTGCACAAAGAACTTTTCTTGCTTTCCATCATTTTGTGCTTTGACATTTAGATTTTTGGATGTTTTGCTCTGACCGAATTAAGCCACGGCAGTAATACCAAGGCCATTCGCACAACTGCCCACTACGATCCTGCCACTGAGGTAGGTATTACCTTCCCCCGGGTCCCTGAGTTTGGAGCATATGAGACGTCATGAGTGCAAATGCCGTTGCCCAGAATAAGAAAAAAAAAACATTAAAGCAAGAGGCCTGTCCACATACACTTGTGTAGAAATACCCACTGAGATTCATCACACTGAAAAGTGGGGCCCAGGAGATCAGGCATTGGAGGACAAAGCCTGTGCCCACCATGAACTTTATGGGGAATTGATCGTGGTTTGGATTTGTGTGTAATTTGAGTGCAGTGAAGAAGCCCTCATTCTGTAAAATTTATTGCCTTGTTTACCTGGCTGCCTATGCGTAGTGGATTCATAAACCGTTCTCATGGCCCGTGGTTTCTACGGTGGGCCCCATGGAGACAACATGCTCCCTGCCCTCTGCCCTTTGTGGCTGTCCCTCTGCGAAGAGCCTGCCTTGTCCATTTCCGCCACCGCAGTCTGACTCCTCGGGTCCTTGCCATCCTCTTGACCTCTCTGGTACCTGCATTGTGGCTGCTGCCTGGGAGTTCTGGTGTGGTGCAGTGAGACGGGCCACAGATGGATGCCCTGGGGCTGTCAGTGCTGTGGAGGGGCACGGGGTGCAGTGAGACGGGCCACAGATGGATGCCCTGGGGCTGTCAGTGCTGTGGAGGGGTGGAGGGGTGGAGGGAGATGGGCCACAGATGGATGCCTTGGGGCTGTCAGTGCTGTGGAGGGGCGCAGAGGTGCAGTGAGACGGGACACAGATGGATGCCCTGGGGCTGTCAGTGCATGGAGGGGTGCATGGAGGGTTGCGGGGTGGAGGGAGATGGGCCACAGATGGATGCCCTGGGGCTGTCAGTGCTGTGGAGGGGCGCAGGGGTTCAGTGAGACGGGCCACAGATGGATGCCCTGGGGCTGTCAGTGCTGTGGAGGGGCACAGGGGTGGAGGGAGATGGGCCACAGATGGATGCCCTGGGGCTGTCGGTGCTGTGGAGGGGCGCAGGGGTGCAGTGAGACGGGACACGGATGCCCTGGGGCTGTCAGTGCTGTGGAGGGGTGCGGGGTGGAGGGAGATGGGCCACAGATGGATGCCCTGGGGCTGTCAGTACTATGGAGGGGTGCAGGGGTGGAGGGAGATGGGCCACAGATGGATGCCGTGGGGCTGTCAGTGCTGTGGAGGGGCGCAGGGGTGCAGTGAGATGGGCCACAGATGGATGCCCTGGGGCTGTCAGTGCTGAGGAGGGGTGCGGGGTGGAGGGAGATAGGCCACAGATGGATGCCCTGGGGCTGTCAGTGCTGTGGAGGGGTGCAGGGGTGCAGTGAGACAGGCCACAGATGGATGCCCTGGGGCTGTCAGTGCTGTGGAGGGGTGCGGGTTGGAGGGAGATGGGCCACAGATGGATGCCCTGGGGCTCTCAGTGCTGTGGAGGGGCACAGGGGTGGAGGGAGATGGGCCACAGATGGATGCCCTAGGGCTATCAGTGCTGTGGAGGGGCGCAGGGCAGCGAGGGAGGATGGGGAGGGTCCTCACCCACCCTGTTCTGTTCCCTGGCCCTGCCTCCCTGCCACCACATGACTCTCCTTGGCCTCCGCTTGTCCCTGAGGCCTAGGTCTCCCTGCCAGTCTTTCCTCACCCGCCTTCCACCCTCCCCCATTGGCAGTGGTCAGGGAGGACTGTTGTGTGGCAGGAAGTGAAGCTCTGCACCTGCGGATGTGCTCAACCAGTCATCCATCCATCATTCTTTCATCCATCCATTCATTCTTCCATCTGTCCATTCATTCTTCCATCCATCCATTCATCCTTCCATCCATCCATTCATTCTCTCATCCATCCATTCATTCTTCCATCCATCCATTCATTCTTCCATCCATCCATTCATTCTTCCATCCATCCATTCATTCTTTCATCCATCCATTCATTCCACAGCCTGGGCTGTGTGGACTGTGCCTGGGGTACTGCATGGAAGAGCCCAGGAATGAACTCAAGCGGACCCGTAGCCCAGCAGGGATAAGAGGTGGTCCTCGCACAGGGTGCCCCTGCTGTGGGGCCTTGGGAGTGGGGCCAAGGCTCCTTCTCAGAGTGGGGCTAGGAGAAAGTAGGGCATGAGGTTCTTTTCAGAATTTTCTTTTAAGCCATAAGATATCTTTATCTGAACCCAGGTCTTTCTGGCCCCATGGCTGCTTCTCCTCCTGCTGTCCTCTTTGCCTGTGGCCTGCAGTGCCAGGAGGTGGGGCCCTTTCTGACAGGCAGATGGACAACAGCACCCAGGTAGCCTTGGGGTGGGGCATCAGAGGACCACTTCCCATTTCCACCTCCTTCTTTTTGGCATTTGATCCCTAAGTGGAGGTCAGAGTGTGGCATCAGATCCGTAGAGTTGGGGTGCCCAGGATCCAGGCTGGGCTGCTGGCTGAGCATTTATTTGGACAGCAGGCATTGCTGGGTACCTGTTGTGTGTGAGGCACAGCTTTCCAAGACTGGGCTGGAAGTGGCGAGCACAGCAGACAGGTCTCTGCTGTCCTGAAGTTGTGGGCTGGGGGGAGACACAGACACCAACAGAAAGAAGTGAGATGTGCTGGGCACCATGGAGGCCCTCCAGAGAGCAAAGCTGGTATGCCGGGGCGCAGGGAGGCAGCCAGACAGTCGAGACAGTGGGAAAGATCTGTGTGGAGCAGTGCAGGCCCCGAGGAGCCGGCTTGGGCCGGTGTTGCAGTGCACACCTGCACTGCGGAGAATGAGTGACAGGTGGAGGTATCAGAACTGCCGCGTGCTGAAGAATGAATGGGGAGGGCCTGGCTGAGACTGGGAGCCCTCCTTACCCTCGCAGGCGAAGAGCTGGTGGTCCCCTGAGAGAAGAGAACAGAAGGCATGGCTGGCAGCCACCCCACCTCCTACTTCTCCTCAGTGAAACTTCAGGATCTATAGGATGATTGTTCACTACTCTGTTTACAGAATCCCACTGGTTAGACAGGAGGAAGCCCTCCCCGGCACGTTATTTTGTAGCCTCCCACCCTGCAGGGGCTGGAACCAGAACCAAAACTTAGCCACGACAGCCCCTAGCAGTGACTGGCAAGCTCCGCGTGGAGGATCAGTGTCTCCCGAGGCGGCCCAGGGCAGCTCTGTGGGCCACCTGCGGGCTGTCTGCCTGAAGGCGCTCATCTTTGTCCCCTTGCGGATCCCGGCCACATTATGCAGCACTGCTGGTCCGCATCCTCCCTCCCAGCCTTACTCGAAGGGCTCCCAGCAGACGCCCCTGGGGCAGGCCCAGCCCCAGCGGCCCAGCTCCTGCCTGTTCCCACGTGCTCTTCGCTTCTGACCCATGCAGCACCCTCAGTGTTCCTTGGGGATCTGTCCACACCCCTTCTAGCCAAACACCGAACGCTGTGATGCCACAGCCCATCTGCTAGTTCACGCATGCGTTCCTTCCTTCCTTCCTTCTGATGTTCTGAGCGGCTGCCTTGTGCTCGGGGCATTTGGGATATAACTGTCAATCACGGAGCTGTGGATGGGAGAGACAGCAAGGGGGCAGCAGTGTGTTGTGAATTAGAGGTCCTAAAGAACTGAGTGGACTGCACGGCATTCCCACAGCCCTGCCCACAGGGCACAGACAGCCCCGCCCACAGTGCACAGACAGCTCCGCCCACAGTGTATCCACAGTGTTTCTACCTAAGGGGCGTGGTTAGGGACTGAAGACTATATGATAATGAAAACTCCCTGGAAGCGTTTGCCAGCCTGCGGAGTATTTTGCATCTGAAGGTTCTTTAAGTCATAAGGCCCAGGAATAGGCTGTGTTTAAAAAATAGGCCTGCCTGTGCCATACAAGAACTAAAATGTGCGATTAGTTTCAACTCTTGCCTCAGAGATTTTGAACGTAGAAAATGGAATCTGTCTAAAAGGAAAACACCAATTCTGCATGTGCTTTAGTTGCTAATTATAACTAACCTAAATTTTCCCTTGTGCAGGAATTCATCATACATTCCCCTGATTTCGAAGCTGCCAAGTTTTGGGTTGGCAACATGGGCAAGACAGCCACTCACGCGGTGGTGTTTGCTAAGCTGTGTGTGCCAGGGGACCAGTGCCATGGGCTGCATCCCTTTATCGTGCAGGTAGGACGCTGGGGTGGCCCTCAGTGGGGGCAGTGTTTACCCCCAGGAAGCACTGGTAATGTCTGGAGTCATTTTTGTCATAACAAGGGTGGGGCATGCTTCTGGCATCTGGTGAGTGGACCAGGGACACTGCCCAGGACCCCAGTGCATCCCATAGCCCCGCCCACAGTGCAAACAGCCCCGCCCACAGTGCATTCCACAGCCCTGCCCACAATGCAGATAGCCCCGTCCACAGTGCATCCCACAACCCTGCCCACAGTGCACAGACAGCCGCGCCCACAGTGCACAGACAGCTCCGCCCACAGTGTATTCCTACAGCCCCGCCCACAGTGTATCCTACAGCCCCACCAGCAGCGCACAGACAGCTCTGCCCACAGTGCAGACAGTCCTGCCCACAGTGCACAGACAGCTCCACCCACAGTACAGATAGCCCTGCCCACGGTGCACAGACAGGCCTGCCCAAAGTGTATCCCACAGCCCCGCCCACGGTGTATCCTACAGCCCTACCCGCAGCACACAGACAGCTCTGCCCACAGTGCAGACAGTCCTGCCCACAGTGCACAGACAGCCCTGCCCACAGTGCACAGACAGCCCCACCCACAGTACAGATAGCCCTGCCCACAGTGCACAGACAGGCCCGCCCAAAGTGTATCCCACAGCCCTCCCCACAGTGTATCCTACAGGCCCACCCGCAGTGCACAGACAGCTCCACCCACAGTGCAGACAGTCCTGCCCACAGTGCAGACAGCCCCGCCTATGGTATATCCCACAGCCCCTTCCAGGGTGCATAGGCAGCCCCACCCACAGTGTATCCCGCAGCCCCTCCCACGGTGCAGACAGCCCTGCCCACAGTGCACAGACAGCCCCACCCTTGCCTTAGAAAGAAACATCCAGCCCAATGTCCCCCAGTGACACAGCTGAGAGGGCCTGGCCAAGGCTCCTGGCCACAGGAGCTGCAGGCCTCTGAGACCATCTGGTTGATTTGATGCACAAAGTTTTTCAATTTCGATGAAGTCCAGTTTTACGTTTTTTTCTTTTGTTGCTCATGTTCTTATTTTTCAGTTGACCTGACGTTTGAGCTGTTGCAGACCAGAGAGATTTTTTTCATTGTAAGGTTACAGGACAAAACCAAAGTGTTTTTCCTACTGTCATGCAGCCATCACAACGCTTCTGACATTAGATGTGTGTGGGTTTCTCCCCACCAGCAGGCAGCTCTGCAGCAGAAAGCAGCTGGGCGTCCTCTAATTTAACTCCATACTGATGCTGTTCACCTGGGGTGAGCCTCAGACCGCCCCCACCCCCCCCCCACCCCCCCCCCCCAGTGAGGGCTCAGTCCCACAAGAAGCTCCCCAACCCTTTGGATGCCAATGGCAAGTCCAGGTTGTGGCCTGTGCCTCTGATCAATCCCCTAATTGTACCTTGGTCTTCATCCTGAAGCTATTTAGGGGTCTGCAACCATCTCATGAGCACACAAAAGACTGTCACCACTGCAGAGAGTCCAGGGTTTTAGGAGTCGTGTGCTGGGAAGCAGGGACAAGGCCAAATATGTATTTATCACAGCATCATAGTTACCTGAGGCCAGTGTGCCTTGTTTCTGTGATTATAGATTTCTACCTGGAGTGGACTTCTTGCGGGAGTTGCCTGGACTAGAATTCAGCAGCTTTCGGCGTGTCTGATTTTGGGGACATAGAGCCGCAGTGTTTTAGACTTGTTTATGTTGTGCTAAAAACACTCCGCAGGATTGTGTCGCCCCTCTCGCCACTGCACCAAGTGCTCAGGGCACCTGAGTCCACCTCCCAGAGCCACGGCCTCCTGCCTGATAAGGAGGGATGGAAACAGTGGTCTTGGGGTTATTTGGACAGGATTGTGATCTGCGCCCCAGACCTGAGCTGGTGGGCGGAGGGGCAGGCATCTTTTGCAGGTTTCTTTCTTTTTTTCTTTTTTTTTTTTTTGTGAGACAGTGTCTGAATCTTTACTGGGCCTTGCTGAAAGATTTTAGAAAAGGAGAGGATGTTTACATTTGGGTTTTAGCCCTTTTTGAGTGTTTCTTTATTTTAAAGTTCAGTGAAGTTAGATGGTGAATTGACAGACATAAACAGAAGCCAGCTAGCAGGTCATGCACATAGCTAAATTCCCCGTAGCACCACCTCCATGTGTCTCTAAAGCAGCTTTTCCACTTTGGCACTGTTGACAGTTTGGGCTGGGTAGTACTCACTGGGGCGCCCTGTATGCCCAGGGCTGGGCTGAGCACTTCTGGCGTCTGGCCATTCTGTGCCATAGCTTCCTGCAGTTAACACAACCAGAATCTCTCCAGACACCACCCGTGTCCCCTGGTGGGGAAGGGGAAGGTGGCACGTCTCATGGTTGGGAATCCCTGCTGTAACAGTGCCCAAGGATGAAGCTCCACGTCCTTCCGTCGAGTTCCCACAGTGCGCAGCCATTAGCTGGCTGGACCTGTATCTTGGGGAGCGGTGATTGACCAGAATATTCATAGCCGTTTCTCCCACTACACCTATTTGCACAGCCATTTTGTCACTTTACTAAAATCTAGCAGGGAGTCCTGTGTCTAAAACGTGAATATGAAATTCCCGACGTCCTCCCGGCAGCACCGGCCCCCGTGTTAGTCTCTCATGGCTGCCACAGCAAAGCACCACAAAGCAGGGCGCTCGAAACAGCATAACGTATTCTCCCAACTCTGGAGGCCGGGGTCTGAAATTGAGGAATCTTTAGGGCGGCATTCCCTTTAAAGGCTCTAGGGGAGGATCCTTCCTATCTCTTTCAGCTCCTGGTGGCCCCAGGCCTGTGGCCCCATGTGGGCGGCAAGCCACCCAGGTGCCGAGGCAAGAGACTGAGGACACGAGCTGTTCCAGTGTAATAAAATATAAAATAAGAATACCAGATATAGATCTTAGATATGATTATATATGAATATCAATAATCATTAGTTTGTAGCAATTACTCTTTATCCCAATATTATAATAATCCTCGCTCTATAATCATAACCTAGGAAAAACCAGGCCATACAGAGATAGGAGCTGAGGGGACATAGTGAGGAGTGACCAGAAGACAAGAGTACGAGCCTTCTGTTATGCCCAGACAGGGCCACCAGAGGGCTCCTTGGTCTAGCAGTGATGCCAGCATCTGGGAAGACGCCCGTTGCCAAGCAGACCGTGGTCTAGCGGTAGCATAAGTGTCAAGGAAAAACACCTGCTACTTAGCAGACTGGGAAAGGGAGTCTCCCTTTCCCTGGGGGAGTTTAGAGAAGACTCTACTCCTCCACCTCTTGTAGAGGGCCTGACATTTGTCAGGCTTGCCCGCAGTTATCCGGAGGACTAACCGTCTCCCTGTGATGCCGTGCTTCAGTGGTCACGCTCCTAGTCCACCTTCATGTTCCATCCTGTACACCTGGCTCTGCCTTCTAGATAGCAGTAGCAAATTAGTGAAAGTACTAAAAGTCTCTAATAAGCAGAAATAATGGCGTAAGCTGTCTTTCTCTCTGTCTCCTCTCTCTCTCTCTGCCTCAGCTGCCAGGCAGGGAAGGGCCCCCTGTCCAGTGGACATGTGACCCATGTGGTCTTACCTATCATTGGAGATGGCTCACTCTCCTTATCCTGCCTTTGTCTTGTATCCAATAAGTATCAGTGCAGCCTGGCCTTCGGGGCCACTACCGGTCTCCGTGTCTTGGTGGTAGTGGTCCCCCGGACCCAGCCGTCTTTTCTTTTATCTCTTTGTCTTGTGTCTTTATCTCTATGCTCTCTTGTCTCCACACACGGGGAGAAACCCACTGACCCTGTGGGGCTGATCCCTACAGCCCCAGCGCTGTACTCTGTGCCTCCGTCTCCACATGGCCCCCTCTTCCCCACACCCACTCCTCTTCTGATTCTCATAGGACACTTGCCGTGGGATTTAGGGCCCACCTGGGTGATTTGGGATGACCTTATCTTGATGCTCTTAAATTCATTATATCTGCAGGACCCTATTTCCAAATAAGCTTCCATTCCCAGGTCCTGGGGTTAGGACTTGGATGTATCATTTCTGGAGGATGGTTTAACCCACAGCCGCCCAGCGTTGAGCCCATGGCCCACCCTGTGGGTTTCTGAACACATTTGTTTTGATTTTTGTGTGATTGTAACAGTTGCTGTTTGCTGCTTTCTGTGGCTTTGTATAGATCCGGGACCCGAAGACCCTTCTTCCCATGCCTGGAGTGATGGTTGGCGACATAGGAAAAAAACTCGGGCAGAACGGTCTGGATAATGGGTGAGTGACAGAGGCTGCTGAGCCCTGAGCTTCCTGCCAAGGCCCAGGCTGCGTTGTCGCTCATGTCTGAGATCTCACTGGCCCCATGGATGCCATGCCCTGCCCTCTTAGACTCAAATGCGGTGGGGACCTACGCCTAGCCCCCGTGCATGCACTGGCCACGTCCTGCTTGAACTCCACTTTGGGAGGCCAACTTGATCAGAGACCTCAGCAAACCAGCTTCACCTTGGCAGGCGGCTCCACACTCTCAGATCAGACCCAGACCTCTGTGTACAACTGGTGGGGCCCCTGCCTGGGGGGCTGCCTCCTCTGTGTGAGGTCCTCCTCAGCATCCTGAGCCTCCCCCGGCTCGGCCTCTGCACACATCCATGCTGATCTCGAGGGACCCATATCTGCAGTTTCTGCCTCCAGAGTAGGCTTGCTCCTTTCCGGGTAATCCCAGTGTCACAGCACTTAGAAAGAGAATTCCGCTGGCTTATTTGTTTAATCAGCCCACATATATCTATTTAGCAGCACACATGTGACACCGGGTTGGTGTGGCCAAGGCCTGGCTGAAGGGTTGGATGGGGCGTGCAGAGGGGAGGGGCCTAGAAAGACTAATGAATGCTTGATGGCCACATGGAGGCCTGGGTGGCCGGGGAGAAGTGGCCAGTGATTTTGGAATGTGCAGCGTTTCAGGTGGAGGAAGCAGTGGGAAGTGTCAGGCCCAGGCCTGTGCTGGGATGCAGGCGGGGTAGGGAGGCCAGGCCGCAAGGGCCTTGAGGGTCTTTGAGGGATTGGATTTTGGAGCTCCAGGTCATTAGCAGCATGACTTTTGGAATGAGACAGATGTGCAGCCGGCCCTTTGTGTCACCTTGACCAGCTTTCTTGGCATTTCCTCATCTGTAAAGTAGGTGACAAGAGAGGTCCCTGTGCCAGGGCCCTGCCAGGCCCTGCCTGAGCAGGCCGGGCTTGAACTTCCTGGCCACTGGCCCATTTGGTGCCTCCCTCACTGCGAATGCTGGACTCCACACGCTGTCTCCCCCGAGAGCCTGATCCAGCAGGGTGTAGACCCCTCTGTGCCCACGAGATGATTTATAACTTGGGGGTAGTGGGACAAGGTATGACCATGCCTGAGCCTGATAGCCTGAAAGATGTCTCAGGAGTGTTTCTAGATATGCGTGTTTCATATAGTGTTTCATAGCGAGGCTGGTGGAGAGGAGAGGAGCCTGCCTTACAGGAGTTGGAAATAACTGGTTATCATGACCAGGTTGTCTCCAGAGGGAGAAGATGGGCCAGTGGGCATCTGAGCGCTCAGCGATGGAGAAACCTCCTTCTGCCTGTCTCTTCTGAGAAGTCAGGGTGATGGGCAGGGAGTGTCTTAAATCTCTGCTTGGCCCTTTAAAACAGGCAGGGCCCCAGACTGTACTAAAGAGGAAAATCTTGATTGATTTTTATACAGTGTCAACTTGAGAAGAAAGTAAAAGGACATTGTTAAAAAGCAAATTCTTGTGATTTCAGGCAAAAAAAAAAAAAAAAAGCAAAACAAGACACATATGCACAGCCCTCCTAACTCCACCTGTCCTGCAGAGTTCTGGGTTCTCACTGGCTTATACTAAAATAATACAAGGAACCTGCTAGTTAATGTTGGAGCTGGCAGGGAGGAGAGCGCCACCCCGACCTGCGGCTGTCAGTTCTCTTGAATGACTACTTTCGCAGGGTGCCTGGGAGGCGCTTGGCATGGACGGTGCCCGTGTAGCAGGTATGGAGGGTCGCTGTTCAGGCCCTTCGCCCTCAGGGCAGCGGGAAGCCCCAGCCATCTGGAGGATGTAATGCGGCTTGGTCTGTTTGAGAAGGATGGCTCTGGCCTCAGGGTGAGAAGCTCTGAAGCGCTGTGCAGGAAATGGGGTGTAGGAAGCACTGTGTTGTTCTGGAGAATCTGCATCCTTTTATTAGACCCGGCTGATCCCTTTCAGGGCTCTGCAGCCACAGGCACTGTTACCCATCTACTGAAGTGTCCTATGTGTGCACGTAAGGCCCGACAGGCATCTCCACCCGGGCATATGGCGGTGGTGAATTGTCACATCCAGTGGGTGGCCTCGGGTGTGAGCAAGGCTCTTCTTCACTGCTCATTCAGTTTCATGAATGAGAGGCTTTGACATTATTTTGGGACATTGCAGAGAAACCCTGCACTTGGTTCCCCCCTAATAAACGTATTTCTAGAGATTGAATCCACACCTCTTACTGGGATAATATTCAAAGGAGCATTAGATCAAACCATTAATGATTAATACATCACACTGATATGGTAAAGCCTCTTGTAAGACTCAGAAATACGGTCTCCTATAGGATCGCCACTAACACAATAACGACCGCCCTTTGACGCTGGTTCAGAGCTGCTCCACCAAGCCAGGTCACTGAGCCCCCAGAGCCTTTCCACCGTGTCTCTCTGCAGGGTGACAGGGATGCAGTGGGATTCGTCCATCTTTGATCCCTGAGCCTTTGAAGGCCTAGGTTGGGCTGGGATGGGAGCCAGCCGGGGTGATGCAGGCGGCCTGCTCTCCGCCCCTTTCCAGAAATGCACATTTCCCATCCAGGGCTGGAGGGTCTGGGCAGGGCACCCAGCAGGGGGCGCAGTGATACCAGTGTTCCCTCCGGGTTTCCCAGCCAGTTTCTGCCTGGATGTCTGTCTTTTCCAAGATCAGCATTATAATTTAGTGATTTTTGTTACCAATGTTGAAATCATTTATCTTGAAAAAAGTGGTTACAATTTGTAGGTTAGATTTTGTCACTTTACAAGAACTCCTGAGTATGTGGGATGACTGCCTACAAATCCAAGGTAAACGTAAATTGTGTGGATTAATTTTAGCCAAATAGCTCTAAAAGCAAAATCATAAAGATCTTCTCAAGTGATAGTTTCAGCCAGACTCTTAAGGTGGGCTGCACCTTAAGGGTCTTTCTTCGTGCGTTTGCCCTGAGCTGAGGCGGTGGCTGGGAGGATGGCTGCCGAACTCAACGGCCTGCTCTGGCGGCTTGGCTGGGCTGGGCTTGGGGGGCCCTTCCAGGCCCCAAAGGAGGAAGGAAGCTGCTGCAATAAGAAGCAGGATGTCCAGGGCGCGGGGTGTGTGCTGAGGTCTGGGCGCTTCTGGGATTGGAGTGAGGGTTTCTGTGCCACACTCAGGCCTCCCGTGCCACGTGCATGTCCAGTGACACACACACACAACTCCTGTGCTGTGCACACACACACCTGTGACACACGCACACGTCTCCCGCTGGAGACACTGGATCTGGCTTGTATTTGAGTTGGCCACATGTGACCACCACTGTAATAGCTTTTGTGGAACAGAAGGGATCCCCTGAGAATTCGTGGAAGTTTGCTTTCCTTTGAAACTCACGGGAATGTTTTTGCAAGTATAAATATATTCTGTGTGGTGAGAATGGGGGAATAATTTCCACTCCTTAAAAAGGGCGCTGACTGTGACCGGATCATACTGGAAAAGGCATTCCTTGGCTTTCAAGTAACAGGCTGGAGCACGCTGGGGCCATTGGCACCGAGGCAAGGTTTTTCTCACGAGGTGGGGTGTTCTGAGTGTGCGGCTGTGGCATGGGGGAAGCTGCTACCAAACTGGGCAGCTGGGCCTAGGGCTTTGGAGGAGCTGGCCCCCCCGCTGCCCTTCACTTCCTGCAGGTGGGCAGGGGCCTGGCAAAGCAGCCGAGAGCTCTTCCCTCACCAGGTCACCCAGGTTTCCCTAAGGAGCTCCAGCCCCGTCCCCACCCGGCCCCAGGGCCTTGCTCCTCCTGGTAGTGTGGAAACTGTCGCTGTGTCTTTCCCTCAGGCTGTCCTGGGAGTCAGGATCATGGCCTGGCCCTTGTGCCTCAGAGGATGTCGTCTGCCCCACCTGACTTGTTCATACCATGCCACTTACGTGCCCGTCCCTTAAGTCTGGCAGGCCCCATGCACGGTGGCCCCCTCATGGAGGGGGGTGAGCCCCGGGAGACTGCTGAGAGGCAGCTAGCTCACCCAGGAACCAGGAACGTTGATGGTTGAGGGATCCCACCCTGGGGTCCGCCTCATACCCTTCCCAGGGTGGGGCATAGAATTCCCAGGTGGGCCGAGGGCTGCCTGGTGTCAACAGTGACTGCATGGAGGGCATGAGGCCAGGAGAGAACCTGGTGGACGGGGCACCACAGGCAGGCAGGACCACCTCATGGCAAGGCGGTGATGCTGTTAGAGGGGCAGATGGGGCACCACAGGCAGGTGGGACCACCTCATGGCAAGGTGGCGATGCAATTAGAGGGGCAGATGGAGGTCAGCTTGGGGGGATCCTCCACATTGGCCTCCGCCATTCCGAAGGCCTTTGGGAAACGGCCCAGCTCCCACAGGGAGGATGGGCTGAAGAGGCAGAGTTAGGAAAGAGCCAATATGGTTGCTGCAGGAAATCAGCCCAGGAGAGCTGAGTAGGGATGGAGGTGCTGGGTCCTAGGTGGGGATGGAGGGGAGAAAGTGAATCGGGCCAGCACAGCAGAGCTGGCAGCCCAGGACCGGGTGACAATGGGGGTGTGGGGGCATCCTGAGCAGGACTCAAGGAAGAGCCCACGCAGGAAACGGGTGCCTCTGGTTCCCTTCCAGCATGTGAGATTATTCTTTATAGATGAGTCTTCTGTGGTTTAGTAAAAGACTATTCTGTAGGCAGGGGTCCCCAACCCCGTGGTACTAGTCTGTGGCCTGTTAGGAACTAGGCCACCCAGCAGGAGGTGAGCATCGGGTGAGCCAGCAAAGCTTCCTCTGTGTTTATAGCCACTCCCCATTGCTCACATGACTGCCTGAGCTCCGCCTCCTGTCAGATCGGTGGCGGCATTAGATTCTTATAGGAGCGTGAATCCTACTGTGAACTGCGCATGTGAGGGATCTAAGGCGAGCGCTCCTTATGAGAATCTAATACCTGATGATCTGTCACTGCCTCCCATCACCCCCAGATGGGACCATCTAGTTGCAGGAAAACAAGCTCAGGCTCCCACTGATTTTGCAATTTTGCATTATGGCTAATTGTATAATCATTTCATTATGTGTTACCATGTAATAATAATAGAAATAAAGTGCACAATAAATATAATGTGCTTGAATCATCCCGAAACCACTCCCACCTCCCCCTCATTCGTGGAAAAATTGTCTTCCATAAAACCGGTCCCTGGTGCCAAAAAGGTTGCGGACTGCTGCCCTAAGGCATTGCAAGTGAACTTAGGAATCAGACAAGTTGCTATAGGAACTATTGATATTTTGAAGTTTGTTTTGGGGGGTTTTTGCACAGTTTATGTAATATTCTTAACCTAGCATAGCCTTATTCCCTAGACTGTTGTGTAATAGGTTTTCCTGACCAGACAACCATAACAGGTATCTTTGGTTATTAATACATCATGATCCATAACAATGTGTGTGTAATCCTATGCTCAGCTGTTCAAAAGAAGTGAATTTCCTTGCCGAGGGAGCACCAATGCCATCACACCAGTTATTTTGTTTGACTGAAGAGTTTTAAACCTCATTTTGCCAATATTATTACACTGTGGGTTCTGGTTTAAGATTGAAATATGAGAATCAGAGATTCCAATCTTTGGAAACACAGTTCCCGTCTTTTCTGTTGAATATCTGGAGTTCTGTACTTGGAGTACAACTTACCATATACACAATGCTTTTATTATTATTATTATTATTATTATTATTATTATTGAGGTGGAGTCTTGCTCTGTCACCAAGGCTGGAGTGCAGTGGCGTGATCTTGGCTCACTGCAACTTCCGCCGCCCGGGTTCAAACAATTCTCCTGTCTCAGCCTCCTGAGTAGCTGGGACTACAGGCACATGCCACCACTCCTGGCTAATTTTTTTTTGTATTTTTAGTAGAGACGGGGTTTCACCATATTGGTCAGGCTGGTTTCGAACTCCTGACCTGAGGTGATCCACCCACCTCGGCCTCCCAAAGTGCTGGGATTACAGGCGTAAGCCACCACACCCAGCCTATTTTTTAACCTACATTTTTTTCTTTTTTAGAAACAGGGTCTCACTGTGTTGCCCAGGCTGGTCTCAAACTCCTGGGCTCAAGCAATCCTCCTGCCTCAGTCTTCCAAAGAGTTGGGATTCTGGGCGTGAGCCACTGTTCCTGACTAGACTACTTTTTTGAATAGAAAGTTGGTTGAATGTTCCTGTCTACTTGCCCTCTGCCATTTTCTTTGTCCTCGGGGATTGCATCAGCTTTTAGGCTGCCCTTGGAGAAGAGAAGAGCCTCAGGGCAGGACCCCTGTTTAACAGAAGCCCTGCTGCTTCCCCACAGTTTCGCCATGTTCCACAAGGTCAGAGTTCCTCGCCAGAGCCTTCTGAACCGGATGGGAGACGTCACCCCCGAGGGCACCTATGTCAGCCCCTTTAAGGTACAGGCATGGGGGGCCGTTCGTGTGCCGTGCTTCCCAGGTGCCTTCCTCTGCAGGGCCTGGCTCTGTGCTCCTCCCTGCACCTGGAAAGGAGACCCCTCCACGTAGGCCAGGTGTCGCTGGGGCATACTTCTCCTGGCTCGGGTTCTGGTGCTCCCGCTAGAAGGGGACTCTTGGGGCAGCCACAGCACCAGGTGCTGGTGTCCAGGGGGTGAGTCCGGGCCTTACAATGCCCACTCCCCATCGGGGGCTGCGATTAGAGGACTGCTCGCTTCCAGTGATGCTTCCCTGAGGATTTGAAGGAGACGGGTCTCCTGGCGAACTGTCCACAAAGGGGGACGACAAACAGAGTTCCCCGGTGTCCAGAACTCACGCCTGGCTTAAGTTCACGGAGAGCAGAAGAGAGACCGTGGTCCTGGGGAGCGATGGCCCAGGTCATAGCTGATGACCCTCAGGAATCATGAGCTCACAGCAGGTGGGCCACCCCGAGCATGCACCCTTGGAATAACAGTCCCCAGCAGCATGCAGCATCTGACATCAGGAAGCACGGATGGAAAAGGAGCATGATGGGGATGCCCAGAGACACACAGGGTGCGCAGAGTGGGAACAGCAACACGAGACCAGGAGCTGCTCACAAACGGAGATGTTAATCCAACATCAATTAAAAATAAATGATTGGAAGAACAGGCACAGCATTTGGGATAACTATCTCAGGAGGATGAATTAGGGATTGGAAGCTTGTCCTCTAGAAGGCAGAAGGAGAGGATTAAAGAAAATGAAGGCTGGGTGCAGTGGCTCACGCCCGTAACCCTAGCACTGTGGGAGGCCAAAGTGGGCAGATCGCTTGAGCCCAGGAGTTCCAGACCAGCCTGGGCAATATGGCAAAACCCCGTCTCTACTAAAAATGCAAAAATTAGCCGGGCATGGTAGCGTGTGCCTGTGGTCCGTTACTTGGTGGGAGGTGGGAGGATCACTAGAGCCCAGGAAGTCAGGCTGCAGTGAGCTATGATTGCATCACTGCACTCCAGCGTGGGCAACAGAGCGAGACCCTGTCTCAAAAGAGAAGGAAAGAAAGAAATGAAGTTTAGAGAAATAAAGGAGAGAAATGTCTCTAAATGAGAGGGGAAGAAGGCTTTTGGTTGAAGGGACTCTTGGAGGACCAAAGAGGAAAAGTAAGGAAGCACCTATGCACGTACCCAGACACACGGTAGAGAAATTGAGGAATTTCTAAGAGAAAATTCTAGAATCTTCCAGATCTGACTCCAGTGGAATAAAAAACACTTGAACTTCAGATTTCTCAAACATGACAGTGAATGCATGAAGACAGTGGAATCATATTTTATACCCTTAAAGGAAAATCACTTTAAATATATATTTATATATATTTTTTGAGGTGGAGTGTTGCTCTGTCACCCAGGCTGCAGTGCAACAGCACGATCTCAGCTCACTGCAACCTCTCCTCTGCCTCCCGGGTTCAAGTGATTCTCCTGCATCAGCCTCCTGAGTAGCTGGGACTACAGGCACCCGCCGCCAGGCCTGGCTAATTTGCGTACTTTTAGTAGAGACGGTGTTTCACCATGTTGGCCAGGCTGGTCTTGAACTCCTGACCTCAGGTGATCTGCCCACCTCAGCCTCCCAAAGCATTGGGATTACAGGCGTGAGCCGCCGCACCCGGCTTAAATACATTTTTAAACACAACGAGACTGTGATTCCTATGTGAGAGTGTGATTAATACGCTCAGACACACAATTACCATGCTGCCTTGGAAGAAGGACCTAGATGGTCAGAGGAGTGGCCCGATGGGGCAGCACGGGGCAGGGCAGGAAGGACGGTCAGATCACGTGGCAAGGGCTGTAGATTAGATGTGCCCACCGCAGCCTGGACAGGCCTTAGCAACAGCCTCTGCTGACGCCGCTGATGCGTGCGAGGAGATAGTGGACGGAAGATTCCAGCTAGACGCACGTAAAGGAACTGCCTGTTCACAGGCACACAAGGATCAAGAGGTGTCCGTGAAACCCCCTGGAAAGGCTGCCTGTAATGGACTCCGCCCCTGCCCTCTGGCAGTACAGGCCACATCTGATTCTTGCCAAGGTTAAAGGTGGGCCTTGGAATCTCCAGGCAGATGGTTTGCAAGTCCCCACAGTGGGAGCACCCTCACCCAGCGCTGTCATACCATTCCCTCTGCTAGGACTGTACCTTCTCCAGGCAGCTGGGTGTCCCCTCCCTGGCACCCCCATTCCATCCACGGTTCATCAGTGACATCTCTACCCGCCTGCCGCACCGTCCTGTGTCTTGGGCGCCCTGGGGATGGGGCCTGGGCAGGTGGGCACAGGTCTACTTTGGATGAACAAACGAGGGCACCTTCGCCTCTGAGCCACTCTGCCCAAGGTGGCCGCGCAGCCGGGCTTGAGCTTATCATCTGTGTCCCTCCCGTAGGACGTCAGGCAGCGCTTTGGAGCGTCCCTGGGGAGCCTGTCCTCGGGCCGGGTCTCCATCGTGAGCCTGGCCATCCTTAACCTAAAGCTGGCCGTGGCCATCGCTCTTCGCTTCTCAGCCACTCGGCGTCAGTTTGGACCCACAGAGGAGGAGGAAATACCAGTGCTTGAGTATCCAATGCAGGTATGAGGTTTTCAAGCATCCTTTCACTGTCTCTCTATTTTATATGCAAATTCACTTCTTTTACATAGTTGCCGTTTGGTTACTGGGAGTTGATCAAAGCTCTTAAGGCAATTAACAGGATGATTAGTTAGCGGGAGTGCGGCATCTCAGGCCGCAAGGCTTCCAGCAAATGGTTTTTAATTTAAAAAGAGTAGATACGAAGTAGCCAAAAAAGGAAGATGGAAAGAAGCAAGTCTTTTTTTTTTTTTTTTTTTTTTCCCAGACGGAGCCTTGCTCTGTCACCAAGGCTGGAGTGCAGTGGGCATGATCTTGGCTCACTGCAACCTCCGCCTCCCAGGTTCAAGTGATTCTCGTGTCTCAGCCTCCCGAGTAGCTGGGATTATGGGCATGCACCACCATGCCCGGCTAATTTTTGTATTGTTAGTAGAGACAGGGTTCTGCTGTTTTGGCCAGGCCGGTCTCGAACTCCTGACCTCCAGTGATCCACCTGCCTCAGCCTCCCAAAGTGCTGGGATTATGGGCATGAGTCACTGTGCCCGGCCAGAAAGAAGCAAGGATGGGGCGGCTCTGGGAGGTGGGTGTGTGCACGGCCGCACGTTCAGGTGAGGCCGCCACAGCTTGGCGGGTAGTGGCCTTGCACGCCCTGTGCACACTCTTTGACACTTTCATCCCATCCCTAAGAAATGATTCCTGGCAGGTGATCTGGAAGAAGCAGCAGCTGAGCGTGCAGCCCTGTTCACTGTGATGGCATTTAGAACAGTGGCGTGGGCACAGAGCGTTGGCCCTACACGTCCCCAGAGATGGGGCAGCTGTTGACATGCACAGATGCAGCCCAGGCAGCAGCGTGGAAAAGCACAGACATTGTTACATGGAAGGGGGATGAACTGTCACAGCGAACGTGCCCTGTGCTCTGGGTTTGGTCTTCACAGCTAAGAGGGTTGGGCTTAGTCCCACTTTACAGGTGAGAGAACTGAGGATCAAATAAGAAATCCAGTTAAAGTGCACAGGCTAACTCAGGCCCAGGTCCCAGGCCAAGCTGTGCATGAATAAAGGTAGATTTGGGTGAAACTTCCAGGAAATTGTAACAGAATTGCAGTTGTTTCTGTCCACATCCTTTGACCAGGGCTATGAGCCTGTTTAGTAAGTGTTGCCATTCATGCCTGTGTGGCACCCATCCCCTCCCGTGTGTGGTCACAGCACTCTGGGTGCCAAGGGCAGCTCGGCGGTCAAGAGAGCGCACTGGGGCCACCATGCCTGGCCTTACCACCAAGGTCCACCCCCAGCTGGCTGTGTGCCCCCAGGCAAGGTCCTTAGCCTTTCTGTGCTCTTGCTTTATCATTTGTAAGTTAGAACTGATGATAAAACTTCTTCCTAGGATCAGTGTGAGGATTAACAAAGTTAGGGCATGGAGGCAGCTGGCGCCATGTCTGCTCAGCACTCTTGACACGTTAGACCATGGTGGTGATGGCGGTTTCCTCAGGATCCTCTCAGGCTTGTCCTGCCATGTACCCAGCCACCCACCCACCCATCCATGCATCCCCCCACCTGTCCACGCATCCCCCCACCTGTCCACGCATCCACCCACCCATCCATCTACCCATCTACGGATTCATCCATCCACCCACCCACACATCCACCTACCCACCACCCACCATCCATGCATCCATCCACCCACCCACCCACCCCCCCATCCAACAATAGGTGGACCCTATCCTGTTTCAGACAAAGTGAAAAAGACATGCACTCAGCCTTTCGAGGGGCTGCCAGCTCTGTGTGGGCCTCAGCTTTCCCATCTGTCCCAGGGTGACGGCCTCATCCTCACAGGCTCATGCTGTCAGCCAGTCAGTCCGTGTGCCGGGGAGTTGGCCCCTAGCAGTGCTGCCTTCTTAATTCACAGATAGACTGGCACTTTGTTCTGTAGTGACTTTGATGGGACAGCTGTGAATAGCGGCCATTTAGCGAATTGCGTTTGAGCTTGTCTGTCAAGGGCTATGGGTGAAAGCCGAACTGGCTGAGTTGAGAGCGTGTCAGGGTGAAGGCTTTCTGATGTGCCGGGAAGACATGTGAAGACCTTCAGCGCTAGTGGGTGTGTGGCCCTGACGGCCTCTCCCTGCACTGGCTTTCATGGTCCCTGGGATGGGCTGCCCTTCATGGGAACCACGATGTGTTCACGCAGGTGTCTTGTCTGTTCTAGCAATGGCGCTTGCTTCCATATCTGGCAGCTGTCTACGCCTTAGACCATTTCTCCAAGTCGCTCTTCCTGGACCTGGTGGAGCTCCAGCGAGGACTTGCATCGGGAGACCGCAGCGCCAGACAGGTGAGGTGGTGTCTGCTTCCTCAGCAGCATCGTTTAAATCTCACACGGTTGGAGCAGCATAGATTCAACCTTCATTTCAAAGCAAAATCAGTCCTTTGATTTGCGAGGACAGAGCATTCCTCCAGTTGTTCCCACCCACTCGGAGCTCTTGGCCTCTGCCGCGATTGAACGGGCTGGGCACGCGTCCACACCCCTGCCTCTCAAGGATGTGCTGACACGACTCCCGGTTCCAGTCTGTGAGTTCAGCTGTTGGTCTCCTTTTGAGAACATGACGGTTTTGCAAAATCCACGTTACCCGCCCCTCAGTGGATTTCATGGTTCTGAGCCTTTTGTAAACAGCTGCACAAAGGTCTGAATCCCACTGACTGGATTTGAGTTGACAGTCAGAGGATTTGTGCCAGAAACGAGCGTGCAAATCCCGAGATCAGCCTCGGCATAAAGAGACATCGGGAACGGATTTCTTTGTAGATGATTATGAACTGATTTTCCATTGTCCCTCCTGCTGCCTCCTGAGCAAGAGTGAAATGTGAATCAAAAGAAATAACCGTGTTTGAAAGCAGAGGAGAAACGCCACAGATTGCTGTTATGTACAACATCAGAAAAAGCCTGTATCTAATTAGCATATCTTGAAATATTATCGGTGTCCACATTCACGGCAGATGATGGCGAAGGGATGACCTGCAGGATTGATGGCAGAGCAAACCCCAGGCCTGGAGGCCTGAGGAGGGAGCGCTTCTGACCACTAAAGGGGTTAAGCCTGTGTTTTCCCTGGAGCGTGAGTCAGTGGAGCTTTTGCCAGCTGACACTTGCATTGTTCTCCTGTGAATAATGTTGTAAAGGGTGACCAGGCTGATTCTTTCTGAAACTCAGTGGTTTAACCCAGGCAGAGGAGGGCCTCAGCTCAGCCCCTTATGTGAAGTTGAAAACACTCATAAAATGGGTCACTGGACTTAGCATGCGTGTGTGTGTGTGTGTGTGTGTGCGTGTGTGTGTGTGTGTGTGTGCGTGTGTGTGTCTTCCTCTTAATTGTTTTTCCTTTTTAATTGTCTTTCTTTTTTAAAATTAAAAATTCTTCTTTTACTCTGAATCAGTCTCTTAAGTTTTTGTTTGTTTGTTTGTTTGTTTGTTTTTGAGACGGAGTCTCGCTCTGTTGCCCAGGCTGGAGTGCAGTGGTGCGATCTTGGCTCACTGCAATTTCTGCCTCCTGGGTTCAAGCAATTCTCTTGCCTCAGCCTCCCAGACTAGCTGGGACTACAGGTGCCCGCCACCACACCTGGCTAATTTTTTTTATTTTTCAGTAGAGACAGGGTGTCACCATGTTGCCCAGGCTGTTCTCAGACTCCTGAGCTCAACTGATCTGCCCGCCTCGGCCTCTCAAAGTGCTGGCATTATAGGCGTGAGCCACTGTGCCTGGCCCAGCCTCTTAAGTTTTCATCATTAGATATCAAGCAGAAGCAAAGGAGTCTTCTTTCTTTTTTTTTTCCCCTTAAAAAAAAGCCTGCAGCACCTGCTATTCCCAGGCGGTCTCCCATCCAAATACTAACCACGCCCGACCCTGCTTAGCTTCACGAGATCAGGCTCATTCAGGGTAGTTTGGCCATGGACAGCAAAGGAGTCTCAATAAAACATGTTAGGCCTGAGGGAGGCACGGTGAGCCCCCACACAGAGCAGACCATCAGTTACCGAGGCGCTTGCAGCCTTCTGGGAATGGACTGGTCCCGGCCCTTCCCTGTCCTGGGAGCGAGCACTGTCTGCGGTGCTGAGTCTGGTTCCCTGGCCTTTCTTCATGGTTTCGCTGCAAACAATTGCAACCTTCCATGGTGTGTCATTCACTTTGACGTTTGTGAACTTTATATAAAGTGGGCCATGACGCACATTCTTCTGCAGTTTGCTTCTGGGACCCGTGTTAGGGCCCTGAGAGCTATTTGCTGTGTAGAGCTGTGTTTTCATTGTTGTGAAATGGTATGAGCGTACCACAGTGTATCCATACTTGGATAAAGACCCTTTTTTATTTCTAATTACAATTAGGTTTCCTCTTCTGTCATTTTCGGGATGTCTTGTATTAGACTAGAGGTGATATGGTGGTTTGATGCTATTGCTGACTTATGACTTTTTGGTGTCTAAAGTCTCTTTTCACCTGTTCTTGTTGGATTCCCTCACCCAAAGGCAGAGCTTGGACGTGAGATCCACGCCCTGGCATCGGCCAGCAAGCCCCTGGCCTCGTGGACCACCCAGCAAGGAATTCAGGAATGCCGGGAGGCGTGTGGAGGACACGGCTATCTGGCCAGTAGGTTTTGGAGAAGCGCATGGTGGTTTCCTGTCCTTAGCCCTGCTGTTTGACTCTAGACCAGGGGTCGGCAGACTGCGGCCTGAGGACCAAATCCAGCCTGCCACCTGTTTTTGCAAATAAAGTTTTATTGGAACACAGCCAGCCACCCCCGTTCATTTGCACATTTCCTGCAGCTGTTTTCGCACTGCAAGGGCAGAGATGAGTAATCGCAGCTGTGACAGAGACCATGTGGCTTACAGAGCTGAAAATATTTACTCTCTGGTCCATTGCAGAACAAGTTTGCCAACCCCTGCCCTAGATAGATCCCACTGCTTTCAGATGCCTGATGCTTCTTGGCCAAAATATAGGCAGAGAGCAGCTGATCTGCTCATTTGAATTTTAACTATTTGGTTAACAGCTTGGTAGTAAACTAGCACCATGTTTTGTTTGAATAGAAAATTCTTACACTTAGATAAAGAGTTAGTTATATCGGCATTGATGATGACTGAGGCAGCTGTTATATGGTTAAGAGCGGAGGCCACCAGCTTGCCTGGGATTGAGTCCTGGCTCCATCTAACAGCCTGGTAACTGTGGGCAGGTTGCTTAACCTCACTGTGCTCAGTTTTCTTATTTTTAAAGTGGGGGTGATAATAGTGTACCCACAACATAGGTTCTTGCCAGAATTAAGTGAATTACCACGTATGAAGTGTAAGCATGGTATCTGGCATGTAGTGCGTGCCCAATGACTTTTTTATTTGCTAATGCTGTTATTATTAGAATTATCATCAGCATTATTTACAGCTTACCTGCAAAACTTCCCGTGTGCTAATCTTAAATAATTAACTGGCAAAAACTGGTTGCTCAAAGAAGGCCATGTACACACTCAAAACAGCCACAGCATCAGCAAAACTCTCTTGCCCTCCAGGAGCACTTGGTCCTTGCCAAGTTTGTGAGAGTTTTTGTGATGCTCTATCTAGAACTACACACACACTTTCAGCGATCATCCGCCCACCACTGCAGTTCTAACTCGCACCTGTTCCAGCATGGGCTGTTAGCAACGTGGCCCCTCACTCCCACCACAATCTGTCTTTGTCACTTACTGACATGCGGGTAGCCATGGCTGTACACAAGTTACTCATTTGCATGCTTTGTCCTCTGCGCAATGCCCTTAGTAGTTTTTGTCTTTGTAACTCATCGGGATTCTATAAATAGTTGAATAAGGAAATTGAATCTTGCAGTACTGCAGACAACAAAGATGATGGAATCAAGATTAATCATATACATATACATATACATATACATATACATATACATATACACATACATATACATATACACATACATATACATATGCTGGGATTGAGACCAATATGACCGAGGCTCCATCTAGGTTTAGAAAATCAATTGCAAATGTTTCTGCTGAGGCCTCTCCCAGCTCTTGTTCAGTGGCCAACCTGTTACGTGGCAGGAAGCTCGTGGCATGATTTGACAGTAAGTCAGGAGAAAATCAGGTGTTCTAGGTGATCACAAGGCTAATCACAAGCGTGTTGGCAGTATGGCTGCAATAGGACTCCTTTCATGCTCTCAGGATCCATCAGTCACAGTACGTGAGTGTGAGAAGTCAGCTCCACTCCCTTCCTGCTAGGCCCATCCCAGCCTCACATTCAGAGAACACTTTCCATCACAGTAGGCAGGCTCAAGTGTGTGAGGGTCTGGAAAGCAAGCCTGACAACATATGTGAAGGCATCCAGCTAACTGATAGGAAAGACAAAAAACAGTTATCTTGAAATTTCCTGTGTTAAAAGAAGAGTTCATTCAGTTATGGACGGAAGAAGGGTAGCCCTGGGGGCATCAGCTCGCTGAGATGGCTCCCTCCTATCAGCAACCCCATGCCAGGGGAGGCTCTGCAGGGCTTGCTGACAGCAGTGAGGAGCTGGAGGTGGGATATGAAGCACAGGTGGCAGTTCTTTGTGTCTGGTCAAGCTGAGTTCAGGGCTTTTTTTTTTTTGGTCAGAGTCTTGCCCTGTCCCGGAGGCTGGAGTACAGTGGCATGACCATGGCTTACTTTTGCCTCAAATGCCTGGGCTCTTAAGCAATCCTCCCACCTCAGCCTCCTGGGTAGCTGGGACTAAAGGTGCGTGCCACTATGCCCAGCTAATTTTTTTTTTCATTTTTTATAGAGATAGGGTCTCACTATGTTGCCCAGGCTGGTCTCAAACTCATGGCTTTTTTTGTTGTTGTTGTTGTTGAGACAGGGTCTTGCTCTGTCACCCGGGCTGGAGTGCAGTTGCGCAATCTCGGCTCACTGCAACCTCCGCCTCCCAGGCTCAAGCGATTCTCCTGCCTCAGCCTCCCGAGTAGCTGAGATTACAGGCACACACCACCACACCTGGCTATTTTTGTATTTTTAGTAGAGGTGGGTTTCACCATGTTGGTCAGGCTGGTCTTGAACACCTGGCTTCAAGTGATCCACCCGCCTCGGCCCCCCAAAGTGCTGCCATTACAGGTGTGAGCCACCGCACCCAGCCTCTTAAGGCTTTTTAAATTCTCACATAGTGACAGGCTGCTTCTCAAATATGCGTCTTAAATGATGGTACTATTGTGGCTTTGTTGCAGTGAACCGGTTGGGTGTCCTTAGAGATGACAACGATCCCAACTGCACATACGAAGGTGACAACAACATCCTGCTGCAGCAGACAAGCAACTATTTGCTGGGTCTCCTGGCACACCAGGTCCACGGTGAGGCTCTGCTGCACACTGGTGGGGGCGCTGGAACCCAACTGGGGCAGGGGTGGGTTCTCCTGGCCTCACTGATTCAGCTGTTCTGTGAATGCATCCTAGGTTTGCAGAAGGAAAGAAATGTTATTAGATAGTGCCGACCAACTCCCCAAGGCATGGGCAAAGGCTGGGGTGGGGAGGGTCCTTGAGACCCAGACCCTCGCCTGTGGGTCTGTGGCCGTCGGGTCCTCTGGACACTCTCTGTGCTTTGGGGTGCCCCCAGCTTGGGGTTCCCAATGGTTTGGGTTCCTGTCTTCCACCAAAGTCACTGGAATGTGTGTCCTAGATGGAGCTTGCTTCCGCAGTCCGCTGAAGTCAGTGGACTTTCTGGACGCCTATCCCGGCATCCTTGACCAGAAGTTTGAGGTCTCCAGTGTTGCCGACTGCTTGGACTCTGCAGGTAAACACACAGGTGGAGGGCTCCCCTGGCCTCCTGATTTCCTGTCATTCCCACCAGGAAACGCACCGTGCCTCGGTGAGGGGACCCTTGGCAGTTCCAGCCGGGGCAGCAGTGGTGGTGGGAGGCCCCGCATGCAGCTTGTCCTGGGCTGGCTCATGGACTATCTCTTTGTGCCTGACGCCGAGTTAGGCGCTGACTCCACAGATGAATTGAAGGATGCCCACTTGCCACCTTATACCTTGCCTCTTGCCTTTCCCTCCCATAGGATAAAGGGCGTGAGAGGCCACCTGGCCTGGTCTCTGTCCACTAAGCAGCCTCTGCCCCCTGCCCTGGTGCCTGGGCTGCTGCTGTCCCTGGGCCCTCCCAGCCACCTCACCTGTCAGTCTTCCCCACTCCCAGGCCCTGCTGGCTCCCCAAACAGCAGATGCCCCTTCCCGCCCTGGCGCACCTCCCGCACCTCCTTCACTCGGCCCCTGTGGCACAGGCTCATCTCCTGTGGGTGCGGTGGTCGGGGTGGGGCGTCCTCCCAGGGCCCCGCACAGAGCTGGCCACGGACAGCCTCCTGCAGGTGTGTCATGGGAGCTGCTGCAGGCTCCGCCTCACCCACACGGGGTCTGTGGCTCAGAGAGGTGGGAGCGAGAGCTGGGAATGAGGCGCCTGGCCGTGCTGGCAGCATCGAAAGCAAAGCAGCTTCCCTGTAGACTGCGCTGGATCCTGACAGGGGATCCCTCTCCGGAGAGCAGCTGCTCTCGCGTTCCTGGGTTAATTCTGCACGTGCTCGTTATGTGCTCACTCTGCAGTTCTGGGGCTGGCGGCCAGCATGATGGAGAACCTGTGCCTGCCCTCATGGGACTTTACAGTCTAGACCAGCAGACACAGAAACATCCCAAGGCCTCAGTCTTAGGGCAGCAGGAATTCTGCAAAGCAGTGATCCTGGCTGGTGAGGTGGAGCGTGGCTGGTGACCACCTTGCAGGGGCCTTGGCCTTTGAATTGAGGTCAGTGAAAGGCGGGGGCAGCCATGGGGACCCCCGATGGACGGGTGTGTCAGGAGGCGGAGGCAGCAGGGCCCAGCCCATGCCGAGCTCATCTCGATGTGAGCATGCATCTCGTTCCCCTGCTGTGAATGACGGGAGGTGAGCGCAAGAGGCCTGGTGGAAAGGGGTGTGCTGTTTGTTTTGATGATTCATATTTTTAAAAATGTTCCTCATGGGAAAAGGCCACTCTGGCTGCTCTGTGGAAATGGAGGTGAGAGGCGGCTGGGACAGGTGAGGGGGTCTGCCCTGCGCCCCCACACAGAAGCACCCAGCCGAGCTCTGCGTGTCCTACAGGGCACTCCTGAAGGCTCCCTTGGTGCCAGCTGCCTGAGCGCAGGGAGGGGCGGAGCGAGGATTCAAACCCAAGCCTGTGGGACCGCAAAGCTCGGGATCTCTCGTTACTGCTCCTGGATGCTTCTTGCCCAGTGGTCTGGGTGCGATTTGACAGAAGAGCAGGGCTGGAGCTGCCCCCACCTCCGTGCCACCCGTGTCCCTGTCAAATGCCTTCCTCCCACCACAGCCCCCGTCTGTAAAGCCGCGTATCACAGAGAACAGCTCAAAGCCGCAGCAACGCCTCCATCTCGCCATCGCCTCACTCAGCAGTATTTAGTGAATGTCTTCACTTTGCCACCAAAGCACCTATTTGTGCAGAAGAGAAGGGCCGAGAGGGGTCCCGACGCCCTGTCCCGGCGGGCCAGGTAGAAACTGACTGCTCCCGTGACACCCGAGACGTGGAAGAGTAGCCCACCTTCCTGAGTGAGAGAGACGTCAGCTCCCGCCAGGCTGCCGGGGTTGATCCCGGTCCCTCCTCCTGCTGGCCGTGGAACCTACACCAAGTCCCTCAGCCTTCCTGCCTCGGTTTCCTCATCTGCAGCACGGGGACGGGGATGGTACCCCCTTCATAAGGTGTTTGTACCGTGGACTGAGTTCATGCACGTAAAGCACTTAGTGCAGCACTTGGCGCCACATCAGTGCTCAGCTCAGCAGCCACAGAGTTTGGACAGGAACCGCCCTCGAGGTGCCACACGTTCAACTGGGCAGATAGAGCGGGGACTTGGAGATGGAGGATGCTCTTGGCTTTGCATTCAGGAGACCAGAATGTGAGGCTTCCCTGGGGTTCTGGGAGGCCCCTGGATCCTCGGGAGGAGGGAGCACTGGCCTCCCTCATGCAGGGGACAGGCACACATGGAGGACGCGTTCCAGCCATCAGGACCGACGCCGTGGATGTGATAGCAGCCCCCGAGCGTGTGTCCTTGTCCGTCTCCAGCCCTACAGGCTACTTCCTTGTTCACACGGCAAAGAACAGGACAACAGCCGTGGCCGAAGCCGGTGTGGAGCCTGGGCCGGTCCGGCTTCCCAGCGCCTTCCCCTGCCCGCACCGTCAGCATCGTCATCAGGAAGCGTCTGCATCACTGCTTGCTTTCTCGTGGTCACTGCGCTGGGTTACAGCTTCTGACGGTAACTAACCGTGCAGATCTTAGCCTGCCTTTTTGGGTGCCAGTGGGAAACGGGGACACGTTTGATGACCTATTTCTGATGTTTGCAAGTCACTTTCTTTTTTTTTTTTTTTTTGAGACGGAGTCTCGCTCTGTCGCCCAGGCTGGAGTGCAGTGGTATGATCTCGGCTCACTGCAAGCTCCACCTCCCAGGTTCTCGCCATTCTCCTGCCTCAGCCTCCGGAGTAGCT
Organism: Homo sapiens; assembly: GCF_000001405.40. NCBI lineage: Eukaryota > Metazoa > Chordata > Mammalia > Primates > Hominidae > Homo > Homo sapiens. The sequence goes on along the minus strand of NC_000004.12, from coordinate 8,386,450 downwards.
GGGACTACAGGAGCCCACAACCACACCCGGCTAATTTTTTGTATTTTTAGTAGAGACGGAGTTTCACCGTGTTAGGCAGGATGGTCTCGATATCCTGACCTCGTGATCCGCCCACCTTGGCCTCCCGAAGTGCTGGGATCACAGGCATGAGCCACCACGCCCGGCCGCAAGTCACTTTCTAAGCTTCCCAAATGTTGCCACAGAAAGAACTAGAAAATGACCTAATCATTGTGGTAACTTCAACCCAACCAATACCTTTTTCCTAAAACCATCACTCCTTATATTAATAAAATCAAAACATAAATGGGACAGCCAGCTTCTCCATGTGCCCATCACGCTCTGCTCTTCCCTCCCCTTCCCCTGAGACTGAAAGCAAAAGCAATTTTACAGTCTCTCCATCATCAGGAAAGACACCAAAGTCATCTGCTTTTCTGCAACTGCTCTAATATTTACAAGATGCAACAAAGTGAAAACGTTTTCCGGAGTAACAAAGGCAAATGGCTTTCACTTGTTCAAAGTGGTATGGGAGAGAGACCGCCATTATCCCTCACGCCGCAGGGAAGCTTGTGGGTTCTGCCAGCCCCATCGTCTCAAGGGCATTTGGTCACAGATCCCAGGTCTCAGGGCTGACTGCAGCCTGCGTCATGTGGATCTTTGGTAAAAGCTGTTTAAGTGATGTGGGGCCCTCAGGCTCTGCAGGACTGGAGAGACACAGGCCCCTTCCGGGGTTGCGCTTGCCTGTGAGGAAGGGTGGAGGATTTGCCAAGCCAATGGCGGGTCCTTCAGGGGTTCGATTCTGACTTGGGTAGGGGAGGCTGGGTTTTCTGTTGAGTTCCTCTGATTTTTGCACAGGCATTTTTGCACTGAGCTGAGTGTCACAGCCCTGTGCCTTGGGGGCCTGTGCTGTTGCTTCCTGCAGTGGGCCCTGTTGTTTAGCTGGCTCGTATGCATTCATAGTAAGCAGTTGCAGTGTTCACTACTCGGACACGTGTGTATTTGTGGACTGCAAGGTCATGGGATGTGGGCCAGAGGTGACATAGGGTCATGTGTGAGCAGTGGGGTCACATGGGGTGAGTGGTGAGGTCACGTGGAGTGCACAGTGAGGTCATGTGAGGTGAGCAGTGAGGTCACAGGTGAGCGGTGGAGTCACGTGGGGGAGCGGTGAGGTCACGTGGAGTGCATGGTGAGGTCATGTGAGGTGGGCAGTGGGGTCATATGAGGTGAGCAGTGGGGTTCGTGGTGCAGACAGTGCTCCCAGAGGGTGGGAGCACAGGCTATTGGGTCAGCACTGCCCCCCGCTGTGACCTTGAGCTAGGCTTTAATCTCTCTGAGCCTGTTTTCCTTCTGCGAGACAGTGGGGAGGGAATGCGGTCACCCCATGCCACCTGGCAGGGGCCAGGCCATGGTGCCCTCGGTGGGGGGCTGCTGCGTGTGGGGGGCCACAGTCCTGAACACTTCCTTGGAAACAACAGATGCAGGTGAGGTCTGCCTTGGTGGGTCAGGGAATGTCTCCCACAAAACTGGCACCTGAGGGTGTCTCAGAGGGTCCGTGCGTTGTGCTTTTGGGGAGCACCGGCCATTCAGGAGCACCAGAGCGGCGGGCATGGTCAGACCCGGGCCTGTGATCTGGCTGAGGAGTTGGGGCCGCTGTCCAGGCCTTGCTTTCCAGGGCTTGCCTGGGTCAGAATCCGAGTTAGGAGTGCTCTGATGCTGACGCAGAGGGGACTGGACCCAGAGACGGGAGAGGAAACCGAGACCCGAAAGGCAGGCAGTGCATGCGAAGAGCTCACCATGGGGTCAAGGACAGAGCCCCAGCTGGGGAGGGGGCAGATCGAGGGGCAGTCATTGGGTGCACAGGGCGGCTGGGGGCACCTTCGAGAGTCCTTCTGGTGTGAGGCACATGGAAAGGCCGTGGTGACCCAGGATTCTGGGAGAGTCTTGAGGACAGAGGTTGTTGACGCTGGGTGTGTCCTCAGGCCGCCAGCAGCCGCATTCCGAGCAAGAGAATTCACTGCCCGTCAGTGCCCGTTTTCCTGCCTAGTTTGTTTCAGCGATACTTTTTCACTTCCACATTAACTCTGAAAATGACACACACAACACCCACCTTTCATTGTTTGCTTTCATGTGCTTTTTGGGGATCTTCTCCCCTGCACATGAACACATCAGACTGACATGATTTATTTTTTCACGAAAAACCAAGAACCAAAAGTAGAGTGTAAGGAAAAAACACAGTGCAAACATAACTCATTTCTCAAGCGTCCCTCTCACTTGAAGCCCACAGCACAGTCTAACTGGCCATCGACGTGAAGCCTCATGGATTAATTCTGGTTGCAGAGACAGATTGGAAAACTCGGGTAACTGCCGTGAAGTGTCCACCGCAGAGGGACACCTCCTGGGGCAGTGTTTGGGAATGGCCAGGACAGGCTGGGAGGGAAGCCCAGCCATGGCTGATGCGTGGTGGGACACGGGGGCCTCTGGTGTGGTCAGAAGGAATTTGCACAAGTGGTTTCTGGCCGGACCGTTTCCTTGGTTTTGTTGCTGTGTAAATAAGTCGTGGGAAGCACAACTGTACGGCGTCTACCTTTCCTTGCTGTTCGTGACCATCTGCCCTGCTGGGGAGAGCTTGGGATGTTGCAGAGCCTTTAGGAACAGGCGGTGGTCACAAGGGCCTCCCCTCAGCATTGGTTGCAAAATGGACCTGAGTTTTCCAGTAAAGTCCTGAAGGGTAGCATGTGAGGCTCAAGGATGACCCCTGGGCAGCCTGCCAGCAGCAGAGAGCCACGGCCTGGGCACTGAAGACAGCAGACAGTGACTCTCTTGGTGCAGAGGCAGAAACCCCAAGTCAGGATGGGGCAGGGCTACCCGCCTCCCTCTCGTGGTGGGGGGGCTTTTCCCGCCCAGGCTCCTGGCAGCTCCAGGAGTTCTTGGCTGTGGGTGCATCATGCCAGCCTTTGCCTCCTCTGTGACTTTGCTGTCTCTGCATCTTGTAAGGACACGTGTCATTGGATTTAGAATCCATCCTAGTCCAGGAGTCCCTGATGACCTCACCTGAATACCTCAACTTCATGACATCTTCAAAGACCCTCTTCCCAACAAAGGTCACATTCACAGCTGTGGGGGTCAGTTGGGGCCACCATTCAGCGCCCCATGCCTGGCAGGACTTGGCGAGGGGAGCCTTGGCTCCCTGAAGATGCCTGCATGGAGGAAGCCTCCGCCCAACCCTGCCTGTGCCCTGCCTGCGGGGTCAGCAGCACCCGTCTTTCCATCCCACTCCCTCTGGGGAGCTGAGACCTCCGGCAAGCCGCCTGACGTGTGAGCCTGGGAAACGGCCTGCTCTGGTTTGTGACGGGCTTCTCAGTTATGCCGTGAGGGTGAACAGATGTAACAGCCGAAAGCAGTCGGGTGTGCTGTGGCAGGAACTGCAACGTTGGGTATTTTCTTTTCTTTTTTTTTTTTTTTTGAGACGGAGTCTCGCTCTGTCGCCCAGGCTGGAGTGCAGTGGCGCGATCTCGGCTCACTGCAACTCCGCCTCCCGGGTTCACGCCATTCTCCTGCCTCAGCCTCCCGAGTAGCTGGGACTACAGGCGCCTGCCACTGCGCCCGGCTAATTTTTTGTATTTTTAGTAGAGACGGGGTTTCACCGTGTTAGCCAGGATGGTCTCGATCTCCTGACCTCGTGATCCGCCCGCCTCTGCCTCCCAAAGTGCTGGGATTACAGGTGTGAGCCACTGCGCCCAGCAACGTTGGGTATTTTCTTCCCAGTGACCTGGGCTGTGTGACATAGAAGGAAATCCCAAGCCCCACTGAGTTCAGCCTTTGGGCTCAGACTCAGTGTGGCTGATCCCCATTCTCCTGCCTGGGATCTCTGAGCAAGACCGGCTGCCAGGCAGAAGGCCCCTGCAGCCTGGAGGTGCCTCGTGTCTGGGCGCCAGGCCCTCTGTGCCTGGGCAGGGGGTGGGTGTGAGCGTGGCCTCCACATGTGGGTGGTCTGCACCCCTCCCTCACATGCTCGCCATGTACCTGGGTCCCTGGGCCCGTGTCCTCATCAGTGGGGTAGTAGCAGTACAGCCTGGTGGGGTCTCAGGACCATGCCTGGTCCATACGGAGTACTGTGGGAGGCCAGCTCTGGCTGTGCTGTGGGGGGCCCCGCAGATGTGGGCACCACTGCCAGGGGAAGGGGAGGACGAAGGGGGGTCTCCAGCTGTCCTGCCTGACACCCCACCCCGGGGCCTCCCTGTCTGCAACATCTGCTCCCTCCTGCCCTTTTGAGCTTTGTGGAAGGGGCCACGCAGGGGGTGAGGCCTTAGGTTCCCCCCTCCCCCACCATGTCAGTCCCCAGTTCCACAGCTCCAGCATGCGGTGAGGTCCAAGGGCCAGGCAGGGGGAGGCGAACGGAAGCACCCCTTCCTCTCGCCACTGGGCGCCACCGCCGGCCAGTTGTCCTGCTGCCCATGCAGTCCTGGCTGATGCTGTGGAGGCAGCACCACGCTTCACACAGACCGAGCCTGGTGCGTGCGAGAACGTGCAGCCGTCCCACTCGGGGGCCCACTCTAGCGGCGGCACCGTGTTCCTGTGGCCTCCAGGCTGCTGGAACAGTGTAGAACTCAGGACAGCCCTGGGCTGAGCCAGGAAGTGCCTCCAGCCAGGGGGGCCCTGGGCAGGTGCCCTCCCTGTGCTTCAGTTTCCCTACCTATAAAATCAGACCCACCCCATACACTTGGTTGTCAATGAAGACAACCTGGTACCTGCAGGATGCTGGCAGTGCCTTGTCCCTGGGGGTGAGTTGTGACAAATGCTGTGTTCTCTATTGTTACTTTTTCTCCTTCTGTTTGTCATTCCGAAGTCGCCCTGGCAGCATACAAGTGGCTGGTTTGCTACCTGCTCCGAGAGACTTATCAAAAATTAAACCAAGAGAAAAGATCAGGAAGCAGTGACTTTGAAGCAAGGAACAAATGCCAGGTAAGTATTTGTTTTCAAAATTCCCTTTTGTATTATTTGCTCTTAATTCCCTGGCCGTTGTGTCCCTGGGAGTTTGAACATCCTGGCAATTCAGGCCCCAGACCCCGAGCTCCCGTGACCTTGGGCAGATGACTTGATGACTTTGCTGCTTGCTCAGCTCCTCTGTAACACAGGGATGGCAGCACCTGTCTTGCTGGGCTGGGGAGGTCATGGATGTTACATTTACCGTGCCTGACGGTTCCCAGCCCGTAAACCAGAGCGGTGAAGCTCTGGGTTGTGAGAGCCTTGGATGCACAGAGTGGCGGAGACACCATTGCGGGCACTCAGAGCACTCCCTCCTGACTCGTGGGAGTGATGCCAGCGCCCTGCTTGGTTTTCCACAAGTTGCTCTCGCCTTCCCGAGGGGCTGGGGTGGCAATGGTGAGTGGGTCATCGTTGGCCTTGGAAAGCGCTTTGGTTCTCACACTTGGACAGGGCTGTCTCTCATGTTCCAGGAAGCCACAGGGAAAAAATAGCCTGTTATAAAACACCTTGTCATGCCAGGAACCTTCCAGCCCTGTCCCAGCCATCTGCCCTAGAGCAGAGCCCAGCCCCCACCCTGTCTAGGGGGCAGCCGGTGGGGGCAGTAGGGCTCCCGGATGTGTCTGTGGGTGCCATGAGCACTCTTGGCTGGAGTGCGCCAGCCCTAACCATAGCTGTGGGGAGACTCAGGCCATGAGTGTTGTGCAGGGAGGCCGTGGATACGGAGAGAGCTGCTGTCACCCCTTCTCCCTAGCGTCGGTTCATGAGGTTATGGGTCACCTTCAGTAATGAAGCTGCTATGGGGACCCAGGTCCACATCTGCCTGTCTCTGGGAAGGCCCAGCACCTCACAGCCTGCTGCTGGGGGGCAGCCCCGCCCCTCAGGCCAGCTCCTCTAGGAACCTGCTAGACACACCTGCCCTGGGATGAGGAGAGAAGGCAGGAAGGATGGGCTCCTGTCAAGCTCAAAGAAACCCAGATTGGGCCAGGTGCAGTGGCTCACACCTGTAATCCCAGCACTTTGGGAGGCTGAGACGGGTGGATTACAAGGTCAGGAGATCAAGACCATCCTGGCTAATACAGTGAAACCTGGTGTATCCTAAAAATACAAAAAATTGGCCAGGCATGGTGTCATGCGCCTGTAGTCCCAGCTACTTGGCAGGCTGAGGCAGGAGAGTCGCTTGAACCTGGAAGGTGGAGGTTGCAGAGAGCCGAGATCGCACCACTGCACTCCAGCTTGGGTGACAGAGCAAGACTCCATCTCAAAAAAAAAAAAAAAAAAGGAACCCATATTGAATTTATAACTGAAAAGAAATGAAGTCAGCAGGTGGCCAGGGTCTGTAAAACTTGTAGTTTAGGGCCATGGTGACCAAAGCGTGAAGTGACCCTTCCAGAACAGGCCGCCTTGTTTACCCACCTTGGGTGATACACAGCAGGTTGGGTCATTCAGAAACCAGTGGATGCCTGTCAGCTTCCACTGCTCCCTCCTCTGCAGGCCACATCCTTGCGTTAAGGTGGAATAGGCTGCTGCACTGGCTCATGTCTGTAATGCCAGCACTTTAGGAGGCTGAGGCAGGAAGATCGCTTGAGCCCAGGAGGTTGAGGCTGCAGTAGGCCGTGATCACATCACTGCACTCCAGCACGGGCAACAGAGCAAGACCCTGTCTCAGAAAAGAAAGAAAACATTTTTTTAATGGAATAGAGATTCTCCAAAGAGTTATGAAACAAGAACCCCAGAGATGGGGGGCACAAAAGGACCCCCTTCCTAACAACACCTGTGTCTCTTAGAACTGCCCGGTAGGTCCTTAGCACCCCCTTCCAGCCCCGATCTATGCTGGGGACCTGGCATGTGTGACCCCACAACACCCCGAGTGTGTGGCTCAGCTGCTGAGAAACCCCTCCTCACCTGTAGCTTTTCCTTCGAGAACTTGGTAGCAGAATTTCACGGAGGGCTGCGGCAGAGGCCAGGAGGGGTCCTGGGTTCTGATCCGGCTGAGACGGTGACCCTGGGCTGAGCTGTGGAGCTGACAGACACCCACAGACACCAGCCCCAAGGCCTTGGAGGGAAAACAGTTGCCAGGGCAGGGCTTCGTGTTCCAGACCTGCCCCGGGTCGCGGAGCTTTTAAGAGCAGGGGACATTTGTGATAGCTGAGAGCCCTTGGGGCCCTGGGCTGAATGCTAAGGGGGCCCAGGGGAGACGCAGCCCCTTCCCCTGCAATACGGCATACCAAGAAAGCCTCAGCCTAGACCAGCCTTTTCAGGAAGATGGGAACCGGAAGCTGTTAAAAAAACCATCGGATTTGGCTGCATAAAGGTTCAGCATTTCTGCATTGCAAAAGACGCTCTAAACAAAATCGGAAGACACACAGCAGCCTGTGGAAGCCCACGTAACATGTCGCCGACGGAGAACACCCCCAGGAAGGAAGGAATTCCTTCAGATAGATGCCAGCCTGGTCGGAAACCAGCCCCAGCAGCCACTGACCTGGAGCCAGGGCCAGGAGCTGCAGGTCAAAGCCACACTTCCACAGGCATCAGGCTGGGCTTGGGCAGCAGCACCGTTCATGGAGAGGGTGATGGCTGTGTCCTTTGGGAAGGTTACTGACCATTTTTGTTAAAAATGTGCTTACTCTTTGACCTGGTGGAGAAAATCTATTAACTTTTAAACATTTTCTGGCTCCTGCCAGTAACTGCTATCCACCATTTACCCACTGTAAGCCTGGCATGCACAGAAAGGTCTTTAAAAATGCATTTCTCTCATTTTTTGGCTGAGTGACACCTTTACATGTTCAACAGCCAGTAGATACAAAAGATGGGTGGTGGCGTCCCTCCTCCCTACCTCTAGCCTGGGAGTAAAAAGATGGGCGATGGCGTCCCCGCAGCCTGCCTCCAGCCTGGGAGTAAAAAGATGGGCGGTGGCGTCCCTGCAGCCTGCTTCCAGCCTGGGAGTAAAAAGATGGGTGGTGGCGTCCCCGCAGCCTGCCTCCAGCCTGGGACCAACCCCTGCCACAAGGGCTCGAGGTTTCCTTCAGGGATTTGCACATCAGAAGGCGGACAAGGACGAGGACATTTGTTCTCCCTGAGCCACACGCTGGATTCTGTACCTGGGTCATTTCACGTTGTCTACTTTGGGAGTGAAGGAAGTTGAGGCCAAGAGAAATGCCCAAGGTCCCCCAGCTCGCCCGTGCCGGGGCCAGGATTGCACCCGGGCCAGCTGTCACAGAGTCCAACCCTTTCCCCAGGCTGCATGGCTGCAGTCTGAATTTGGACAGTTTGGGGTTTGTTTTTTTGCCTGAAGTATGCATTGCCTCTTAAAATGTACTTCACCAACCAGAGTGTACCAGACTGGGACCCTCTCCTCTCTCCTGTGCTGAAGGTTTACGGACAGCTGACCTTAGCTGCATCGAGCCTGAGAAGTGCCTGTCACAGTCCTAGCTGGGGACAGTTTGGCAGCTCTGGAGGGGCAGCTGAGGTGGTCCAGAAGATCCCCCTAGAGCAGAGCCCAGCCCCGCCCTGTCTAGGGGGCAGCTGGTGGGGGCAGTGGGGCTCCCGGATGTGTCTGGGTGCCGTGAGCACTCTCGGCTGGAGTGCGCCAGCCCTAACCGTAGCTGTGGGGACACTTTGTCCGTGGGGGAGGGACTGCACCTGAGGCATTACTGTCCCCCCGGGTCGCCAGAGTCCATACCGCATGGGATGCTTCCTGGGCCCCAGCCCACCTTGGTTAATGCTGTGGTCAGCTCTGCTGGTTGCCATGGCAGACACTGTTTAGGGAGCCCATCCCCAGAGCCTGTGTCCCCCCCGGTGACTGCTGGCCTTACGTGGACCTTTCCTGGAAGAACAGCGCAGTATCATGCAGGCAAATCCTGGGGACTGAGATGCCGTTGAGTACAGTAGAGCTGCCATCGCAGGCGCTTCCTGTGAGAGAGCCGCCCTGACCCCAGCAGCACCACGCAGGAGACAACGCTGAGGCTTGGAGCCATGACGCCTTTTGCTCACGCGCAGAGCTGCAGAGCCGAGTGACGCTGTGTTTCAAAACTCACTGGCACTCGCGATGCATTATTTGACAGCAGCAAGGTTCCAGGAGGGGCTGTCTTTCTGGCCCCCGCAGCATGTCTGGCCTGTGCCATCGCTGTATCAAGCTGTGTCACTTTCATGGAAAAACACTGAAGCAGTGCCGCTCTAACACAGCAACTGTGCAGGCGACGGGGAGAGTGGTGCGGGGCACAGGGCTCACTCAGATTCGGTTCAAGGACGGCCTCTCTGTGCCTGGGCCCTGCTGGGATTGGCCTCATCTCTGGGTTCGCAGAGGACCCATGGCGAGAGGAGAGGCCCTCGTGGTGTGGGAGCACGTTTTGGGGTGTGGGCAGGATTCAATGGAATTATCGTGTTCTCGTGGACACAGGAGCAGCCTACGGGGGTGCAGATGCCGTCACCCGCTTGTTTCATGGAAGGTGGAAGGAGGAAGGGCTGAGGCCTGGAGCTGCAGCACCACACCTGGCAGCTCCCCCACAGGCCTGTATTATCAGCCTCCTGCCAGAGGCCTCAGGTGGGAGCCTGAGGGCTGCCCCACCTCACTCGGCAGGGCTCTGGGAAATTTGGGTGCTAGTCCTACCTAGCTGGGGTCTGTCAGGCAGTCCCTACTGCCCCAGAGCAAGTCCAGATCCTGCCACCAGCCCTCACTCACCAAAACCAAGGCCCAGAGCTATAGCGCATGTGAGATCAGAAGAGGGCAGGAAGCCCCAAGGCCCCATGCTGGCATGCTCCATGCTCAGACAGCAGGGAGCAGGACGGGCCTTCCTGGCACCGACAGGACGGCCCACCCAGGAGTGTGCGGGGCCCAGCGGGGGTCTTGGGACAGGACCAGTCAGCCTGGCATGAAGCACAGCGGGAAAGGCGCTTCTCCCGGTTTCTGTTTTCCCGAGGCTCCTGATCCCAGCAGGGCCCTGGAGGACACTGGCTTTGTGACTGGAGACCCTGCTGCCGTGTGCTTCACCCTGCTGTGTTCTGGGAAGATTTGGGGCAGCGTCATAGCAGCGTCATAGGCCAGGCATGCAGCCGGGTCCTCCTGCAGCAGTCAGTCCCCCATACACCATATTTCATCACTTGGCTGGATTTTTTTTTTTTTAATTTTAAAAGTAGCACCTGCTCATCCTAACAAGTCAAGCAATGCGTGTGTTGTTTTCCTAATTTAAAAAATCTGGTAAGATGATAAATGGGAGACAGGGAAAGAAAGGCTAATAAGTGAAGTTGATGATTATCAGCAAATGTTTTTGATATTCATTAAAAAAGAAAAATAACAGATGCTGGCGAGGCTGTAGAGAAAAGTGACACAGATACACGGTTGGTGGGAACGCAGATTCGTTCAGCCACCGTGGAGGGCAGCTTGGCAATTTCTCAGAGAGCTAAGAGTTGCCCTTCCCCTTGACCCAGTGATCCCATTACTGGGTATACACCCCAAAGAAAAGCAATCATCCTGCCAGCCAGATACATGTACCTGTATGTCCATCGCAGCGCTATTCACAATAGCAAAAATGTGAAATCAACGCAGGTGCCCATCAGCGGTGGACTGGATAAAGAAAATGGGGTACATAGACACCATGGGATACCGTGCAGCCATCACTACGAACAGTCATGTCTTTTGCAGCAACATGGATGCAGCTGCACGCCATTATCCTCAGCAGACTAATGCAGCAACAGAAAATCAAATGCTGCATGTTCACATGTACAAGTGGGAGCTAAACATGGGGCACTCATGGACATAAAGATGGGAGCGGCAGAGCCTGCGGGGGCCTTACGGCAGGGGGAGAGGGAGAGAAGCCTGCTTTGGAGGCTTTGGAGGACGGGGTGGCAGATCTTTGGAGAAGTGAAGTCAATTCTGAGCTCAGGGAGGAGCCTGACAAGCCCCTTCTCCAGCTCCTCTGTGTCTTCCCGTGTGGAAGAAGCCAGGTCCTGGGCCCTTGGGGGCCTCCTGGTGGGCGCCCACTCTGTAGCCGCAGAGCATCCCGAGGCCGGCTCCAGGCTCCGTATGCAGTGCTGGTGCCAACCCCAGTCCCAGACGGGAGCTGAGCTGAGACTGAGGCCTTGGAGGGCGTCGGTGGAGCCAGAGCAGTCCCAGCTCCATCTTCATAGGCCTCTTCCATTGTGTTCTGGAAACATGTCTCGTGCTGCGCCGCATCTGTGCTCTGCCTCACCTTATGTTACTGTCCTAGGACATGCACGGGAACGCAGACCCGCGTTCGTGTTTCCTGAGAACTTCCTCCCCCGGGAATCTGGGCGGGGCTGGGACCCTCACGGTCCTCACGGTGCCGTCCTGTGTTCCAGGTGTCCCACGGCCGTCCGTTGGCGCTGGCCTTCGTGGAGCTCACGGTGGTCCAGAGGTTCCACGAGCACGTGCACCAGCCTTCCGTGCCGCCCTCGCTGCGGGCCGTGCTGGGGCGGCTCAGTGCTCTGTACGCCCTGTGGTCCCTGAGCCGCCACGCGGCCCTGCTCTACCGAGGTGAGGCTTCTGACTGCGGGCTTGCTGTCCTCCCCAGAGTCAGGGCCCCCGTGTTGTATCTAGGAAGCTGCTTCCTGCACCATCGTCCTCCTTCCACGGGACTCACTGAGCACGGCGGATGGCGCTGTGGACAGATGAGAAGCCCAGTTCCATAATGAGAAGCATATGGGGCAGAGCAGCGTCAGGGTGGTGCCGAGAAACCCAATTTTTCTTTCACTTGGGGTTCGGTTCAGAGAACACTTCCAGAAGGCCCCCTCATGCCAGGCAGCCTGCCGGGCTCTGCAGAGAGCAGAAGCCCACCCACTAGGTCCCATAAGGCACAGACAGACACGAGCCAGGAGTGCCTAGACTTGGGAATACTGGAAGGCTTCCTGGAGGAGGGGGTGCTGGGGCTGATTCCTGGAGGATTGGTGGGAATAGGCTAAACCAAAGTTTGTCAACTTTTTGTTCGTCTTTGCCCCCCAGGAAGCTTTTTAGGTGGTTTTTCCCAATGGCTGGCACCCATGCATCTTTGGTACTAGGATACACTGCATATCCATTCATGTCCTGTGTCTCTGGGCTTGTGAAGAATAAGATCCTCCCCACCCCAAGAGCCAGCGTTTACCCCCTGGAGGGTGGTGCTGACCCCGTGGAGGCCTTGACAGTGCTCAGGTGCACCAAGGAAGGGACACAAGTGTCTGCCAGAGAGGGCGGGCACAGGGCAGGAGCCCCACTGCTGCCTGAGAAAAACCCTAAGTGATGAGACACAGTTCTCTCCAGCGGAAATCACAGCAAACGCAGATCCCACCACAGATGTGCTCCCGAACGCACAAGGCCACAGCCTTGGACCTCTTAGGGCCCTGCCAGAAACCACAGCGGCTGGAGGTGACACCAAGGACCAAGTCCCCCTGCGGCCTCTGAGTCCCTGCAGGTGCCCACCGCCCCCAACTCCCCTGGGTGGTCCCAGGCACCCCCTCGCCCCTGCGCCCCCTGCCATGCACCCCTGCTTCACTCTGCCCAGGAGCCCCTTCCTCACTTTCTCCCGAGGAAGGAACCCGCCCAGCCTCCCTGAACCCCAGCAGGTATGAGCCCAGCGGCCACCTGTCACCTCTGAGCCTGGGACCTTGCCTCCCTCGCTGCCGCGGGCCAGAGACCATCAATGCCTGAGTGGGAAAAGGGTCTCAGAACTCGGCCCCTGAGCAGCACATTCCTTGGGTCACATCTGGGCTGGGGACAGCAATGACACTGATGTGTTCACCCAAAACAGGCCTCCTATATGGCCGATTTGGAAAGTGCACTCAGGGCATGTTGGTATTGGGGGTGGTTTTGGACTGGACCCAGCCCCCATGTGACCGAGGCTGTGCTTGCAGGAGGATACTTCTCCGGTGAGCAGGCGGGAGAAGTGTTGGAGAGCGCCGTCCTGGCTTTGTGTTCCCAGGTGAGCCGTGGGTGCTGTCGCGTTCTCTACATCCATGTTACACAACCGCCCAGAGCGACACGCATCCCCTTAGCATCACCCAGACCGACACGCACCGCCTTAGTATCACCCAGACTGACACGCACCCCCTTAGCGTCACCCAGAGCCTACACGCACCCCCTTACCCAGACCGACACGCACCCCCTTAGCATCACCCAGAGCTGACACACACCGCCTTAGCGTCACCCATGAGCCGACACACACCGCCTTTGCAACCCAAACATTCACGTGTGTTCAGTGTTTAGTAAAAACTGTAGGATTACAAGAAAATATGGCTACATCAGAAATTTTTGCAAAAGAAACCTGTCGGGGCGTCTCCAGATCTGCACACACCCAGGCCCTCTCACACACCTTTTGCAGCTACTTTGAGAATTCTCTGAGCATTCGGGGGACTCAGCCTCCAATTTAAATTTGTTTCCTGGCAGTTTCCTTGTTTATTATATTCTTTTACCTATGTCACCCAGGAAATCAGAGGGCCCCAACCCCACATTCTGATCCGGCATCTCTCTTCCATCCGGGGACAGAAGCTGCAGTGCTGTGCTGTTTAGCACGGCAGCCGCTGGGTTGGGGGAAGGCGGCTGTGTGAGTGAGGGTCTCCGATTTCCTTTCATTGCACTGATTTTGAGGAGCCACTTGTGCTGGTGCTGGTGCTGCTGCGGTGGGCAGGGCCACTGTGTCCGTGGAGACGTCATTCCACTTTTGCTGCTAGGAACTGGACTGAGTGCTGCTGCATTTTAGCACAATGTCTCAGGTGACTGCAGACGTGGCCTTTCATCTCCCCTGTCACTGCTTTCACACTTGATCTGGGACCAGTGGAACGTCCCTGTGACTGGCTCTGAGCCTCTCTCGGGATTCGTTGTATAAAGCCCTTCCCTGAGCCTGCGGTTCCAGAGAGGGGCGTGTCTGATTGTGGCGCACGTATGTGGCCACATTTACTCGTCTTAACATCGAACTGGCCACAGGGAGGGGTTTTCCTTGGCTCCTCCAAGAGCCAAATTTTACCCCCTTGGGGCAGTGTTGACCCCATGGAGGCCTTCAGAGTATGCAGGTGCACCAAGGAAAGCACGGGGGTCTCCTCGCCAGAGAGGGGGGCATAGCGGGGAGGTGTTGTTGATAAAAAGTGTCCGGGTGTGGTGGCTCATTCCTGTAATCCCAGCACTTTGGGAGGCCAAGGCAGGAGGATCACTGGAGGCCAGGAGTTCGAGACCAGCCTGGGCAACGTAGTGAGACTTCATCTCTACAAAAAATAATTTTAAAAAATTAGCCAGGCTTGGTGGCACATGCCTGTAGTCCCAGCTGCTCAAGAGGCTGAGGTAGGGTGGCTTGAGCCCAGGTGTTCGAGGCTGCAGTGAGCCGTAATTGCACCATCACACTCCAGCCTGGACAACAGAGCAAGACCCCGTCTCAAAAAAATGACAGCCACAACTGATTTCCCAGTGAGGCTATGGCCAAGGCTGGATGACCGTTGTGTGCCACTCTGTGTGTGCCCATCCATACCACTGTCTTGGGGAGGCCAAGGTCAGCCAGGTGGAGAAGTTGCCAGCCATCCACTAGACCAGGGCCAGCAAACTCAGTCCAATCCTGCCGTTCACCTGAGTGTCGTCTGTGGGTGCCTTTGTGCTTCCACGGCACAGTAGGCAGTTGCCAGAGACCGTGGCCCGCAAAGCCGGTAACATCTCCCACCTGGACCCTTACGGAACACGTTTGTCGGGCTCAGCGCCTGTGCTCTGCCGAGAGCTTCTCTCCGGGAGCAGTGGCATTTGTCTGCGGCCTCTGTGCTGAGGCACGTGGACCAGGACCAGGTGGCCACGCCCTGCAGAGCGCGGCGCTGAAGCGCAGAGGTGCACTCAGTTCCTCCATTGTGGCCTTTCTTACTCTGTACTGACTGATTGCCTTTGATCCATATCATTAGCGGTGTCTCCCATTCCTGGGTTCTATGCAGTGTAGCCACGGCATTTCATCATATTTTAAGGATAATTTTTGTTTTGCATCTTAAGAAAATTCTTGAGAGTCCACTCATATAAATTTCATGTGTCATATTGAAGAATAATTTGTCCAGTGGAATGGGAGAGTAATAAAACCACCGCCAACCGAGGAGGCTTCATATGCTTATGGCTTTTCCAAGTGCTCATAAATGCCTTCTCTATTACATGTTTTCTGAACATATTTTCCTTTACTGGAACAGCAGTTGCCCAGATAAGCCAAGGCTTAGAAACGAGCCTCTGAATGCAGTTGCTAATTCACGAGCTTCAGGGTCGTCACTTTTAAGGGCCTTTTCTACCTTGTTGGGAAGAAACAAGCCCTAGAAGTCCTGAGTGAAAAGCAGCATGGTGAGAACATTCCAGTGCACAGCAAGGGCCTCGAATCCAGGCCGGTGAAGAGATCACGCATGGGCAGCAGAGCCGCACGTGCCGCTCAGGTGACCCGTTGCTAGTGGGTCCTGGCAACCACACACGGGGCTGTTATGCTTTGGTCACCATGGAAATTCCCGGGAGGTGCCAAGTGTCTGGGCTTTGTTTTCCAACAGCTGAAAGACGATGCAGTTGCCCTGGTAGACGTGATCGCTCCTCCTGACTTTGTTCTGGACTCACCGATTGGCAGAGCCGACGGCGAGGTAAAGGGAGGACAGGGCCTCACGGGAGTGCCCCAAGGGTTGATGGGCATTTCTGCGGAGCTGAGATGCTCCTGTGGGTCAGGGGTCTGGTGTCTTCTGGAAAGTGGTCACACATGGAGGAGCTTCTTGGGGAGGGCCCGGGACAAGTCAGGACTGTCTCACTCTGGTGCTTCCCCATGCTGGCTCTGTGGTTGCAGGGGACTTGCCCATCCCCTGCCTGCCTTTTCCTCCCGAGATGGGGTGGTGGCACTGCCCGCCTGCACAGGCAGAGGTTGGAGGTCCACACACTGTGACCTCTGCCCTCCTCCCACTCCCCCCGGCCTCCCCGGTCCCAGGTCTTACCCCCATCTGACCATGCTCCTGGCCCTGCAGGCCTCTTCCCCCATCCCTGTCCTGGAATCCCCAGGCCCCTCTGTCCCCTCTGACCATCCATGGTTGTCACCGGGGTTACTCTCCCCTGCCCCGCTTTCCCCCAACCGCCTCCCTGTGGCTCCTCAGCTCTCCTCCTGCCCCCCATGTTCCATAATGATTCCTTCATAGCAGATGGGGTCAGGCCGCCCCCCTGAGGGAGCCTCCACCAGCCTCCTCGACTGCCTGCCACGCCCCAGCCCCACACAGCCACTGAATCCTTCCAAGGCCCTTCACCCCACGCTCCCCTCCTGCCCACCAGATCTAGCCTTACTGGCCTCCCCGTCTGTCGCGCCAGGCCCATGCCCACCCCAGGGCCTTGTGCCTGCTGCTCGGGCTGCCTGGAGTGCCTTCCATTCTTTCAGTATAAGCTGACTATTGCTGCCTTGGAGAGGCCTTCTCTGGCCTCCAGCTGAGGCAGTGCCCCCAGGCACTGTAGTGCTGCCCTTGCTGGCCTCATCACTGACCTTGTGTCTCCCTCCCACCTGATGATGCCCTCGAGGAGCGATGCTCACAGGTCCACTGGGTGCCTTCCAGCACCCCACTGCTTATGGGGCTGTGTCTGTCTTCTGCTAGAGGGACTCGGCGTGTCAATGCTCATGTCCCATGCCTGAGGTCCCCTGGCTGTGAGTCACAGAGGGGTTTGACCCCATCCCTGCCCCCTGGCCCCGCAACTGAGTTATTTCTGCTGAAGCACCTGCTGAAGCACCTGGGTCTCTGCCCAAATGGAGATTGAGCCTTAGTGGGCAGGACCCTCCCTCAGTCCTCAGGGAATGCTGAAGTCTGTACATGAGCCCTTACCGGCTTAGCCAGGGAGGGCCCAGCGCCTGGCCTCAGCGCGGCCCAGGCTACACCTGGGTTGGGCTAGGTGTGCCAAGAGGCAGGTAGTGCCAGGAGCCGGGTGGGCAGGGCAGGAGGTGAGAGTTCCCCGTAGTAGGAGAGGCAGGGATGGTCATCTCTGCAGAGGGCCTGCTGTCCTGCATCGGGGACTGACCACTGACCATCCCCAGAGCCCATACAGCCCAGATGATGACTGCCGCTGAGAGCTGAGAGCCAGAGAAGCCCAGTGGGTTTCCCAGCCAGGGAGTGGCAGAGCCAGGATTTGAAGAGACTGTGCCCTGCTGTAGGGAGAGAAGACTTGGCGGGAGCCTTGGGTCCTGGGGGAGCGCATAGGAGAGGGACTTGCCCTACCCACCTTCCTGGGAGAGGCAGTCTCCCCAGGAGGTGGGGGCTCACCAGGCAGACAGGCATTCGAAGGGACACTGGAGCCAGACCCGCCATGGAGGACCCCCAAGCACACGGGACTGTCTGCCCCGTGCAGGAGAAGCCGGAGCGGCCTTGAGCGTCTACCTGCTGTGCCTTGCTCTGCAGAGGCAGGCCCGTCTCTGAGGCAGGGAACGACCAAGGAAAGGAGAGACCTTGCCCATGATGGAGGGGCCCCCTGGCTCTGGGTTCCATAGTTAAAACCAGAGCCAGCTGGAGGTGTCGCTGGCAGGATGGTTTATTAAACGTGCATTCCTGGCTGAGCATGGTGGCTCACACCTGTTATCCTAGCACTTTGGAAGGCTGAGGCGGGCGGATCCCTTTAGCCCAGGAGTTTGAGACCAGCCTAGGCAACATACTGAAACCCCATCCATAAAAATTACAAAAACTGAGGTGAGAGGATCCCCTGAGCTTGGGGAGGTCGAGGCTGTGGTGGGCAGTGATCGCGCCACTGCACTCCAGCCTGGCCAACAGGGTGAGACCTCATCTCAAAAAAAAAAAAAAAAGTGCATTCCTTCCAGTTGCAAGGAACTGGTGTATTAACCAGGAGCTGCCAGGTGAGAAATTCACTATAAGCGAACAAACAGAGCTGCAGGGGAGTTGAGACCATCCTTAAATCAAGCCCGCTGCTCCAAACTGTGAAACATAAGCTGGAACCTAGGCCCTGTGGAGCAGCAGCCTGGGTCTGTGTCTGTGGAGCCCAGAGTAGCAGAGTGGGGAGGAGGGGTTGCTAAGTGCATTTAGCGGGTGCAGGCAGAGGGGTTTCTTCTCAATAAAATGGGTCAGCGTAAGCTGGATACACAATAGACCACCTCCCCAGGCCCTGGAGATGGTCTGGGCTGCCCCTTTCCACCCTGCACGGGTGAAGTGTCTGCTCAGCTGCCCTTCGCCCTTCATTTGTACAACCTTCCTCCAAGACAGGAGCGTCTCTCCCCATCTTCCCAGTGAGGCCACTTAGGCTGAGAGCAGTGAAGTCTGCACCTCCCGTAGGGGAGTGCTGGCCCGGGGCAGGACCAGAGGAGCAGGGTGTGGTGGCCCAGGTCCAGAAATCAGCCAGTAAGGGCCACTCGGCGAGGGCATCCTGCTGCTGGTGGCCACGTGCCACCTGTGCGGCCTGTAGCGGCCTGGGGTGTGAGAGCAGATTTCAGAGCAGCAGTCGATGCAGCCTTGCAGCATCCTGCGGTGGCTGCAGTTACTAAGAAACAGCGTGTCCACTGCCACGATCAGTTCTTTTTTTTTTTTTTTGAGATAGGATCTCACTCTGTCACCCAGGCTGGGGTGCAGTGGCATAATCTCGGCCCACTGCAGCCTCAACCTCCTGGGCTCAAGTGATCCTCCCACCTCAGCCTCCCAAGTAGCTAGAACTACAGGTGAACTCCTCCATGCCCAGTTAATTTTTTGCTTTTTTTTTTTTTTTTTTTTTTTTTTTTGTAAAGATGGGGTTTCGCCGTGTTGCCCAGGCTGGTCTCAAGCTCCTGAGCTCCAGTGATCTGCCTTCCTCAGCCTCCCAGAGTGCAGGGATTACAGGAACGAGCCACCTCACCCAGCCAATAATTTCCAAAGAAGAGGGCGAGGGGTGATTTTCATTATAAATGTGTTTTATAGTACTTTATAATTGAATTGTCCTAATTGTTTTCTACTAGAAAAAAAAAGAAAATATTCATATAAATTTAAACCATTTTAAAATTTCTCTAAAAAGTGACAGAGAATTTCCTGTGCTTTTTTGTTATTGTTGTTGTTGTTTGTTTGTTTTGAGACGGAGTTTTGCTCTTGTTGCCCAGGCTGGAGTGCAGTGGTGCAATCTCGGCTCACTGAAACCTCTACCTCCCAGGTTCAAGTGATTCTCCTGCCTCAGCCTTCCGAGTAGCTGGGATTACAGGCATGCACCACCACACCTGGCTAATTTTGAATTTTTTTTTAGTAGAGATGGGGTTTCTCCATGTTGGTCAGGCTGATCTAAAACTCCCGACCTCAGGTGATCTGCCTACCTCGGCCTCCCAAAATGCTGGGATTACGGGCGTGAGCCACTGTGCCCAGCCGAATTTCCTGTGTTTTTAACAAAAACTTTGAGGAGTTGCATTTGCACACTCAGCCGTCTAGGAATCTTTTCCTTCTTATTTCTTTGTCTTCACTTGCTGTGTACGTGTTGTTTGCAGCTCTACAAAAACCTCTGGGGCGCTGTCCTGCAGGAAAGCAAGGTGTTGGAGCGGGCATCCTGGTGGCCAGAGTTTTCTGTGAACAAACCTGTCATAGGAAGTCTGAAATCGAAGCTCTAGTGGGACTGGCACACATTCAGCCAAGTCTAATGAAACGAAGGGAACTAATCAGACGTGGACCTCAACTTCTGATTCCAGAACACGCCGGAGATTGCTGCTGCTTTCTGAGCCCGCACCTGTGCGCCTAAACTGCTGATTGGCCTCAACTGCCCAGGCGGACGGGAGGGAGGCACCCGGCCGGCTGGACTAATCTGGGATCGCGGTGATTTGCAGCGTGGAAAAGAAATGCAGATGATCATGTCTACCTGATGCGCCGTGGGTTTTTTGATAATTAGAATTTCGCACATTCAGTTTTCAGGGTTCAGCTCCTTTCTCTAAAGTAAACAGCCCATTGTCAGGGATCTTCTGGTCAGACAACCTGTGATTCATCTAGATTTTTTACCGAGCTCCACTTCATTGAGAAGTCAATGATGCCAGTCTGGTTCTTTGTCAACTCTCCCTCGGCTTTGTCACATAATTGAATTATGTCATAACCTTATTAATTTGCACATAGATCATCTGAATGTCGTGGTTTAAGACTTAAGGAGGAACATCTGTTTGATTACTTTCTTTTGTGGAACTGGAAATTTCCATCGAGGAAATGTTTTTTTAAAAAGTCTAATGATTTGAATGGGCAATTCAGTCTCCAACCGCCCCCCTCCCCCTGCCGCCAGTTATATACAAATCACTTTATTGGTAACATGTATGATCTGTTTGTCCCTGCAGAGTCTACCCAGCAAGTCCTTGCACACATGTGGCCTGTCCCCATGGCGCTGGCCACAGCCTGACTGCAGCAGACCGGGGCCATCAGTGCACGCCTCCCCCGGTCACTCCTGCTCCCTGCAGGGCCATGGGCTTGGCTGCCCTTCCCAGTGTTAGGTTCCCGGAGCAGTTCTGTCTTTGCATCTGGGTCCTGCTTCTTAACCTCTGATCAGCTCAGGGCACGGAAGGCCTTCGTCTTCAGTAGCAGGGAGTTGGGTCACTCTGGTGCCCCCTGACCCCCGTGGCCACACTCGTATCACCACAGCCCATCAAACAGATGTAACCCAGCATGTCTCAGGACGGTGCCGAACCAAATAAGACCAGTTCTTATTTTTCCAGGTAGCCCAGAGAACTTTTGAGCGTCTGAAGGGCATGGTCCAGAATGTTTTTAAAAACTGAATTTCCAGCACTGGAAATCACTTCTGAAGCCATTTTCATGTTAGAAAAGGGTCAGGACACCACCCCCCCACCACATCCCACCCGTCTGGGGCTCCAGGGGCATCTGAGGGGTAATTAGTGACTTCTTTGATGATCACCTACCGCCTGCCAGCACCTTACTGAGCACTCAGGATTCATCATCTCGTGGGACGCTCAGCCAACCGCGTGGGGTGAGCTGTGCCGTTTGCTGCATCTGCAGAGAGGAGACTGGTCCCAATAGGCTGGACACTGCCGCAGGCAGACAGCAGGAGGTGGCCGAGCGGGACCAGAAGCCATGGGACCTCCCTGGTGCCTGAGTGCCCCAGCACAGGGCTGAGACGCAATAGGTAGGTGCTGGTATCCATTGTCACTCGAACCCAGGAGCATCCCCACCTGAATTCATCTTACTCTGGTTTAGAAGCTTCCTTGGGTTTAAACAAACTCTTCGTGGGTTACATGTGTTTTGTCTATGATACTCTTCCTGCTTTCAGAGAGAATGGGAATGAGAGTGCTCAGGCCCTTGCGAATTAGATGGAGCAGTTCCGAGTACAAACCCAGAGAACACGTCAGTGGTGCCTGCCAGTGTCGGAGGGGCTCATTCCCCACTGAGGCTGCCACCCACAGGCCTCACGGGCCCGGGGTCCCCAGCCCCACTGCCTGGGGGTCCCAGCCCAAGAGCAGTTGGGCCTGCGTGGGCTGTCAACTGGGGTCATGCAGATTTCCACCAGGGGTCCCCCTCATAGGATGCCTCAGGCCGTGTGTGTGTGGACGGCTCCTTTACCTAGACCTGTAGCTTTTCTAAGCGAGAAGGAACAGGCTCCCAAGTCCTCTGATGTGCCCGCAGCTAGATTCTAGGTGGTGGCCAGCCTGAGTTAGAGTCACGGTCACTCCTGCCTCACCACCCTCCAGAGCAGGCCCCAGCTGTCCTTGTCTCCCAAGTAACAGCTTTGGGCATCTCCGGAGGGGTTTTCATGTTTTGCCTTTTTTATCACTTGGGACCTTGGTTTGTGGTCTCGTCCAGCCTTTGGTCTGAAACTACCTGTTTTTCTACCAGCAGGTCACAGAAGTTGTTCAAGGTCAAGGGTATGTTCAAGGTTTACAGAAAAAAACACATTTGACTTCGGTGTCATATATGACGGGTTCTCATGCAGGAGAGCTTTGTGATGTCACGATGTCACCATGTCAGACACGACAGGTTCTCGTGCAGGAGAGCTCTGCGATGCCTGTGGCCATGATGTCACCATGTCAGACACAACGGGTTCTCGTGCAGGAGAGCTTTGCGATGCCACGATGTCACCATGTCAGACACGACGGGTTCTCATGCAGGAGAGCTTTGCGATGCCACAATGTCACCATGTGGTTTGCATTTTCATATCCACCTGTTGGAAAGGTCCTCATTCGCCAACTGTGGGAGCTGGCACACTTTACTGGCAGTGTTGACAAAAAGCCAAGCTCTGTGAAATATTTGAAGAGGTTTATTCTGAGCCAAATGTGAAGACTATGACCTGTGACACAGCCCTGGGAGGTCCTGAGAATAGCTGCCTAAGATTGCTGGGTTACAGCCTGATTTTATACATTTTAAGGGGACAGAAGTTAGAGGCAGAGAGGTCAGTCAGTACATGGAGAGTGCACATTGGTTCAGCCCAGAAAGGTCTGAAAACAGGCTTCTAGGTATAGGTGTGTTACAGGAAAAGGGACCCCATCTGGACCCCAAGAGAGGGTTCTTGGATCTCATGCAAGAAAGAATTCAGGGTGAATCCATAGAGTAAAGTGAAAGCAAGTTTATTAAGAAAGTAAAGGAATAGAAGAATGGCTACTCCATACAGCAGCCCCAAGGGCTGCTGGTTGCCCATTTTTATGGTTATTTCTTGGTGATATAATAATCAAAGGGTGGATTCGTGCCTCCCTGTTTTAGACCTTGTAGGGTAACTTCCTGACGTTGCCATGGCATTTGTAAACTGTCATGGCGCTGGTGGGAGTGTAGCAGTGAGGACAACGAGAGGTTACTCTCATGGCCATCTTGGTTTTGGTGGGTTTTAGCCGACTTCCTTACTGCCACCCATTTTATCAGCAAGGTCTTTATGACCTGCATCCTGTGCCGACCTCATCTCATCCTGTGACTTAATGCCTTAAGTGTCTGGGAATGCAGCCCAGTAGGTCTCAGCCTCATTTTACCCAGCTCCTATTCAAGATGGAGTTGCTCTGGTTCACATGCCTCTGACATTGCTCCCCTCCCTTTTATAAGACAACCTTTAATCCTAAGGGTTGCAGAGGGATGAAGATCCATCTTCTGTAACTTCTTCAGGGTGAATAGGGTCCATGATACTCCTGCCTATTAAGGTCTCTTCTGTTCAGGGTAGAGAAGAGCTCAGCCAGAAAGCCTTGGAATGGTGAGAGCCATTCATAACTCTTGAGTTCTCACAAAAGGTGATATATGAAAGATTATTAAGTGTTTAAGAAAACATTCAGTAAGCTTGTCCTATATTCCTACACAAAGAGTACAACAGCAATATAACAGAATAAGCAAAGCTATCCCAAGTGAACTAAATTAGAAGGCTTTCCATGAACTGGGCATGTTGGAACTAAGCTGACATGGGGCTGTTAGCTGATTCTAATGTGCCCAGAATTAGAATACTGATCCAGATGTTTACATTATCCATCCCTCTTGTTTCTTCTGAGCAGCAGCCAGAGATCACTGGTTGGTTCACAGGAATAAGCAGGGTTAGCCTAAATTGCAGAAACAAACTTAAAAACAACAATGAAACTAGAATTTAAGAAGTGTACCATAGTTCTTGAAACATAATTTCTCTCTCTAGTTTCCCATTTTCCATTTTTACTAAAAACAAATCTTGGTAAGACTGATTTTATTATACTTGGCCTGATTGTTTGTATAAAGTACAGCAAGAATAATTATTTTTCACATAAGCTCTTTTTAAATTGGCTTTGATGGAACTGTGTTCCATAGAAGGAATCTCAGATAAGACTTTTTTAGAGCCAGGCCCTGCCATGGGTTTGTACCCTCAAATACCTATGAGTTGAGTAAATTCCTCTCCTCTTGAGCCTCAAGATAGCTTGGGGCTACTGGACCTGTCAGAAAGTGACATTCTTCATTTACCACAGGTCAGGAACCCCATACAGGGACTGTGAAGACAAGGTATGAGGCATTTCGCCAAGGGGCTTTTATTGGCTTTACAAGTCAAGTTTGATTCCTTAATGCAAAGCATCCCATTCCAGTTAAAGCCTTGGTAAAATAACCAGTTTTTCCAATTGTCTCCTGTTACAAAAGAAATCAGATGTTTATTGCACTTATGCAAATAACTATATTGCCATTAAATTAAGAATACTCACAAATAGTTTCCAAATTCTGGAGAAAACAGAGAAATATGCTCCAAATTTTGTTCACAGGAGTATATTTTACTCAATTGCTAAAAGCTGTACATAGCTCAAAAGAAAAGTTTCCTTGACTCTGAGAAACGAAACAAAGGATCAGCAACATTTTAAGTAAAGTTAAAAACATTACTTCAGTTTTTTATTGGTTCAGTTAATTTAGTTAACTCCTGTTTTGCTTGATATTCATGAACATTTCAGCTCTCTATGAGAGTTCTGAAAGTTTTTCCTCCATTCTAATATCACAATTTCCAAAGTTATTAAAAACCTGCGTTTAAGAACCCCTGTGAGAGCTCCATAGTTGGTTATAAACCACCTTCTAAAAAGGATTAAAACAAGATAACAATTGTCTGTGGATAACAAAATATTTTAGGGCAGCCACAATCAAAAACATGAAATTTGGTTACCTTTGTGGCATGCAATGATTTTATGTAACAATTATAATTATTAATAACATACAGTAAGTCACATTAGAATTAGAGGATTTTCCCATACTTTTGGAACATATACCAATAACACATTTATACAAATAACAGCCCAAAGAAAACCAAACACCATTTCACATTTGATAATGCTTCCTGAGCAATTTTTGTACCAAATAAGCCAAACGTCACTCTTGCATTAGTGCACTGTTGATGTCAAAGCCAATTAATTCTTAATGAAATCTTATAGACAAATGTGTTCAAACTTAATCAGTTTGGCCATAAGGTAAGTTTCTCATAAGCCTTTGATAACCCTTTACACATTTTTATTAAAGAGCAGGTCATAGGCAGGTTTTTGCTCGAAGAAAAAACCTGTTATGCTTTTATTCCCATGTTCAGTTTACAGAAAAACTGAATAATACCCCTTTAACTTTAGCCCATTTGTTCACACCCAGAATTTTTTTACAAGATTAACTTATAACAAGCCTTCCACAACTTGCGTAAACCTTCAGCTTGATTCTAATTTAAAACAATCCTTTTTTTTTTTTTTTTTTTTTTTTTTTTTTTTGAGATAGAGTCTCCCTCTGTCACCCAGGCTGGAGTGCAGTGGCATGATCTCAGCTCACTGCGAGCTCCGCCTCCTGGGTTCACGCCTTTGTCCTGCCTCAGCCTCCTGAGTAGCTGGGACTACAGGCGCCCACAACCACGCCTGGCTAATTTTTTTTTGCATTTTTAGTAGAGACTGGGTTTCACCGTGTTAGCCAGGATGGTCTTGATCTCCTGACTTCATGATCCGCCCACCTCGGCCTCCCAAACTGCTGGGATTACGGGCGTGAGCCACCGCGCCCGGCCTAAAACAATTCTTTAACTCTTTAATCTAGGTAAGAAAAATCCACATTTCCATGTGTTCTTATAATCTTTTACCAAAAGACACATTTCACTTTTCTTACACATCTTGCATGTAAAACTGTTTTTTTTAGCAGTCTTAATTACATGTGACGATGTTAATTGTTAGTGACTTTTACTCTTGGTGAAAACCTTGGTAAGTTGGGGATTCTAATTGTGTACCAGGTGTGGAATTTAGCCTAGGACACACCAGGCAGAAGTGCAGATAAGGGGGCTGACTCCAGCATAGCTAGGGGCGTGGCTAACTCCACATGTCCCTGGCCTTATCTAGAATCTAATGCTCCAGAGTAGGAAACTGAATAATTTTTAAAAGTCAGGTTGGGCGCAGTGGCTCACCCTTGTAATCCCAGCACTTTGGGAGGCCAAGGCAGGTGGATCACAAGGTCAGGAGATTGAGACCATCCTGGCTAACACAGTGAAACCCTGTATCTACTAAAAATACAAAAAAATTAGCCAGGCGTGGTGGCGGGTGCCTGTAGTCCCACCTACTCGGGAGGCTGAGGCAGGAGAATGGCATGAACCCAGGAGGCGGAGCTTGCAATGAGCCGAGATCGCACCACTGCCCTCCAGCCTGGGCAACAGAGTAAAACTCTGTCTCAAAAAAAAAAAAAAAAAGTCAAAGAAGCAGTTTATGACCTTAAAGCATTTAGCAAACTTAATATCTCACCTGCATAATTTAGACCAAATGTTTACATGTTTGAAGATATTTTTATTTTGCCAATAATCTTTAAAACTCCTTATTTCCCAAAGATTACTTCAGTCACATGAACTAAAAGGCATTACACTTTTTACTTTTCTGACAAAATATTTAAGCACTTATTTTTAAACCAATTAGTTAAAGCTCTTTCATTCATAAACATCACACACATAATACATATAAATACATAGAAGATAAAGAACTTATTTTCCAAGCCAGGAATTGAACCCTGAACCTGGGCCACCATTGTGAAAAGAGAAAGCATGGCCACATGGTTACAAGGTCAAGCTCCCAAGAACATAGAAGACAAGAAGGAAACCTCATCCAGTTTTTTGAGGGACCTGCAGCAAAGTTTGTAATTGACCAGTTTGCTGAGCTGTCTTGAAAAGCAGGCTTAAAGGTGTCCTAAGTCCGTGCTCTATCCTAAGGTACTCCTCTTTATGACAGAGCAATACAGAAAGACACAGAAAGCACACCAGACCTGGTTGGCTACAGCTTAAGACTAGCCTCACAAATCCTTTATTCCATTAATCAAAACTTTACAGGAGATAAACAATTATTTTTTACAATTTATTCAACCAGTTTGCACAGAGAGAGAAAAGCATTGCCTGAGGCAGGATGGGGAAGGCGAGGCGCTCAGGGAGGTCAGAGAAAGACCCATCCATTGCAGCAACACTGAAAAGTTTAGGTGGCTGCTTGTCAGTCATGAAGGGATCTTTTCCAGCAGTCCCGTCAGCTCCCAAGTTTCCCCGTTTAAGGAGGAAAAAACTCCCCAAGTCCTACAATCCTGTACGTGGCTAATTCTGTCACTCACAGCCATCAGCAAAGAGTGCAAGGCAGATTAATCCCAAGAGAATAGCAGTTAACATCCCATAGTGCCAAACCTGCTCTTAGCCAGAAGCGACTTTACTGAGAGGGACCTTACTGAGAGGGGCCTCTAACCCCCTAAATCTGAGAAGGGACTCTAACCCTCCTGAGTTGGGCCTCTAACCCAAGGTTGAGCAAGCGTCCTTACCTTTCCTTAAGAGGGGCCTCTAACCCACTGTGTCTTAGGACAGACTCTAACTCCCCTACGTTGGGCCTCTAACCCAATCCCATCCTTTACCCAGGTACCCCACCACTTATTCAAAGTCGGCCAACCAGTGGTGCAGTCTACTTCTTTTGGGTTGAGGGGTCTCCTCAGTATCGTCCCTTCCATGATTCACCAGAAAGACGTTACCAGACCCTACCACTTACCCAAAGTTACTCTTTGGGTCTGGGGTTTCCACACTATAGTCACTTCTGTGGTCGCCAGAAAGATGTTACAGGACCCCATCACTTAACCAAAGTAAACCTTTGAGTCAAGGGTTTCCACACTATGGTTCTTTCCATGGTCACCAGAAAGATGTTACAGGAAAGGGGTCCCAATCCAGACCCCGAGAGAGGGTTCTTGGATCTCACGCAAGAAAGAATTCAGTGCAAGTTCATGAAGTGAAAGCAAATTTATTAAGAAAGTAAAGGAATAAAAAAAGGGCTACCCATAGACAAAGCAGCCCTGAGGGCTGCTGGTTGCCCATTTTTATGGTTATTTCTTGATGATATGCTAATCAGGGTGTGGATTATTCATGTCTCCCCTTTTTAGACCATATAGGGTAGCATCCTGACGTTGCCATGGCACCTGCAAACTGTCATGGTGCTGGTGGGAGTGTAGCAGTGAGGATGACCAGAGGTCACTCTTGTGGCCATCTTGGTTTTGGTGGGATTTAGCCAGCTTCCTTATTGCAGCCTGTTTTATCAGCAAGGTCTTTAAGACCTGTATCTTGTGCTGACCTCCTATCTCATCCTGTGACTTAGACTACCTAACCATCGGGGAATGCAGCCCAGTAGGTCTCAGCCTCATTTTACCCAGCTCATATTCAAGATGGAGTTGCTCTGGTTCACACGTCTCTGACAGGTAGATTCAAAAATTTCCTGATTGGCAATGGGTTGAAAGAGTTAAGCTTTGTCTAAAAAGTTGAACTCAGCTTGAGTTAAGGTGGGGGCGGGGGTGGTTGTGGAAGCCAAGGTTTTTGTTATGTTGATGAAGCCTCCGGATGGCAGGCTTCAGAGAGAATAGATGTGCATGTCTCTTATAGGCCCTTAAAAGGTGTCAGAGTCTCCAGAAAAAGCCTAATAAGGGAAGCAGATTCTCTGCAGAATGCACATTTCCCCCATGAGAGACAGCTTTGCAAGGGCCATTTCAACATATGTCAAGGAAATATATTTTGAGGTAAAATACTTTGATTCCTTCGGGGCTACTATGTGTCATGTGATGCTATACCGGAGTCCCGTTGAATTGGGTATCTTATTGCTACAGAGAGTCTGTTTTGTCAGTCTAGGATCTCTGTTTTTATTTTAATGTTGGTCAGTTGTGTCTAAATTCCAGAGCGGGGCAGGTATAATGGGGCATCCCGAGCCCTCCTTCCCATTCATGGCCTGAACTGGTTTTTCAGGTTTCTTTGGGTCCCGGTGGCTGCAAGGGGATGCACTCAGTTGGCTGGGGGACTTAGAATTTTAGTTTTGGTTTACAGCAGGATTTGATGGGCATGCATATTTATCAATGTGAAAGTGTTGTCTGTGGGCGGCGGAGGGCTTGGGCCGTGTCCAGGCCACGCACTGCAAGGGTGCAGCCCCCACACACGGTCCCTGCTCCTAAAGCTGTTGCCCCCACTGCAAGAGTGGAGTAGGTTGAGGTGTAGCCATGACATTCTGGAAACTACATTTTTTGTAATAGTCATTTTGAAAATAAAACATTTGAAAATACTGTGCAGCAAAAACTTGAATAATTGGAATAAAAATGTTCAGTTTAATGTCATTGCTTGCTGCCACCGTTTTCTGATTGTAAAACTAACGTGATTATTAGGTACTATTTTGGTAATGTAGAAAACTTTAAAGATGAAAATAGATATCACTTATAACTCCACATGGAGAAATAGTTGCCCCTCCAATTTAATTGATTTACTTTTGGGCCACAGGGGCCCAGAATTTGATTCATTGTACTCCTTGGTTCATGCCAGTGTTCCTGCACCCAGCACTGAAGCTGAACATTGACAGTGATTTGCCCCTGCCCCAGAGTCCTCCCTGCATTCCCCTCGAGGGCCCCCGTCTCCTGGCCCTGGTGTCCACTTTTCTCTCAGCTGCTGGGAACGTGTTAGTGTGCACTGTTCTCCTTTCCCTCACCTGCTGGCTTCATGTTAGCATGCACCGTTCTGCTCACTTTCTTCCCCTCACCTGCCGGGATCATCTTAGCATGCACCATTCTGCTCACTTTCTTCCTCTCACCTGCCAGGATCATGTAAGCGTGCACCGTTCTCCACACTTTCTTCCTCTCACCTGCCGGGATCACGTTAGCATGCACCATTCTGCACACTTCCTTCCCCTCATCTGCCAGGGTCATCTTAGCATGCACCATTCTGCTCACTTCACCTTCTTCTTCTCGCCTGCTGGGATCATGTTAGTGTGCACTGTTCTGCACACTTTCTTCCTCTCCCCTGCTGGGATCATGTTAGTGTGCACCGTTCTGCACACTTTCTTCCTCTCACCTGCTGGGATCATCTTAGCATGCACCATTCTGCTCACTTTCTTCCTGTCACCTGCTGGGATCATGTTGGCGTGCACCATTCTGCACACTTTCTTCCTCTCGCCTGCTGGGATCATGTTAGCGTGCACAGTTCTGCATACTTGCTTCCCCTCACCTGCCAGGAACAGGTTAGTGTTCCCCATTCTGCACACTTTCTTCCTCTCACCTGCCGGGATCATGTTAGCGTACACCATTCTGCACACTTTCTTCCTCTGTGTACGTGTGTGTGGTTTTCCTTTCAGAAATGGGTCATACTCTGTGGACATCTTTTTCCACTTAAAGTGATGGCACAGCCATTTTCCCAGTCAAGTAACATGAATGTACAAGTTTAGCAAACTTCCTCCTGAGAGATGGAGAGATCAAGGCTTCTGCTCCGTGGCAGCCATCCGTGCACATGCATCACTGTGCGTGAGTTGGTCCCAGTGGCTTGCTGAGACATGCTCTGCACAGGGGAGATTTCTTATACCAGCAGTGTGGGAGGCAGTGGGGCAGGTAGAGCCACAAGTGGGGATGAGGGAGCAGAGTCTAGGGCAGGCTCCTGGATGGACACCAGCTACACTGTCTATTGGATGTGGGACTTCCCTCACTGATGAAATGAATAAGAGAATCTTCCTCATCCTGCTGTTGTTGGCGTTAAAACGGGTTAATGCATGAAAGCAACAAAGCCCGGCCTGCAGACAGCACATGGTAAGTCTCCTCTTCCCAGCATGTTCAACAGGAAGCCCTCATTCCCTCTAGAATGTAGGAGTCTTGCCAGCAGTGGCCTGTTTGTTCTCTGCCTGTTGCCGACCTGATGAGAACATAAAATTGGTGTCTTCTGTATAGATTTCCTTCTTATTGCCCCTACTGTGGCTGAACATACCTTCCCCCGTGCTTGAAGTCTGTTCATATATGTTCTGCTGTGATAACTGCCCATTCTTGTTCTCTATCTAAGAAGGCATTTAGTTTTGAAAATATTTTGTTGGCTTGTAAGATATTTGTACATATTAAGCACAGCAAACCTGTAACATATTCACTGTAAATCATTATTCCTCATGCATCATTTGCCATTTAACTGTATTTTTTTCCTTTTTGATGTAACCTGCTATAGTTTACATTTTTAAATCAGAAATGCCTGCACATTTTAAAACGAAGACTCTTATGCTCTAGCCTTTGAGGTCATGCTTGGAAAGTCCTTTCTCACACAAAGATTATTTACACTTTCATCTCTTTTTCTCTGAGTACGTTTCAGTGTTTAATTGACCAGGAATGTATTTCGAGGTGTGATATGAGACAAGGATCTGAAATGCTTTGCCCACTGAATCATCATGCACTGACCGAAATGCCACCTGTATGAGTGCTAAAATCATTGTCGCTGGACCTGTGTCTGCACTGTTTAATTTTAGTGTTGTTTCTCACATCAGCTTCTGTTGTTTTCATGGTTGTGGTTCTCATACTTTTAATATCTGTTGGAGCAAATAAAGCCTCGTTTCTCATCTTTTCCAAAAATGTCTTATGTATGTGAACTTTGGTGTTATTTGTCAAGTCTGGGCATTCTCCCACCCCCATATTAAAGAATGCTCTCTGGAGTTTGTCTGGAGGTTTTGTTTAACTTTTAGATTCACATCAGGAGAATCTTTGTCTTCATGGTAAGTGGTCTTCCCATCTAAGACTATTTCTTCAAGCTGTTTGTAATAAAAAGCTGTGTGATTTTTGTATGTTTATTTTGGTCACCTTATTGAAACCTTATTTTAATTATGACAGTTTTTCATTGATTCTCTTTGGTTTTCCTTCTCTATCATTGGCAAATAGTGATGGTTTACCCTTACCCTTCTGATATAGTTTGGCTGTGTCCCCACCCAAATCTCATCTTGAACTGTAGTTCCCATAATCCCCACGAGTCATGGAAGGGACCTGGTGGGAGGTAATTGAATCACGGGGTAGTTACCTCCATGCTGTTCTTGTGATGGTGAGTGAGTTCTCATGAGATCTGATGGTTTTATAAGGGGCATTCCTCCTTTTAATTGGCACTTCTCCTTCCTGCCGTCATGTGAAAACGGACGTGTTTCCTTCCCCTTCCGCCATGACTGTAAGTTTCCTGAGGCCTCCCCAGCCATGCTAAACTGTGAGTCAATTAAACCTCTTTCCTTTATAAACTACCCAGTCTTGGGCAGTTCTTTATAGTAGCGTGAGAACGGACTAATACACCTTCCAAAACTTTTACCCGTCATTTAACTTTCCTGTCTAATGACATCTGCTGGCCCTGCGGGATCAATCTTTCACACCATGCTGGGGAACCATTGCTTGGTGTCTGCCATTATGGGAATGCCTTCAGCCTTCGTATTAGTTTGATGCCATGTGGACGGTGGACTGGAAAGACAGTCTTGCTTGGCAGTGGACACAAGTGTGTGCCCATGGTTGTGCCCGTGGCCAGAAATCTCTGTGACTCACCAAGGGAGATGCCTGCAGAATGAGAGAAGTTTCTCACTGTGAGCTTAAACACAGAGGGAGCTTCCTGCGGCTACACGGGGCCAGCTGGGATGCATGCCTGCAGAGACATCTCAAAACCACAGGCGGATGAAGAAGATAAAAATCAGCCAGACCCCATCATCTGTGAAAGCCCAGAAATATCTTGGGGTTGAGGTCTTTGCGGCTGTCACTGCTAAGGATCTTGATGGTGGCGGAGGCGTGGGAACTCTTTCATTTTAGGATGTGTAGTTGACATGGAGCAGCCTCTTGGAAACTTGGTTTGGATGCACTTCTGACGGCTCAGCCCAAGCGTGAATCACGTTCCCCCATCATTGTGTATCCACCCCACCCTCCAGGTTTTAGGTGGTTCCAGCCCCTGGGCTGCCGGCCAGCAGGGAGTGTCCATCTGACCAGCATTTAGTGAACACCTAGCTACACGTAGCACTGTGTGGGGACAGCATGTGCCATAGGACCACCTCCTCGTCACCAGAAACTGCCTTCCTCCTTGACTTTGTTCATGTGGGCCTTTTACTAAGACACTTCACAGGCTTTTCATGGGTCCCATGGGGCCGTGTCCCCATCTGAAGCATGCCCCAGCCATGGGTCCCCTGGAAGTCAGGGGGTCTTGGCTTCTCTCCTTGTGTGGTGGACCCTGTGGGCTTCCTGTCCAACTTCCAACCCTTCCTCCTCACTAACAGAACCCCAGTTCTGTCCAGATTTCTCCCCAGATGTGGACAGCCCCAAGCCTTGGGAAGCTGCCCTGCCCCAGCACTGGCACTGGTTCGCCTTAGCTGAAGTGCCCTAGCACCTTCCATTCCCTTGGCCCCAAGGACTGGCTCAGTGATGAGGCAAAGTCCAAGGGTCCTGTTGAGTCTTAAAGACTGGCTGGGGACGTTGGGACAGAAGTGGCCTCTCACTTCCGGGGGACATTGCCCTGGACACTTAGGAGCTTCAGGTGGCCTCAGCCATGGTGCCACCACGATGAGACCAAAGCCACCCTATGGAGTGGGGCATGCCATGGGAATCACGGACCACAGTGGAAGCACAACTACAGGCCGTGACTGCAGGAGGACAGGGCCCTGGATGGACGACAACTCTTCCCTCTCTGGCTTGCAGTTCTCCTGCAGAACTGACCGAATGCAACACCCTGGAAAAAGGAGGAAATGACCCGAACAGCCCAGGGTGTGGCCTTGGTCCTCCCAGATAGGATACTCTGCAACACGTCTGCTCGGTGAGCCCAGTGGTGCCCAGGGTATAAAAACCAGGGCAGAGCACTTTTGGGTCCCTCTGCAGTGCAAGGTGGGCATGCACAGATGCGACTCCGTCCACCCTGGGTGGCTCTCCTGAGCCCTGGGGCCATGGCTCGAGTGGAGCCCAGGCTTCTGTTTGGACTTGCTGCCTGCCTGTGAGCATCCTGTCTCTCTGGACCAGACCTAGGAACCTTGGAGGTGGCCTTCCTGGTGTGGGAGCCGCCTCCTAATTGCTCGAGGCAGCTGGGCAGGGTGCGACAGACTTCTTGCACGGAGCCCCAGCATTGGCCACGGTGGGGACTGCTTGGCCCCACAGGCACGTGCAGAAGAACCCAGCTGGGGGGCTGTGGCCCTGCCGGAGCCTCTACTCTCCATGTGAGGAGGGGAAGATGCGCTCAGTCTCTGGCCTGGGCGGGCCTGTGCCGCATGTGCTGTGCCGTGGTCCCCGGCACTCTCGCCTTTGCATTCCCCTCTGGGGCCACTTGCTGTCATGCAGCTTACATCAGAGGGTTTCCCTTGGGCTCTGGGCTTTGATCCTAAATCTGGGAAGTCAGGGCCACTCTGCATGAGAACCCAGAAACCGGTGTTCCTGTGGCTTCCAGGAAGGCCCCACCCACCTGCACCCATTCAAGTGCAGGGACTGACCTCAGCTCATTTCCATCCCACCAGGCTGTCCAGCAGCCGCCCAGGAAGGGACTTGGTTTGCTTTGTGAAGCTTGGAGGAGGATGTCCCCAGCTCTGCAGTGGTCAGTGGGAGCCCCGTGTTGTGTTGTGAAGGGAAAATGTGCAGTGACTTGTGGAAGGACCTTCCTCCATTCACCCCCTCCATGTACACCCTTGCCTAGGAGATAGACGAGGAGGTTTGCTCAGTCCCGGGCGGCTCTGTGCCCAGCCACTGCACTGAGTTTGGAACAAGGTTTGCTCAACCTTTTATGTGGTTCACAAGCTCCATCTGAATTCTTTCAAGCAAGGAGGCCCACATTGTGCTGAACTGTTTGCTTTGCAAGAGAAAATACACATCTAGTCTTACAGGGCCGAGCACTTGGGGAATGAAAACAACCCAAGAACAGCTGCCCACGCGTCCTCCCTGGGTGTTTGTTCTTCGATGCATTATTTGTTTGCCAAAAATTCTTGACATCTCTTGAATTGTTTTTTTCTTTGCTTCAGAGCAAGGCTTCTAAAAACAAAATAATTTTTTAGGAAGATTTTCCTACGTCATCATCCTTAAAGACCCTGGTCGATGTCTTTTCTGCCAGCCTTCGGGACATGGCACAGGAGCGTATAAAGCAGACAGGCTTGGGAGTTAGGCCCAGGTTCAAATCTTAACTTTGTCATTTGCTGTGAAGTGGCACATTGGGAATGTTTCTTAACCTTTCCAAATTGGTTTCCTCCTATGTAAAGGTTGTAGAACTACCTGCCTTCCAGAGTCCTAAGCATAGGCTGAGATAATATATGTGAAAGTCTCTAACAGTCCTGAGCACACAGAGGGGCTGTGGCTAGACTGGACCCTAGGAGCTGGGCCCAGGAAACTGTACTCCTTCTTGTACCCTTAGACATTTCTGATGGCCACAGTCTCAGGACCTCTGCCTATTCACTGGGCCTGAATTCTGAGGAGGAAAGGGGGGTGGTCAGTGTCCCTGGGGGCAGGGGAGGGGCCATCCGTGCGCTGGTGAAGCTGCTGAGGTGAGGACAACAGTCCCGCCCTGTGTTCTCTGTGTCCTTGCCCGTGTGTGCCCAGGCCGGCTCTGCTCTCGGCTTCCGGTTCTCCCTCCTCAGTGTGGGGCTTTCTCAGGATCTAGGGTAGCCACAGTGTGAGCTCTGGGCGGACCCTTGTCTGCGCATCCCAGTCCTGCACAGAAGGCCTGGCCCCTGCGGAGCCTGGCCTTTGTATCTGTGTGAGCACCACCCCTACACACCTGGCCATCTAGCCCTTCCCAACCCAGGACGGCTGGGAGGCGCTCCCCCTCTGTGCCCTCCCCACCCTTCCCCACGTCCCTGACCAGCAGCCTCTGTGTGGATGTGAACATAGTATAGGCGGCAAGACTCGAGTTTCCCCTGGCGTCAGGGTCACAGGAGCCTGTCACCTTCCGACCCAGCCATGGCCTGTTCTCCAGAAGGAATCACTTGGTGGGCCTCTGTCACCATTGGCTGCAGCAGCCCCAGCCCTCAGGACAGCACTGACTGGGCCTGGCCACTCCTCTCAGCGGCCTGGAAGCTCGTGGAGCCCAGGACCCAGGTCTGGAGGGTCCCTGTCTCCAGCTCCCAGCACAGGGCCGCACACAAACACTGGGAAAGCACTCAGCAAGCCCTGGAGTGGAATGGGGGAATGATGAACAAGTGAAGTGAGTGAATGAAGAAGTGAGTTAATGAATTAAAGGAATGAATTGGGCAGGTCTAGATGGTGAAGCAGGAAGGGGGCCATGCTGGCCAGTGCGCCAGTGCCGGACTTCCAGGCATGGCCTCGCCACTCCAACCAGTGTGGGTCTCTGCCCTCCCCACAGGAGACATGGGCTCTGCTGTCCCCCAACTATGGGCTGTGCATGAGGGGCCGGCTCCCCTCTGTTCCCCTGACCAGGGACGGGTGTCTCCTTGCTGTGCCTCTCGTAGGACCCGCGCGTGAGGGGCTCAGCTGAGGTCAGTGGTGAGCCGAGGAGCTTGGACGGAACCACCTCTACACCAGGCAGGACGTGTGGGCAGCCGCAGAAATCTTGCTGCAGTATGCCATGGCTAGATGGAGTCTGCCAACCAGGGAAAAGTCCACTCTTCCTTGCAATATCATTGCATTTTAAATTCTTTAAAAACCATCACCAGGAAAAAAAATTTAAAAAGCTGCGGCTCCCTTCCAGTCCTATTAAATGAGCAAATGCTCTTTCCAGAGATCCTTACTTGCCAATTACAGTAACTGAGGAATTTTGTAAGGTATGCATTTCTTTTCGCATATAGGAATCCTGTATAAAATAACAGAGCACTGAAGAAAGACTCTGAAACTGCCAAGGGAGGTCGGCCCGCTGCCCTCAGCCTCTGGCATTCTGCATGGGATCCTGGCCTCTGGGTGAAATGTGCTAGAGCTGGGCTTCAGAAACGCAGGCAGGTTCCTCCTGGCCCCTCCCAGAAGTGAGGTCAGCATGGGAGAAGCCACTCCAGGGAGGAGATGACCCTCTGCCTTTCCTGAGGGAGAGGAGGTCAGCAACAAAGACCTTGAAGGTCCCGGGTCTTCCTTTGCAAACACAATGCTGTGGGAGTCCTAGCTCTTTACATCCTTCCCTGGAGTGATGACCACACAAGGTGTTACAGGTTCAGTTGCATCCCCCTACAATTTGTATGTTGAAGCCCTAACCTCCAGGAGTGCAGTGGTGCGATCTTGGCTCACTGCAACCTCTGCCTCCTAGGTTCAAGGGATTCTCCTACCTCAGCCTCCCGAGTAGCTGGAACTATAGGTGTGTGCCACCACGCCTCGCTATTTTTTTTGTATTTTTAGTAGGGACAGGGTTTCACCATGTTAGCCAGGATGGTCTCTATCTCCTGACCTCGTGATCCGCCCACCTCTACCTCCCAAAGTGCTGGGATTATAGGCGTGAGCCACCACGCCTGGCCAAGACAGGGCTTTTTAAGAGGTGATTAGGCCGGGCGCGGTGGCTCACGCCTGTCATCCCAGCACTTTGGGAGGCCAAGGTGGGTGGATCACCTGAGGTAGGGAGTTTGTGACCAGCCTGACCAACATGGATAAACCCCATCTCTACTAAAAATACAAAATTAGCCTGGCACGGTGGCACATGCTTGTAATCCCAGCTACTCGGGAGGCTGAGGCAGACAAATCACTTGAACCCAGGAGGCAGAGGTTGCTGTGAGCTGAGATCGCGCCATTGCACTCCAGCCTGGGTGACAAAAGCAAAACTCTGTGTCAAAAAAAAAAAAGTGATTAAGGTAAAGTGAGGTCATCAGAGTGGGCTCTAATCCAGTCTGACTGGTATCCTTATAAGAGATGAGGACACAGACAGTCACAGAGGGATGACCAGGTGAGGACACGGAGGGAAGGTGGCATCTGCAGGCCGAGGAGAGAGGCCTCAGGAGAAACCAATCCTGTCGACACCTTGGTCTCAGACTCTCAGCCCCCTGAGCTGTGAGAAAATAAATGTCTGTTGTTCCAGCCCCCAGTCTGTGGAACCCCACTATGGCAGCCCCAGTAGACTGATAATCATTC
Source organism: Homo sapiens (assembly GCF_000001405.40). NCBI lineage: Eukaryota > Metazoa > Chordata > Mammalia > Primates > Hominidae > Homo > Homo sapiens. Next base: position 8,348,893 of record NC_000004.12, on the reverse strand, counting down.
ATTCCCTGTGGGATTTTTGTGAGCCCAGCCAGGGACCAGATGATTCCACCTATTTTATTTTATTTTATTTTATTTTATTTTATTTTATTTTATTTATTTTATTTTACAGACAGGGTCTCGCTCTGTCACCCAGGCTGGAGTACAGTGGCACGAGCTCAGCTCACCACAACCTCTGCCTCCCAGGCTCAAGTGATTTCTCCTGCCTCAGCCTCCCGAGTAGCTGGGATTATAGGCACCCGCCACCATACCCAGCCAATTTTTGTATTTTTTTAGTAGAGATGGGGTTTCACCATGTTGGCCAGGCTGGTCTTGAACTCCTGACCTCAAATGATCCACCCGCCTCGCCCTCCCAAAGTGCTGGGATTACAGGCATGAGCCACGGCGCCCAGCTGATTCCACCCATTTTAGATAAGGAAACTGAGGCAGAGAGAGGCTTAGTGGCTCATCTGAGGTCCCTCTGACAGTGGGGCACACCATACCCTGGGGCCAGGTTTCAACTTCTGGTCCAGGCTGTCACCTCCCAGAGGAAAAAATCACACGGTTTAGGGCTGCTGGATGATACAGGATGTTCAAGGGAAGCTGTGAGGAGGCACGTGCAAGCCTGGGAGGCCCAGGGTACAGTTGGGGCCTGATGCAGAAGCCAGCGAACTGCCATCTCACTTCCTCTTCCACCAGCCCTCCAGCCTCCAGAGCCCATCCTCCAGTGAGGACGTGGGCCATAGGAGGTCAGGAGCTGGCATGCAAACTCAAGTTCACCAGGCTCCAAAGTGTACTAGGGTGTCGCTGGAGAGAAACTGCAACCAATTTATGATTTACAGGGTCGTTCGCGCACATTATCTGATACCATCACCTCATGCCCATCACAAGGTCAGGATGAGCCCCGTTTTCCAGATGAGGAGACTGATTTCCAGAGAGCTCAAGTGACCAGCCTGTAGCCCCTGAGTGAGGGAGGAGAGGAGCCCTCGCTGCCTCTGCCCTGGTCTCTGCCCCAAATGAGGAGCTCCCACGGGACTGGGCACTGGGCACTGGGCATGGGGTAGGGGACCTTGCAGTGCTGACACTCAACGCATCAGAAGGAGGTGCTGCACCACCCACCCCCCTGCCATGTGCTACAGAGAACCACAGGCAAGGGGCATGGAGACGACTCAGTGCTGTGGGCTCTGGATGTTCTGCAGCAAACTCCTCCTTCTAGAAGGTTCCTTCCCTCCGCCCTCACTTCTGAGATGGCGCTGAGTCCATGGAGGTACACAGGGAATTGATACCTGGTGCCACAGAACACAGTTGGGTGATTCTTTCTGATTCTGAGTACTTGGGACAGGCAGGGTTTTAAAGACTCAATCTAAGGAGCATGTCAAGGAACAGATTCAAGGTAGGCTTGGGGTGGTCCACCCTCACCAGGACCCATGGAGAAACAGGCAGCAGCTGGAGGCTCAGACCTCCCTCAGCTCCCCTACGGGGGTGTGTTCTCTGGCTCTGCAGTGAGGTAAGCCTACCCTAACCCTAACATGAACCCTAACCCTAACCCTAACCCTAACCATCACAGAAAGTGCACGGGGCAGAAAGGCAGAGGCTTGCGGTTCTGGTGGCATCTCTGTAGTGACCTCGGTTTTAGGCCCTGCCTCAGTTCCCCTCTCTGCAGCCACAATGATGAAGAGGATAACAGCTCTGGGGATGCTGCTCCCCTACCCCCAGCCCAGGCATCCCACCCCAGGCCTGGCCCACCTACCAGGAGTTCCGGGAGCCGAGACGACACTGCTCAGGAAGCTGTGACACCATCCCCAGCCCAGGGGACAGGAGCCCTTTGTGGGGACAGCATGAGGCCAGCGTGGCTCCCTGCCCAGCTGCTGGCCTCAGCCCCGTCTGGTCTGTGTTTGCTCACGGTCTTCCTGAAGCCAGGCTGGAGAAGCGCCCCCGGGCCGGCCGCCGGGCAGTGATTTCCTTTCCCTGATGTGCTCCAAGACCAGGCTGGTTTCCACAAACTCCAGCCCCCACCTGGGCTCCACACTTGCCTGACGTGACCTTGAAACTCTAAGATAATGAGCTTCAGAGGCACAAGAGGGCTGTGGTGGCCGCCGTCCATCAGCGCCAGCCTTCCAGCCCCTCCCCACCTACCTCACCCTCCCGAGACCCCTCCCCAACTTCTCCCAGACGCTTCCCCCATTTTAACCCAGTGTTCACCCTTCATGCCTCCTGACCCTCCCCCACATCTACCCAGTCCCCCTCCCAACCACCCAGCCCTTCCCATCATCTCCATCCAGTGCTCCCATCCCCTCTGGTTCCACCCCCACATACACCCAGAGCATCCCCACATACACCCCAGCTCATTGCCTGGACACACCCAGCGGCTTTCCCACCTCCATCCAGCCCCTTTCGCAATGAGCCATTTATCCAGCAAATACCTACTAAGTGTTTGCTATGTGCTGGGCTCTGAACAAGTGAGTAATTGGGGGTGCTACATGGTACACCGTGTTTGAACTCCCCAGCAGAGGGCCAGCCTCCGGAGGCGCAGGTTACCGCGGCTCCTCACCTCCCGCTGCCTGGCTCTCAGGAGGCCGGGGAACCCGAGGCAGTGTGCCAGGAGAGGTGGCACCTAAGAGGGCCTTTGGAAATCTTCTGGCTCTCCCACGGTTCTGTATATGGGGAAACTGAGGCCCAGAAAGAGCCAGGAACGTGATTCCCATCATACAGCAAGGACCTGAGCCCCAGCCCTGCATCCAGTGCCTCTTGCCAACGAGAGGGTTCTGACGACAAGTGTGCTCGGCCACACGCCAGAGCAAAGTCCAGGGCCGGCCGGCGAGGTAGCACGCGTGTCACAGCGGGACGTGTCAGGACTGTCCTCTAAACAGTGATCCCAAACACGCCAGCCAGCCCGAGCGGCGCCGACCACGGGCGCGCGGGAGCAGGGCTGTGCGCAAGCAGGGCTGTGCGGCGTGCTCTGGGTTTGCCGCCCTGCCGTGGGTGTGCAGGGTGGACGCAGAGGCCGATGGCTGTTAAAGGGGCACAGGAAGAAGCCAGCCCCCTTCAGGGACGGACGGGGAAGCTCAGCGAGGCAGGGGCTCCTCAGAAGGGAAAAGACGCACAAAAAGGGCCGTGTGTCCTTCAGCCAGGGGTAGACGCCGCGCTGAGCGAAGCCCTCAACAGGCGGAACTTCTTGCACCCAACAAGACATCCGCAGGGTGTCCACCTGCCCAGGACACCTGTGAATGTTGGGTGGATCCTGCCAAACAGTCCTCCAAAGCACTCATTCCAGTTCCCACTCCCAGCAGCTGCACCCTCCCCAAGCTCCCTCGCCCCAGGATCTCACCGGCACTTGGTATGTTCCATCCGCTTCACTTCATCCTTTCCGGTGGGCGCGCAGGAGGATCTCGAGGGGTTTTAATTTGCATGCCCTGATGGCTGACAGAGCCGAGCATCTTCCCAAGTTAATTGGCTGTGGGACGCTTTCCTTTGTGAAATGCCTGCCCAACTCCCTCTGTTTGAAATCAGGGTGATTTGGTTCCACCGCCCATGCCTCTTCCCTGCCCAGGCTGACGCCACCTCTGCAAAAAGGGACTCGGCCCATTTGTGTTCTGTCCACCTAAAGATTGCAAGATGGATCCTTGAACCTCTGAAGCTCCTGGGGCAGGGCGTGGAAGAGCGATTCCAACTCAAGGCAAATCGTGTTCGGGCGCTCATCCCTCCACGGCCGGGCTGCCCTGGGAGGCTTTTCCTAGTTCCCCCCGACTCCATCTCCATCCCTGCCTGGCCAGGCCCCTGGAAGTGAGGCTGTGTCCTCCCTGGGACCCCCAGCTGCTGGCCCAGCCTTTGTGGTGGGAACAGCACCACCATGCATTAAGGGGCCTGGATCCTTCTCTCTGCTGTGGAGCCTTGGGTGACCATATCCCTCTGGGCCTCAGTTCTTTCCACCTGCTTAGTGAAGGCATTGGAACGCAAAGTCCTTTGATTTTAGCCTTCTAGCTGAGGTCATTTCTCTCCGTGAAGGTTTCTTTATAAAATCATAAACAAAATAAATACTTCATGTAAAATGTTAAAATCAAGGAAAAGAATCTCCCAGAGTCCCACCTGCTCACCCCCAAACAACAAATGCCGTCATTCTGGGGCGTTTCTTTCCAGACTTGTTCTTGGAGTGATTTTCTGAATATAATTATGCTCCTGTCACTCATGTGCCTTTTCCTCTCACTTCCTCCATTGACCTCGGCTGTAAGTATTTCCCGTGGCACTGCGTCGTCCTCATTCGCCTCTTTTTAAATGGTGACCTAATATCCCATGAAACCAGTGATCACCAGCACTCAGCCCCTCCCCACTACTGGACATGAAGCTGCTTTCCAAGTCTCATGATGACACACGGCACAGCAAGGGTGGACAGACGACCCAAATATGTGTGGCATGCTCTGGGTTTGCCGCCCTGCTGTGGGTGTGCAGGGTGGACGCAGAGGCCGGTGGCGGTTACAGGGGCACGGGAAGAAGCCGGCCCCCTTCAGCGAGGGATGGGGAAGGTCAGTGAGCTTCCCTGGGCTCTGTGCTTGGGAGCTCAGCATCCCTGAGCTCTCAGCACTGATGCAGGAATCTAGCCGGACTCCTGTTCTGGGTTTTCCAGGCCTGCACCTTTTCCCTAAACCCACCGGCTCTTATCCCTTTCCTGGGCCTGACCTGGATATCTAGGAGGGAAATATCTCGTGTATTGGTGTCAGAGTTCCTGGCCGGCCATGACTCCAGAACCCCAGCAAGTGACACAGACTTTCGGAGCCTCAGTTTTCTCGTCTGTAAACTAGGTACAGCATCGCCTACATGGCAGGGCTCCTGTGAAGACTCACTGTGATGCCGGACCCAGCTCATATTGGGGTTCAGTAGATGGTGACGGCCGCTGCCGTGCAGCCACCAGAGTGAGGCAGGAGGGTCCAGCCTGGGGAACCCCAGGGCACACAGGGCCAGCTCCACTCTCAGAGGGATCTCAGGGGGCAGAAATCCCCAGGCCGGATGCTATGGCTATGTCCGGGGACCCTGCCTGCCCAGGGGCTGGGCTCCCAGCAGCGCGTGGGACACCCACAGAGCGTGCTGGGTCTGAGGCCCCTCTGCCGGGAGGGCTGTGAGCTCGTCAGAGAGGACGAAGGAAGGAGGAGTTTGTGCGGGCCTAAGTCTGGGGCCTGAGGAGGCAGGCCTGGCACTGCGGTGGCTGGGTTCTGCTTCTGATCCCGGACCAGGCAGCTCAGCCCCGCGGTATGTGGGCTCACCGTGGCCAGCCCTGAGTCTATAAGCATCAGAACTTTTTCCAAACATCCATTCTCTCTTGGCCTTGCAGCTGTTTCTTCTTAAACACACACACACCCAAACCAAAACACAACAGCGGAGTGGGATTTGGACACTTCCAGTCCTCCACTCATCCCCAGTGGGCCCTTGCCAGGTCGCAGCGGGACCCACGGACAGCACCGACAGCTGCTCTGGAGCAGGTCGGCTCACAAGCGCCCGGCCCTCCCTGGCTGGAATTCTCTGTGCAACGGGTCCGGCCAGGCCTTCCAGAACCCCCTGAGGCTGCTCCAGGAAAGCGGGACAGCGGGCCTCCTGCTCAGAGCCTCTGCACAAGCGGTTCCCTCCACTCCAGAATCGTTCCTGTCACTGTCCTCCCTGCTTCTCCTCATCCAGGGGCTGTTCCCAGACCAACCCGCAGTGGTGCCTTCAACTCCCAACGCCCTGCCCCCCACCCATCTCTGCCGCCCCAGGAGCCTGCCTCTGTACCAGGGACCAGCTCTCAATGGAGATGAGGGCCGGGCCATGGCTCTGCGGTTCTCCTCCGGGTCTTCAGAACCACATGTATGACAAGCGTCCAATGAATACTTGTTGGACAAAGGCCTCCATGGATTGGGTGCCTGTAGTTCCTGGGGCTACAGCAAATCGACAGACCCCTGCCCTCTGCAGAGCCCAATTCGCAGGGCAGTCAGACATCCTCAGGGTCTCTGAATGTGACAGCAACTGCTGGCTCACCTCCTCCAGGGGGCCCTCCTGAGCCCACCAGGCCAGCCGCTCCTCCTCCATGCTTCCCTCTAATCTACCTTCAATCTAATCCTGTTCCAGTGTGGGCTCCTTAGGATAAAGATCAGGTCGCGTGTCCTTCCTGCGCCCTTCATCACCACCAGGTCAGTACGTGCACACCGCACACTAACCCACTCTGGGCACCGTTCCAGGCTGGGTGCACACAGTGGGCAGAATGAATAGCCTGTTCTTCTGAAGCTTACATTCTAGTGGGAAGAGGAGGATTTTAAAAACAAACATCGCAAAGCGGTTTCACAGATAACTTCTTTCTAGTTTTTATTGTGGGATATTCGGTTTTTCACTACAGGTCTCAATGGGCTCCGAAATGTCCCGTCACAGATTCTACAAAAAGAGTGTTTCCAGTCTGCTGAATCAGAAGAAAGGTTTAACTCTGTGAGATGAATTCATACATCGCAAAGCGGTCTCACAGATAGCTTCTTTCTAGTTTTTATCTCAGGATATTCGGTTTTTCACTATAGGCCTCAATGGGCTCCGAAATGTCCCCTCACAGATTCTACAAAAAGAGTGTTTCCAGTCTGCTGAATCAGAAGAAAGGTTTAACTCTGTGAGATGAATCCACACATCGCAAAGTGGTTTCGCAGATAGCTTCTTTCTGTTTTTTATCATGGGATATTCAGTTTTTCACTATAGGCCTCCATGGTTTCTATCGTAGAATATTCGGTTTTTCACTATAGGCTTCAATGGGCTCCAAAATGTCCCTTCGCAGATTCTACAAAAAGAGTGTTTCCAGTCTGCTGAATCAAAAGAAAGGTTTAACTCTGTGCGATGAATCCACACATCACAAAGCGGTTTCACAGACAGCCATAACATGGGAAGGCTCATCACCTGGCTCAGAGTCACTGCTGTTTGTAAAAGGTATGACTGTCCTGCTGCTGCTGTGCATTTGGCTTGCGCCCAGAGAGAGAGAGTGAAGGTTTTGACCCTGTAAGGGAGAGCCAGCCTTGCAGGCCAGGGAATGCAGCTGCAGGCGTGGGAGCGACAGGAGACTCAGAGCCAGAGCGGGCAGCCGAGACAGAGACAGACAGTGTAAGGGAGCCACTGAATAAAACCATACTTCAGGCTGGGCACCGTGGCTCAGGCCTGTAATCCCAGTACTGCGGGCTACAAAATGCCCAGCACAGAACCAAGTACATGTTAAATCCCCTCCACGTCCCCCTCACCACCCAGGAGCACAGTCACTTCCCAGGCACACAGGGGTTAGGGCAGATGTAGGGATTTGAAAACTGGACCTGGTATATCTGGCCATAGGGCTTATAGGGAGAAAACAAAATATTTGCAGGCTGGCTCGGTGGCTCGCACCTGTAATCCCGGCACTTTGGGGGGCCGAGGCGGGTGGATCACCTGTCAGGAATTTGAGACCAGCCTGGCCAACATGGTGAAACCCCATCTCTACTAAACATATAAAAATTAGCCGGGCTTAGTGGCAGGTGCCTGAAATCCCAGCTACTTGGGAGTCTGAGGCAGGAGAATCGCTTGAACCCAGGAGGCAGAAGTTGCAGTGAGCTGAGATGTCACCATTGCACTCCAGCCTGGGAGACAGAGGGAGACTCTGTCTCAAAAATTTAAAAAAAAAAATGTAAAAACAACAACAAAAAAATTAAGTGTTTGCAGCTGTCGTGGGAACTGTAGAATTTGCCAGTAATTTGGAGGAAATTCGCCCAAAGCCTGAAGACAGATGGGGCCTGGGATCATGGTTCTGGCCGCTCCCCCATATTGAGGGGTTGTTTCTTCCCACACAGGGTGTAGAGAGACCAGAACATCATCTTTTTCTCAGAATACAAGTGAGCCTTGGCCTTCCCTCTGTTTGTGGCCTTCAAATAGAAAAAAACAATCACTGGCTTTACATCTGGTGGAGGAAGCAGGACAAAGTCCCCCACAGAACACAAGAGCTGGCCAAGTCAGCCAGCCACGCAGGGCTGAGCACCGGCAGCCAGCCCAGGCCTGTGTCCTGTCCAAGGCTGAGGAAAACATGGCCCCTCCCTCAAGGGCGTCCATTAAGACCTAACAGGGGAGGCGAGGCCAAGATTCTGGAAGCTGTCAGCGGCCACAGCCCCACACCCCAAGCCACTGCCTCCTCTACTATGACTTCCCCGTGCATCTGGGACACTTGGGCCCGTGTTTTCCTCCTCCTGAGGTGTAGATGGGAGGAAAGGGTCTTCATCCGCTGCTGCGGCAAACTTCCCTTAGGCCACCATTTGAGCTGTCCCTTAAAAAAGTTGATGGCTGATCATAAAGCCTTTTCTTTAAGTTTGTTTTTAATCAAAGTTGAATATGCATTCTGCTAAGATCATACCAAATGGGAAAAGTTGAAAGTATGCCCACTTTCACCACTTTTATTCAACTTAGTACTGAAGTCCTAGCCAGAGCAATGAGGCAAGAGAAAGAAAGGATTAGACAAATTAGAAAGTCAAATTTTTCCTGTTTGCAGATGACATGATTATATTTAGAAAAACCCAAAGATAGCCAGGCGCAGTGGCTCACGCCTGTAATCCCAGCACTTTGGGAGGCTGAGGTGGGTAGATCACCTGAGGTCAGGAGTTGGAGACTAGCCTGGCCAACATGGTGAAACCCCATCTCTACTAAAAATACAGCAATTAGCTGAGCGTGGTGGCGGGCGCCTGTAATCTCAGCTACTTGGGAGGCTGAGGCAGGATAATTGCTTGAACCCTGGAGGCAGACGTTGCAGTGAGCCAAGATCTCACCATTGCACACAGCCTGGGCAACAAGAGTGAGATTCCATCTCAAAAATAACAAAAACCCAAAGATGCCTCAAAAAACTGGTAGAACTGATCAATTTAGTAAAGTTGCAGGATACGAAATCAACATACAAAAATCAGTAACATTTCTGTATGCCAATAGTGAGCAATATTAACAAATCAAGAAAGCAATCCTATCTATAATAGCTGCAAAAAATGAAATGCCTAGGAGTAAATTTAACCAGAGGTAAAAGATTTCTATAACAAGAACTATAAATCACTGATGAAAGAAATTGAAGAGGACACACAAAAAATTTCAAGATATTCCACGTTCATGGAATTAATTTTGTTGGAATTTGAAAGAATTAATGTTAAAATGTTCATATTACCAAAAGTGATCTACAGATTCAATATAATCTCTATCAAAATACCAATAACATTCTTCACAGAAATAGAAAAAAATCCTAAAATTCATCTAAAACCATAAAGACCTCGAATAGCCAAAGCAATCCCTAGAATGAACAAAGCTGGAGGTATCATACTACCTGACTGCAAATATACTATAGTAACCAAAGCTATAGTAACCAAACAACTTGGTACTGACATAAAAACAGACATATCACTCAGTGGAATAGAATAGAGAACCCAGAACTAAATCCATGCATTTTCAGTCAACTGATTTTTTGATGAAAGTGGTAAGAATATATGTTGGGGAAAGAATAGTCTCTCCATGAATGGTACTGGGAAAACTGGATATTGATATGCAGAAGAATGAAATTAGACCCCTATCTTTTACCATATACAAAAAGCAATTCAAGAAGGATTAAAAACTTGAACATAAGACCTGAAACTATGAAACAGAGGAAATACTTCAGGGCATTGGTCTGGACGAAGATTTTTTGGGTAAGACCTCAAAAACTCAGGCAACAAAAGTAGAAATAGACAAAGCGCATTATATCAAACTAAAAAACTTTTCCACAGCAAAGAAAACAATCAACAAAGAGTAGAGACAACCTACAGAATGGGAAAACATATTTGTTAAATATTCATCCACCAAGGAATTAATATCTAGAATATATAAGGAATTAAAATAACTTGGTAAAAATCAGATAATCCAATTAAAATGAGCAAATGTTGGTCTTGGCTGTGATATGAAAAGAAAAATAAGAAAAAATAAAAAGTACTAAAAAATGACAAAAATAATTTTTAAATTAAAAAAGGGAAACAAAAAAAGAAATAAATGGGCAAATGGTTTGAATAGACATTTCTCAAAAGAAGACATACAAATGGCCAGCATATGAAACCATGCTCCACATTAGTAATCATCAGGAAAATGCAAATCAAAACCACAGTGAGAAGTCACGTTGCCCCAGTTAACATGACTATTCAAAAAGACCAAAAAATGCTGTCAAGGATGGGGAGAAAGGGGAACTCTTACATATTGTTGGTGGGAATGTAAATTAGTACAGCCATTATGGACAATAGCATGGAAGTTCTGCAAAAAACTAAAAATAGAAGTACCATATGATCTAGCAATCCCACTACTGGGATTATGTCCAAAGGACATGAAATTAGTATGTTGAAGAGATATCAGCACTCCCATGTTTACTGTGGCAGTATTCCCGATAGCCAAGAGACGGAATCAACATCAAGCCAAGTGTCCATCAACAGATGGATGGATGAGGAAATGTGGTATATATAATGGAATACAATTTGTTCATGTAAAATAATGAAATCCTGTCATGTCTAGATACGTGGATTTTGTAGGTCATTATGTGAAGTGAAATAAGCCAGGCACAGAAAGACAAATATTGCATGATCTCACTCATATGTGGGAGCTAAAAAAGTTGACCTCATAGAAAGTAGAATAGTAATTCTCACAGGCTGGTAAGGGTAAGGAAGAGTGGTTTAGGAAGAAGTTAGTGAATGAATGGAAAATTACTAGGGTGACTACAGTTAACAATAATGTATTAAATATTTAAAAACAGCTAGAAGAGAAGATTTTGAATGATTTCAACGCAAAGAAATGACATATGTTTTAGGTGATGGCTATCCCAGTTGCCCTGATTTGATCATTACACATTGTATACATGTACTGAACTATCACATGTACAAAATAAATAGGTATAATTATTACATATCAATTAAAAAATTTTAAAGATCTTAGAAAAAAGTTGCGGCCGGGCACGGTGGCTCACGCCTGTAATCCCAGCACTTTGGGAGGCCGAGACGGGCGGATCACGAGGTCAGGAGATCGAGACCATCCTGGCTAACACGGTGAAACCCCGTCTCTACTAAAAATACAAAAATTAGCCGGGCATGGTGGCGCGCGCCTGTAGTCCCAGCTACACGGGAGGCTGAGGCAGGAGAATGGCGTGAACCTGGGAGGCGGAGCTTGCAGTGAGTCGAGATCGCGCCACTGCACTCCAGCCTGGGCGACAGAGCGAAACTCCGTCTCAAAAAAAAAAAAAAAAAAAAAAAAGGTTGCATGTGCATGTAATCTAAGAAGTTAAATAATCCCCAGGGCTTTCTATAAAAACCAGCAGTGCCCTGCCCCTCTACCCCACCCACTCAAATTATTCTTCCCCATAGGCAACCACTTCCTTTATTTTTTTTTAAAAAAAAAAGCCAATTTTGTTGGTGTAAGAATACCTCAGAATATTGCAAGTTTTGTTCCAGACCATTGCAATAAAGTGAATATCACAATAAAGCAAGTCACACAACTTTTTTGGTTTCCCAGTGCATATAAAAGTTATGTTGACACTCTACTGTAGTCTACTAAGCATATAATATTAGCATTCTGTCTTAAAATGTATATACCTTAATTTCAAAATATTTTATTGCTAAAAAATGCTGACACAGACACCAAGTGAGCACATGCTGTTGGAAAAATGGTGCCGATAGACTTGCTCAATGCAAGGTTGCCACAGACCTTCAATTTGTAAAAAGAAATGTAGTACCTGTGAAGTGCGATAAAACAATGTATGCCTGTATTTTCCTAAATAACATTCTTATATTGCTGCTTTTCAATTTTCCAGTTTAGTCAAGACCTATTGACTTCCCTTCATGGAAGAGGAGGTTTTAGCTTTCCCTCATTTCCTGCCCCCAACCTCACACCCTCCTTCCCATCAGCCTACCCCCAAGCGCAAAGAGAGTGTGATTCGTGTCAGATTGTTTTAGTTTAAGATCTCTGAGATGGAAAGCAGCCTTTCAATGATTAGGAGAAACACAAGATGGAAATAAAGATTTTATTACTTACAGGTCCTGAGGGTACACGGCATGCCCAGAGGCCACACACACAGAAGTCAGGGAGCATGTGAGGGAGAGAGACAGAAGGACCCTTGCCTTTATTGGAGTCTAGGGCATTCTCTATACAGATTTCCTGCAGGAAGTTTTAATCGGTGGGTTTGAAGCAAGCAGGCACAAGTTCCAGAAGTCATGCTGTGACTGAGAGGTGGCTACTGTGGCATATCTGCACGGTCCATGTGGGGTGAGTCAGTGGGATGAGTCAAGAAGGTTGTATCTGGATGTTCCATATGGAGGTGTTCACCAGGAGGAAGTTGCATATGCCAGATATCTGGATTGACACATCAAGGAACTGGGAGGAAGTGGAGAACTGGAAACCGTGTCGATGGTGATTGAGCCCTGCTTCTGTATGAGAAAGTCCAATTTATATTCAAAATCAATGTTGAGGCAACATAAAATTATAAGAACTCACCACATAGATAAGCATGATTATATAAATGTAACTCAGAGCAGAGCTGTGTAATATACTATGATTACTTTTCCCTTCTTAACTTTTCCCCATAAAGATATTGTTTTTTGTTTTTTTTTTTGTTTTTGTGTGTGTGTGTGTGTGTGTGTGCGTGTGCATGCCTAATGCTAATGTAACCCCAAACTCTCTGCCTGTTGTCTAAATCTCCTCTCTAGACCTTGGGACACATCAGCTATTCCATATCTCCCTTGTTTTTATGCAGTTCATGCTCTGTTGACTTTCTAATGATGGTTCTGGGGAAGTAAAAATTATTGCAATCCTAAATGTCTGAAAATGACCTTATCAGATCTGCAGCCTTGATCGACAGTTCGGCTGGGTATAGAATTCTAGTTTGGAGATCACTTTCCTTCAGTAAAAGGCAGGCAGAGGCCAATTTTGCAGGAATTGCCTCATCATCTTCTAGCTGTCAGTATAGCTATCATCAAGTCTGAAGCTGTTCTGATTCCTAATTCTTTATATGTGACCCTTCCCTCTTCTGTTACCTATACAAAATTTAAATGAACAAATAAATGATTGATTTTTAGAAAAGTCTTATTTGGCCCTCATTCATGTGTTCTTTGGATAGAAAAAAAGTTAAGTCTTGGTTTTACATATGGTCATGGAGACTAGACTAAAAAAAACTCAGAATAATTCAAGGCTGAAACAGTGGCTTTGTTTTTTCCCTCAAATTCATCTAATGTGGAGCCACTGGGGCGTTACAATGTGAGGGAACTAAAAGTACAATCAATTTATTATTGTCACAACTATCTCACCTGTCAGCTGTGAGAACTGGCTGAGGTGGTGTCTGGCACACTGAACACAGTGCCTGTTGTGAAGTAGGCCCATGGCAGGTGGTGCTTCCAGAACTATCTTCTCCTGCACCGCAGCACTGCTCTCTCCCCATCCACCCGCTTGGAGCAGGAGGTTTTCCTGAGACACCTAAAACATACCTGGCCCTGGCCCTCTCCTACAACAGCTGCCTCTTGGGTCTCCATGGCCCTTAGTCAATGGTGTCCTGGTGCCGGCTTCACCCTGCTCAGCTAGCAGAGCCAACTGTGTGCATCTCCTCCCAGCTCTGCACCAGCGACCTTGTGTTGGCAACGTAGGGGGAGTATTCACACTGTGGAAACTGGGGAATGCTGCACGTCACACTGCCCCAACCAAGAGCCAGTTGTTAAACATTTACCAGCACAGCACCACTTGGGACAACAGCTGAGTGTCTCAACCCAGCGTGTCTGTGTCCACATCCCCAAGGCTCGCATTGCCCGTGGCGTGGAGTAGGACTCACGAAGCTAGTGTTGGCTGTACGTGTGGTGTGTTCAGTGGACACTGAGCACAGCACCAGGACGATCACTGTAGGGGAGGAGTGGGAGGGTGGTGGGTTCCAGAAGGAACCCTGACTGGGAAAGACCCAATCGTATAGTGCCACAACCCCAGGGGCAGGTGAGCACTGACCACTCACCCAAGGCTCCAGAGAAGCCAGGAGGGTCCCTGGGAGGAGTACGCCCTGCATTGCAAAGCCCTGGATATTTCCAGGAACTTGGAGAAGGATTTTTCCTTTTCAGAGGCTGCAGCTGTTACCCCAGGAAACCTCTTTCTTATGGGGTCAGGAGACCCAGGCTGGGTCCCAGCCTCACCAGCACCCAGGACCTAGCACGCAGTGTCTGTAGAGTCAATGAACAGATGTCCCGCTGGGAGTCAGGCATGTTGCTTTGTGCTCTGAGCTTCCCTTTCTCATCTATAAAATGGGGGTAAAAACCTGACTTCCCAGGTGAAGTCAAGAGGAGAAACAATGTAAGCACCTGAAACCCGGCCCCAAAGGGTTAAGAGAATTTGCTCACTAGCAAAATTTTCTGAGCTGCTCTTGCAGGACAGCAAGGGAGAAAAGTTTGTTACCGTGCCTTCCATCTGCAACAAAATTCGCCCATGAGCTGAGACTCGCGGGAACCAACATGGCTGACTGGAGTCTGTGCAGAATAGACTTGCGTGCCCCATGAGTGGCTTTTTGACGTCAGAGGGCCAGAAACTCCACCTCCAGATTAGATGTTGCCATTTTCTGAACATGCAACCCATGAAGAAGCATGCTAGGGCAGCAGCCCAAGCCCCAGGGACCCCCCAGACTCCCTTCCTTCTAGCCAGTCACTGCCCAACCACGAAACTCCAAACTCAGAATCTCTCCCTTAAATCCATGGTGGCAAGGCTGGTACGGGGGCAGACAGATTTGAGCTCAACTCCTGTCTCCTTGTTCAGCTGCCTGGCAATAAGCCTTTGTCACTGGTGCTTCTGTGTTCAGCTTTCCCTTGCACATAGGCAAACAAACCAAACCCAGTTTGGTTCGGTGACAAACCTTGTCAACTGCAATGCTAATGCCGGATTTCACCTTTCGGCCCAGAGGCCTGCACTCATTGTGACCTCCAGTGGCTCTGGAGGGTTCAGCCATGAACAGAGCCCCCGCTCCCTGCCCATTGGCTTTCTTTTGGCAGGAGGGGGAGGGGAGTCAAGGGCAGCAGAGATGACGTGACCCTGACCCAGTGGGACATTGAGGATGCATTTGCCAAATGCATCCCAGTGTCTCTTGTGCCTTTCTCTGAGAATGGACCCGGAGTGAGGTTGTAAGATACTGGGGGGCACTCGAGGCTCCAGAGCCTGCCGCTGCTGCAGGTAACTCTTGGAGAGGAAGCACACTCTGTCCCCTCCTGTCTACTATGAACTGGAAGTGGCATTGTCTTGGTTAAGAGCACAGGTTATAAGGTTGAAATCACAGTGCTGCCTTTACAGCTACATAAACTAAGGTTAGGAGATCTGGAACCCTGGGCCTCAGTTTCCTCATCTGCAAAATGGGGAGAAGAGAGATATTTTGAGAACCAAAACAATAATGAGATGCGGTTTGGCGAGCACTGAGCAGCATACAGTGGGTTCCCATATTTGCTATTATTCCTCTTACTGCCAGGTGTTGGGTGGCCTGCAAAAGAGCCAGGGGAGTTTCGTTTCCCCGGGTACTCATGATGGACACCTCCTGAGGTTCTGCTTGGAGCAGGCCTCTAGTGCATCCTCAAGAAGCTGAGACCTCATGCAGACTGTGGCCCCCTGGTCCCCACCCTAGAGCTGCAGCATTCTGGGATGCAGGAGCTTCCCTCAAAGCCGAGCTGGGCCTGCTGGCTCCCTGTGGTTCTCATGAGGACTTGGCACCTACCCTGCCCCTGCCCTCCCTGTTGGGCAGCATCACTCACCGTCCTCCTGGGACCATCATCACAGCCAAGTCCAGTGTGCTCACCAGTGTCAAGCCAGGGAACCCACACCTTCTAGAAAGGGGGTGCAGAAACCCAGCTTGTGAACGCTGGCCAGATCCAGGCCCTGGGTAGGGCTGGGCCATGGAAGCCGTCCAGCAACCTGAACCAGGTAGCCTGGGGCCTTCCAGACGCAGTGAGGATTGCTCCAGACGTCTCTCTCTTGCCAGCAGTTGAACACGGCTCAGGAAGGTGGCCATGAGACAGAGACACGCAGGGCAAGAATGTGGAGGGCCTGGAATACTGGGATAAGGGCTGTGGAGGTGTGGATTTCCTGGAGGTGTGGGGTGAGGGAGCCAGGTGTCCAGAGTGATTTCTGGGTGCCAGGGATGGGGCTGATGGGTGGAGATGGTGAGGAGGTCACTGGGCACCTGGCCAGGTACTCTGCAGGGGGCTCCCTCTACGTCTCCAGGGGCCACCTGAGCTACTAGCATCACCTTTTTCTGATCACACCTCTCGGATCTCCATCCTTGTGGACTTTTCTTCCTGTGTGGTCCAGTGGTCTCACTCTGCCAGGCCATCCTGTGCCAGTGCCTGTGGGTATTTTAGCAGATGTCCAGCAACCCCTTGTCCCCTTCACGGGCTCCTGCACAGTGTGCCCAGTGGGCAGTTTGCCTCGGCAGCAGGGTTGCCCTACGTTTGGGGTGTGCTGCAGGATGAATACGTGTCTTAGTCCATCCTGGCTGCTAGAACTAAGTGCCATACACTGGGCAGCTTACAAACAACATTTCTTTTTCACAGTGCTGGAGGCTGGAGGTCTGAAGTCAGGGTGCCAGCATGGTGGGGTTCTCGTGAGGGCCTCTTTCTGGCTGGCAGGCAGTTGCCTTCTCCCTGCATCCTCATGTGGTGGAAAGAGCGTGAGCATCTCCCAAGCCTCTCTTATAAGGGCACGTATCCCCTGCATGAGGGCCCCACCCTCATGACCTTATCACCTCCCAAACGCCCCACCTCCTAATGCAATCCCATTGTGGGTTAGGGTGTCAACACGTGAACTCTGGGGGACACAGACATTCTGTCCATAGAATATAACATCTGAGTCTCTGAGGGACCAACCCTCTCGGATCCTGACTAGGTCAGGGCTGACTCCCCATCTGGCTGGGAAAACACACATGGTAATGTTTCAATTTCTTTCAAAGTCAGAGGAAAAAGTGAATATAATAATGATGCATGTATAATAGTGAATCCAGCCTGCATACTGTTCATCTTTGTACCAACACAGCTATAAAACGCAGTTTTAACTTTTGTTTTAATGGAGGGAGACGTCCACTGAAGCCAACGCTCCTGGGGCCCATGGGAGTCATCGCGTGGCCTGGGTCAGATGGGCAGAGGGGGCACAAGGGCTCAGCAAGATTCAAGCACCTGAGGCTGACTCACTGGCAGCTGCTTCCTCCCTGGCATCCTCGGACCAAGTCTTCAGATCATGACTTTCAGATACAGAAAACCCTCACCAGTGACTGAGTTTGTCTGGACTCTCTTGATCATAAGATGCAGAAACACAATTCAAATCACCTTCAGCCAAAGGGGCCATTGATTGACTCAGCAATGGATAAGACTAACAGGAGATCATGCCTTATCCAGGCACGGATGGATCCAGGGATGTGTTGGCAGGGCCCTGGCCACACCTGCACCTCAAAGACAAGCCTCCTCCACTCTCGGCAGCCTTGTGGTAAAGGCCGCCCCTCTATGGTCCCAGGAGCTCCTGGCTGACAGTGAGAATTTTGATCCCTGATGCCCTCAAGTGACCAGCACTGGGCCAGGCACACAAATGGTGCTTAAGCAGTGCTTTCGGGAATGCTTTCACTGCGAGTACCTGGGGGCCTGTCAGCCCCCTTCCTTCCTTCCTCTGGCCTTCTGCCCACCACAGTGAGCCCTGGGAGTCTTCCGAAGCAGCCTTCTTGGTTCTGACAAGGTTTCCAGGGGGAGGTGGCTTTGCATGTCCAGAGCTACGAGGACAGATCCTGACCTCCTGCTGACGTGAACATGATGTTCTCACTCCTTCCTCTAGACACTGGAGCTCAGAGACGGCATGTGTGGGACACAGTGCCAGCTGGCGGCTGGAGAAGGCTCCCTGGAGAGTGGAGGGGGAGCCACCCCAGCAGCTGCCCATGTCTCCCCAAGGGCTTGGCTTTCGAAGTGGGGTGAGGCGTGTGAGTTCAATGGGTGTGGACACGTGAGTCCAGGGTGTGTGTGGACACGCATGTCACAGACACTGACAGTGGTCTCCTGCCTGCCCCACAGCTCCCTAGCCCCTCTCTCTGTGCCCGGGCCACAGGCCACAGCCTGGATGCCTCTCATGCCCAGGTCACAAGCTTCAGTGGCTCCTTCTTTAAAATGTGAAGGATGAAGCCATTGTGTCTGCTCCTCTCCTGGTATCCATCGGGGAGATGGAGGCCACTGTGGTCTCGGCTCTGCCCCTGCCTCAGCCCCACCTCCCCCAAAGGCCTCTGGGGTCTCCTTGCCTGTGGGTCTGGGGCAGCTCACCTCACTGTGGCAGCTCCATCCAGGGTTCCCTGCTGCGCCCCGTCCCCACACGGCCTGGGCCCCATCCCCGGGAGCACAGAGCAGTAACTGCACAGAACCAGAGGGAGACCATGAACCTCAAGCCCATATCCAGTGCTGGCTCCTCACAGGAGACCAGGTGTCACTCTTGTTGCCGCCAGAGCCTTCTGCAGACGCGCCAGTTGATGACCAGGCCTCCCCGCTACGGCTGCTCCCACCCAGGCCCGAGTACCCAGGCCCCGGGGCTTCTGAGGCTGCCTGGTCTGCTCAGGGCCAAGGGTGCCTCCAGGTCAGTGTGCCTCTGTCCATGGGACTGTGTGTGACTCTCTGTGGCGTCTCTGGCTGCAGGTGTTTTGCTGTAACCAAGTGACCTTGTTTTTGCAAAATCAAGTTTTGCTGTCTGTCCCTGTGACCTTGAATGGTCTGGCTGGCGGGACCCCAGGAGTACCACTGTGCCTGAGGACCTCCCACCCACTTCCCTCTCAGTCCCCTGGGCAGGAGGCCAGCTTGGGGCTTTCTCTCCCATTGCACAGGTTGAGGGTCCCAAGTGGGGAAGTGGCTCAGGGGGACTGGCTTGTGTCATAGAGTCTCCCCGGGGGCTTCCCCATGCACCACCCGGCCCTGCTTTTGTTGCTGTCACCATGCAGGCACCAGACCCGGGCCCGGCACCAGACACTACCTCACCCCGCCCAGGTCTGCCAGCCTGTGGGACCTCAGCCATGGCCAGCTGGCCAGTCTAGGAGCAGGGACAGCCATTCATAAGTCTTCCTTGAACAGACTTGTGTGTGCCGAGGGGTTGGGAGGTGGCCTTCTTTGCTGTTCATGTCTCAGACTCACGCGCTGGAGAAGGGAGGAGAGAGTGGACAGAGTGAATGCCCGCCCAGCCTGAGCTGAGCAACTGTGCATGGCACTTGCCCACAGGGAATCTGAGACTCCCCGTGATGAGCCTGTGAGGTGGAGACTCCTATACCCATTCAACAGAGGAGAAAGCTGAGGCCTGAGAGATCCCCTGACGCATTCAAGGTCTCACAGCTGGAGGAGGGGGAGCTAGGACGCCAGGCCAAACCTATCTGCCCCATCCTAGTTGGTGCCCGGGCTAACTATCCCATCACACACTCCCTGGCATCTGTGCCAGTTCTGTGCAGGATGTCATTGGCATCTTTGTGCTGGGGCTGGAGCTCTGCAGACAAGTGGCAGGGGGCCCTGCCCTGGAGGCCTTACCTTCTAAGCGGGTCCTTGTTTCCCAAGTCATTCCTGCCCATCGCACCCTCCCTACACCCCCATGCCCTAACTGAAAAACTAGGTGGCTTGCGTAGGGCTAGGACTAGGGTGGGCCCCAGGGCCCTAGTTTAAGGAGCTGCCCACTCTCAGGGCCGTGGAAGTGCAGGATGTCATCTTGCGGGGCCTGACGCCGCCCCAGCAGCTCTGCGTCCCAGGGACTGTGGGGTCCAGGCCCAGAGGAGGACAGAGCCACCTGGCCTGTGCTGTCTCCAAGGTCCAGTTCCTCTGCACAGCAGTGAGTATGAGGGAGATCGCTGAGGGGGGACCCAGTGACCCTGTGTGCCTGTTGGGCCTGTTCCTGGCACTGCCTTCCCCAGACCTGGTACATCCCTTCCTCCCCCAGGCCAGAGTCCAGTCTCCTGCCTTCCTGGGAAGTCAAAGCGGGCAGAGCTCTAGAGCATATGACCAGCCTCCTCGTCCCCCTGGTCCCTTGAGTTTTGCCAGCCTCCTCCTGGCCTCCTCCAGGGATTATCCTCCTCCTGCCTCTCTAGCCATAGATATCCCTGTCATGCAGCTCACCTGTTTCCAGGTCATTCACAGTGCTGGGGAGTCCTGGGGCTGGCCGGTGCCTCCTGGGCCTATCTCTGGGTCCCCAGCATGGGAGAAACACCAGGGATGCCCACCCATCACTCCTCCCAGGGCTTCTCAACTTTGAGAGAAAGCTTTTCATGTTTCCCGAGAGCCCCTGACCCTGTGAGGATCCCACCATGGTGAGCTGCCTTGGTCCCTGGGGGAGCATCATGCTGACTTGGCAGGCTTTGAGGCAGGGGTGGCATCATTTATTCATCCCCCTATTCATTCATTCATAACCTTGGAATGTCTGTTCTAGGTCAGGCACCATTCTGCACCTGGGCTGGAGCGAGGGGTGGGAGCCACCGGGGAGCTTTGGCCCTAAATCAGGCAGGATTTGATGAGAGTCTGGATTCAGTTGAGGAGAAGATAGGAAGTAACTGATGAGAATCAGAAGCCGACTCTGTAAGACAAAACCTACCCAGGCCCAGTTGTTGGATTAAATGAAAAGCAGCCTGACTAGCACAACTAGTCTAACTATTCTAACTAGTCTGTGCAGTTAGAAGTTAGGGTAGATTTGAACTGGGTTTCCTAACCTCAGTGCTTTGGACATTTAGGGGCAGACAATTCTGTTTGTGGGTCTGTCCTGCGCACCGTGGGATATTGAGCGGCATCCCCAGCCTCTATCCACTGGATGCGAGCAGCATTCCTCTCAATTATGACAATAAAAAATGTCTGCAGACATTGCCAAATGCCCCTGTAGGCAACATTGCCCCTGATTGAGAATCATTGGACTAGACTCTACTTGGGAATCCCCGGGGGGCTGGTAGTGTTCTCTTTCTGATCAGGTGCTAGTTACATGGAGTACTTACACTGTGAAAATTCTTCAAGCAGCACATTTACAACTGGAGCCCTTTTCTGTGTGTAGGTTACAGCCAGTAAGAAGTTCATTTAAAAAAAAAAATCACAGGAAAATAGGATGAAGGAATTGTTCTAAAGTTTTAGGGTTTTCAGCAACAGTGAATTCTGAAGGTGTCAACAGTGGAATAGAGTCTCATAAGAGCCCCCAAAGAAATCAATCTGAGGCTGTTTTTGAAAAATCATAGATCATCCCTCAAGAAAGTGGTCAGCCCCATACACTTAGACTGGTTGATCATTGGCAGATGGGCCCTTTCCCTGATCCCATACTTTTTTTTTTTTTTTTTTTTTGAGATGGAGTCTCGCTCTGTCGCCCAGGCTGAAGTGCAGTGGCATGATCTCGGCTCACTGCAAGCTCCGCCTCCCGGGTTCATGCCATTCTCCTGCCTCAGCCTCCCAAGTAGCTGGGACTACAGGTGCCCACCACCACGCCCGGCTAATTTTTTGTATTTTTAGTAGAGACGGGGTTTCACCATGTTAGCCAGGATGGTCTCGATCTCCTGACCTTGTGATCCGCCCGCCTCGGCCTCCCAAACTGCTGGGATTATAGGCGTAAGCCACCGCACCCGGCTGATCCCATACTTTAGGAGCTTCCTGGGCTCTGATTCTCCCAGGGCCCGACATACAGTAGGTCTCAGCGATGACACTGAGGGGGTGAAGATTGCACAGTAATATAGATGGCTAGTTGAGTGTGCGTGAGCTGTTTTCTGAGCTTTTTGCTGAACTGCTTTGAAATTTTAATGAACAAAAGTCAAGCATGATTTTATTATTGTTTTTATAGTTAGTGACAAACCTGAAAACAACCTAGAAGTACAATAATGGTGAATGGTTAGGCACATTTCTGTGTCTCCACATATTGGAAAATGAGGCAGTAATTAACATCTCTGCTTAGAGAGAGGCTTAACATGACATAACATTAAGGGAGAAAGCAGGACTGAAACCTACTTAGAGGGTGTTTTCAGTCAACAAAATTCAGACATAGAAAAAAGACTGGAAAATCAAAGAACTAAATAAATAGAGAGATATCCCATGTTCATGGATAGGAAGATTCAATATCATCAAGATGTCAGTCTTTATAGACCCGATGCCATTCCAATCAAGACCCTAGCAAGTTATTCTGTGGATATCAAAAAAGACTGCTTGCTTGCTCTGTCCAGGACCTTACAAAAAGACTATATGGACACACACTCAAACATCAGTAGATGTCACTGCATGTTGACATTACGAGTGATTTTAATTTTTTTCTTTGTGCTTTTCTGGATTTTCTGCAATCAGTATGTGTTACTTTTAACATTAGAAAAGAGCAATAAACTTTTTTAAAAGGAAGAAATGCAGAAAGAAAGAAGACAGGCCAGAGACAGGCTGAGGCAGATGAGTTTAGCAGCAGAGACTTTTCATAACTGACTGGATGGGGCCCAGGAGTGTCACCAAGGCTGGCTTCACACATCTCCTTCCTGGGATCTGGCAGACCCTCCTGTCCAGGGGTTCTGGTGAGGAGATCATCCTGCAGAGAAGCTCAGTTCAGGCTGGCCTGAGATCTGGGCCCCTCTGTGTTTTATATCTGCAGAGATGGAACACCTGGGAAGCATCCCATTTTCCATGGCTTAGATCCCATCCAAGAGGGGATTATTCCTCCAGCTGGGGTCTTTTACTTTAAAAGGCCTTTATAATAAATGATGGAGTGGATATTGTCAAAAAATTCAACTGCAGTTCACAGTTGAGTCTCTCTGTTTACAGAACCCACAGTGGAAAGGCCTCAAGGAGGCCTAAAGGCACTTAGGGACTTGCCCCTCATACTCTGCTAAGCCTTCAAGGCTAGAATCCAGTGCTACTTCCTCCAGGAAGCCTTCTCTGATTTCCTGGGCCCACAGAGCTTGCTCCTTTGCTTAAAGCACTTGACCAGCCCCATTATGGTTCACTGAGCTTTTTCACCCTTGCAATGGAATCTGGTAAAGGGGATCAGGCTGGGGAAGGGGACATGTCCCCTCTCTGCCACTTCCTGACTGCATTAATAAGCATAGTTTGACTTCCCCAAAAGCTGATTGGGGAGCAAGATTTTGGGAGTAAGTAGTTGTTGATCCCAGGAAGCCTTGGTAGGGGTGTGGGCAAGTGAGTCAGAGAAAGGAGGATGCATCAACACACAGGTCACAGCTGTGGGCAACTGGGGCTCACTCCTAGTGGGGCTCTCTGGGAGACTGTGGAGCACACCCCACTGAGGCACGAGAAAACTGATTTCACCCATAAACTGCTCTCCCTCCTGGTAGAGGGCAACTGTAGACATTGCCTCCCCAGCATGTCTGGCCTGCAGTGCGGACAGGTTGGCACACTCCCAGGCTGGTCCTGTGGCCTGAGGTTGCCACAGGCAGACAGACAGAAGTGGCCCTTAGCTGGAATGATGGAAGCCATCTGCAGGTGAGCTTGCCAAGGGTGGGCGGACAGAGCATCATCGGAGCCTGCTTCTGTGTCCTCCGACAACCTGAGGACCTCTGAGACTGCACCCATGTCCTGCACAGGAGCGGCATTTGATGATTAGCCTGTGCCGAGGGCCCAGGGGAGTTGAACAGTGAGACCACCTGCCTCTTCTCTGAGTCCGTGTCTCCTCTGGCCCAAAGCAGGTACTTAGGGAGGTTTGATGAAGAAAACAGAGGGTAAGGAGTGTTCATGCCAGCTCTAACCCAGTCCTGGAGAGGCCACAAAGCATTCATTCATTCAACAAATATTTATTGGCAGCCTGTAACTGCCAAGCCCTGAACTTAAGCCTGTCCCAAAGGCTAGTTGCAGCTCAGAGATCCTGACTCAAAAGTAGGACCCTTAGTCACTTGAAAAACAAGTGAAGGCAGAGGCTGGAGGTGCGGGGTGTGTTTACAGGCAGCGTGCGTGGTATGCACAGCTTGGGCTTTGGAATCAGATAAGCCCAGTCTTACGTTCAGTTCTGCCACCCTCCAGCTGTGCATCCTGGGCATGTCCCTTAACCTCTCTGAGCACATCTCCTCATCTGCAAAAGTGGACCACAAATGAGGTTACAGGGTCACCTGAGGATTTGATGACATCATGGACATCAAGTGCTCAGCACAATGCCTTCCACATGGTGAGTGGTCAACGTGGCATCACTATGGTAATGGGCATGTTAGATGGGTCTCTCTCTGCCCAGAATTTGTGCCGAGAGCAAAGATACTGGGTGCCCACACCTTCTGAAGAGGGAGCCAGAACCTCTCTGAAGGAGGGATCAAGGGGAGACTAAGGGGTGCTGGGTGTATCAACCTTGGCCCATCATCAGTTTGCTAAAAATGGCTGAGAGACTGGAGTGAGGGTGTTTTGGAGAGGACTGGGTGTTTCCACCCACAGGTTGGTAAAGAGGAGCATGCAGCCTGAAAGCCAGGTGAGGGGTATAGAGAGACTGCTCACCTGCCCAGAAGGAAGGGATGCCTTTGTAGAGCGTAGTGGGGCAAAGTGCCCAGCATTCCAGAGTGGAGCCATGGTGGGGCCTGCCCAAGGGTCTTCCTGCCAGGGCAAGTGGCTGCAGGCAGAGCACTTGGGGGGGTGACTCACAGAGGCAGGAGCTGGGGAAGCGACAATTTGTTTTTCTAAGGCCACTCAAGGTTACCCTCCCCCACAATAGAATTTGAGCTTGGCCAAGTGAGGGCTTGTTAGCAGCTGAATGGATGGACATCCCCATGAGCAAGTGCTTCTTGGCACACACATGTATGTGATTCTCTGGAATGAGCTTCTAGGAGCGGAATTGCTGGGTCAAAGGGGATGAGCATTTACCTCTTGAATAGACGGACAGAGCCAAACTGTCCTGCAGGGTCAGCGGGAGGGTGTGGCCACCAGCAAGGTGTGAGTGTCCTGTGTGCCCATGCCTAAGCATCCCTTAGATGAAAGTAATTCAGGGCCTTTGACTCTCCAGTAAGAAAAATTGAGGCAGAGAAAGCAGCCCAGTTTGGGGAGCACTTTATTTTCCAAACTCAGAAAGTCAGAGCCCATATCCCTCATCTTACAGGTGGGGAAACTGAGGCTTGGGAAAGGGAATGTGGTAGCTAGTCCCTCATCCCTGGAGCCTGCTGGCACTGTTCTACTCCTCAGGGTGTCTGGGAAGGGGCATTTTGGACCCCTGTGTTTCTGGAGGTGCATCTGAACAAGACTGGGCAGTTTGGGAGGCTGCTACAGGCTTAGTAGTTGGCTCTGAAAAAAACAAAAGAACAAAATATAGACTGTGTCTGCCAATTTCCATGGTGTAAATGCTCTCACTACAGCCAATTTCAAGCTACCAATATGATGACATTGAACTTGGAGAGGGGAAGTGATGCACACCATTGTGTCTGGTGGGAACCACTTGAGTGCGTGCCCTCATCGGCTGAGCCACCCTAGGTCCTCAGCTGTTCCTGATTCAAAGAGAACCAGAGAAGAAGCTGGGCAGGACAGCCACCTTCATCCAAACGTGTGTCCCTCTGGAGGCACAGCAACTGTCTTCCCAAAAGAGAGGAGGCTTTGACTGGGTTGGGTGTCCTTTTCCATGTGTGTGGCACACTATGGGGCAGGGTTTGCCTCAGGCCACTTCCAGGCCTGCCCCACTGCACTTGGTGGCCAAGACCCACTGCCCCCTGGACTGCATGGCTGTGACTATCCTGGGACCTTTATTGAAAAACCCTGTTGGAACCCCTTTTGTCAGAGGACCTTCCTGCACACATTCTTCAGCCTGCCTGTCAGGCCCTATTGATTTCAATAGGGATGGCACCAGATTCAAGAGGCTGAAGAAGAGACCCAGGGACAGCACCGAGACCTAGGGCTTCATTAGACGGAAGCTTACAGGGATGGACCAGTGGTGGCTGGGTGGACAGGAGAACCTCAACTGCTTGCAAAAAGCATGTGGTTTATGTAGCACTTTTCCTTGGCGCCTCCCCCTAACAACCTCCCTCCACCTGGCAACGTTCACATAACCCAAAACACAGGGTCTCAATCCCCTGTACGGCCTGCATTCCATAGGATGGGGCCAGGAGCTCAGATGTTACTCAGATAAGGAATGAAACTCTGGGTTGGCCACTCCCACGTTCCTTAGCTCAGAACTCTGAACATATATTCTTCTCAGACCATGGGGTCATTCTCAGGGTATGCTTCAGTTATGCTGTTTCTCTCAGGGTCATCTACCACCCACTGCTCCACAACCTTCCAAAACCCCAGGGGTAGCTGTTATCATCCTTCTTTTACAGGTGAGGAAACTGAGGCTTAGAAAGAGATCACTCTTCCAAGGCCACACAGCTAGTCCCAGGTCTCATGTTAGTTTCACTGAACTAGTGGCACGGATGACATAACAGCTGACACTTGGGCAATTCCCTGGCTGGTGCTGTGCCAAGCATCTTCTTCCTGAAACCACCACTTATGGGTTGTGCTGCAAGAGTAAGTTCTCCAACATCTCTAAGCTACAGTTTCTCCTGGAAAGACTGGATAAGACGCAGTGCACCAGGGCTTAGCACAAGGCCGGATACACATTCTACAGAACACCATGGAACAAACGTTATAGAAGAGATCGACTGCGCTGGTGACTCATGCCTGTAATCCCAGCACTTTGGGAGGCCGAGGCGGGCGAACTCCTGAGGTCAGGAGTTCGAGACCATCCTCAACATGGAGAAACCCCGTCTCTACTAAAAACACAAAATTACCTGGGCGTGGTGGTGCATGCCTATAATCCCAGCTACTCGGGAGGCTGAGGCAGGAGAATTGCTTGAACCTGGGAGGCAGAGGTTGCAGTGAGCCGAGATCACGCCATTGCACTCCAGCCTGGGCAACAAGAGCAAAACTCCATCTCAAAAAATAAAAAAATAAAAAGAGAGATCAACTGTTCTGGGATTCCTTGGGGGTAGACATCTAGACCTGCTTGAGTCAGAAGATGCCTTCATGGCCAGAGTGTCTGCTGAGCCCGGTGCCACTCGGGGAGAGAAAAATGACTCTGCAAAACAGTTCAAGGGACTCAGCGTTACTCAGGGAGAACTGGGAGGGGAAGAGAGGAAAGTGAAAGAGCAGGTGGGACAGGTTGGAGGGGAAAACAGCCCTCCAGTGATGACTAGGGTTCCAAAGGGAGCAAATCCTACTGTGGGGATCTTGAAAAATCTTCATGTCATTTGCTGAGAGGCTGAGATATGCCTTCCTTCCCTTGTACCCCAGGAAATTTTCAGTAAAGTTAATATTTGTCTCTTCTATATTTATGCAAGTGGATTCTTCTTGGGAAACACTGATGTTGATGGTGGTGATGATGATGATGGTGATGGTGAAGGTAGTGGTGATGGTGATGGCAGTAATTGTGACAATGATGAAGATAAGGGTGATGGTGATGATGATGATGGTGTTGATGATGGTGACGGTGATGATGGTGTTGATGGTGGTAATGATGAGGATGAGGGTAATGTTGATCATGATGGTGATGGTGGTAATGGTGATGATGATAATGATAATGATGCTGATGATGATAGTGATGGTGATGATGACAGTAATGGTGATGATGATGGTGTTGATGGTGCTAATAATGAGGATGAGGGTGATGGTGGTGATGATGGTAATGGTGGTGATGGTGATGATGATAATGATGAGGATGGTGATGACGAGGGTAATGGTGATGATGATGGTGTTGATGGTGGTAATGATGAGGATGTGGGTTATGGTGATGCTGGTGGTGATGGTGATGATGCTGGTTTTGATGATGGCGATGATGATGGTGATAGTGATGATGCCTGATATGGTGTGGCTCTGTGTCCTCATCCAGATCTCACCTTGAATTGTAATCCCCATAATCCCCATGTGTCAAGGGTGGGACCAGGTGGAGGTAATTGAATCATGGGGGTGGTTTCTCCCATGCTGTTCTCTTGATAATGAGGGAGTCTCCTGAGATCTTATGGTTTTATAAGCACCTGGCATTTCCCCTGCTTGCTCTCATTCTCTCTACTGCTGCCATGTGAAGAGGTGCCTTCTGCCATGACTGTAAGTTCCTTGAGGCCTCCCCAGCCATGCAGAACTGTGAATCAATTAAACCTCTTTTCTTTATAAATTACCCAGTCTCGGGTATTTCTTCATAGCAGTGTGAGAACGGACCCATACAATGCCAATAGTTGCTAATATTGGGGAGGGGAGTTTTAGTTTTAGTTTAACTTTGCCAAAATTATCCCATTTCATCCTAACAGAACCCCTTTGAGGTGTGCACCACTATTGTTGAGTCCCATGTACAGGTTGCACCAGGTGAAAGAGCTGCTCATGTGAGCACAGGAGTCCAGGGGCAGCAAGGAAGGGGATGTCTGGAAATTCTGAGGCTCACTACCACCCCCATGAGGAGGGACGGCTGTTCTGCTTCCTGTGCATAGAAGCTGAGGCCCAGAGAGGGAGAGAAGCTTACCTGAGTTCACAGAGCTGGGGGTAGCAGAGACAAGGTGGGAACCCAGGCAGGTTCGAGCTTTCACTAAGCACCAAGGTAAGTGCTAGGAATGCAGAGATGAATCAGGCAGACTCAGTCCCTGTCCTCAGGAGCTCCTGGTCTGTTGATGGAGACAGGCACGTAAACCGATGGCAGGAGAGGAACAAGGAGGCATACCCTGTGGACGGGCAGGGAAAGCTTCCCAGAGGAGGTGGCACCTGGTCCTGGGGAGAAGGGTAACCACATTCAGATAGTGGGCCCATGGAGGCCAGCAGGCAGGGTCATGCACGAGCAGCCCTCATAGTCTCAGCCATGACCCCATCCTGAGTCTCAAACCTTCAGCTGGCCAAGCAGGATGGCCGCCTCGGCAGTCACCTCTCCCAGACCTATTTTTAGATGTAATTGAGCATTAAAATCAAACACATTGTCAAGATAGTGGCCAACTTGGATCCCTTCCATGAACAGGCCCTCTTCGCTACACCAAAATAGAAGAAAATTTATCTCTTTGTGGATGACATGGACTTCTGGCAGAGGCTTTGACTTCCAGTGGACGGAGGCCAGATCACGACCCAGCCCTTGGATGACCTGGGCGCATCAGTGCTTCCTACCAAATACAGCATAAAAATGCATGCATAAAGGCTCTGCAGTTCATCTCATAAAAAGGCAGCTTCCTCCTGGGGCAGGCCATGGTGCCAGGCGTGTGTGAGCACGCTGACCTCAGAGAGGAAGCAGAGATCCTACTTGTTACAGTGAGTACGCTCAAGATAGTTTGTTATTGTAATTAATACTAAGTTGAAAGCCACTGGATCTAAGGCCTGGGAAGACTTTTTGGACCATCTTAGCAATACACAAGTTATCATAGCCCCAAGTTACTTATCATGATCTCACCATGTGCAGATACTGCACTGAATGCCTACATTTTAGGCATTGTCCCCGCATAACCACCCATGAGATGGATAATTTATTATTCCATTTCATGGATGACAGTATTGAGGCTCAAAAGGGGTAAGTAATTTGTCCTACTAGTTGGTAAGTAGGTGGTTTGGAATTTGAATTCAAATCTGTTGAACCCAAAGACTATGAGCTTAATTTCTCCATGACATTGTTCCTCTGTCTTGCAGTTCATCCTCCTCTTATTCACCCCCAAAGCCCAGCTCAAATGTCACCTCCTCCAGGAAGCACACCCTGTCTGCTGGATTGGATTGGATGCTTCGTCTCTCAGAGCAGTGATCACGCTAAGATGCTTTCTCTGCCAGACGGAGATCCCCCGAGGCCAGGGACTGTGTGTGACCATCTCTGTTAGCCTTCAAGCCCAGACCAGGCAACTCCCTCTGGAAAGGTCTGATGCCGGATCAACGAAGCTTTTCTTTCTATAGGAAAGGAAACCAAGGTCTAAGGGGAGGGGCAGTGAGCTGTGTAGTGTGGTGATCAGAGTCTTAGATCCCACGGTCAGAGTGGCATGGATTGCAATTCACACACTGCCACATTTTACTTTAGTTTATTTTGAGACAAGGTCTGGCTCTGTCGCTCAGGCTGGAGTGTAGTGGCGCGATCTTGGTTCACTGCAGCCTCGACCTCCTGGGCTCAAGCAATCCTCCCATCTCAACCTCCCAAGTAGCTGGACCACAGGCATGTGCTACCATGCCGGCTAACTTTTTGATTTTTTATAGAGATGGGGTTTCCCTATTTTTCTCAGGCTGGTCTTCAACTCCTGGACTCAAGCAATCCTCCTGCTTTGGCCTCCCAAATTGCTGGGATTACAGATGTGAGCCAGCGCACCGGGCCTCTGCCGTGTTTTAGACACGCTGGTATGGACAAGCTACCTGAGCTGTCTGAGCGTTCACTTTGTTAGGATGCAGACACTGCTGTTATCCCAGGGTTACCGTGAATGTGGAACCAAAAATCAAGCCTTTCAAGCCCTTAGCCTGGTATCTGGTGAACACTCAGAGTTCCACAAGTGATCATTTCTATTGACATGAAGAAACAAAACCAAACCAGACTTCATTGCCACACAGACTAGGGACAAAACAGACTTATCTCCTTGTTTTTTCTACAAAAAGCCCGTACCAGTGTGCCCCAGGAGTAATCTTTTTCACTTTGAAAGTTTGTGGCAAGCTATATATATATATTCCTCCTCCTCCTTCTTTTAACAACCTTTTAAACATATAGAAACCAGTCTTATCTTCTGGGCCATATAAAAACAGGCTGTGTGCTGGATGTGGTCTGCAGGCTGCAGTTTGCAGACATCTGCCCCGGAGAATTGGCTGGCCTGGGGAATCCCTTCTGAGGAGGATGAGGTCTGTAATGTGTATGTAACATTGGGGTCTGTTACATGTATGTACTACGATGTATTTAACATGAGGATAAGTAATATTAAAAGGACAATAACCATTTTTCAGAACAAATGAAAGCCATAAATAATCACATTGTGACAAAGCTGAAACACCAAAGACAGAGAATCTTTTTTTTTTTTTTTTTTGAGACAGGGTCTCGCTCTCTTGCCCTGGCTGGAGTGCAGTGGTGCAATCACAGCTCACTGCAACCTCTGCAACCTCTGCCTTCTGGGCTCAAGTGATCCTCCCACCTCAGCCTCCCGAGTAACTGGGACTACAGGCTCATGCCTAATTTTTAAATCTTTTTGTAGAGACAAGATCTCCCTATATTATCCGGACTGGTCTCCAACTCCTGGGCTCAGGTGATCCTCCCACCTCGACCTCCCAAAGTGCTGGGATCATAGGCGTGAGCCACTGTGCTGGCCTAACGAGAGGATTGTAAAATCCACTAGAGAGAAAAGACCATTTGCCTACAAGGCTGACAGTTATACTTTGGCATGCTTCTGACCCCACCACAATAGAACCCGCTGGCAGAACAAATGGCAGGTGACAGAAATCAGAACCGAGGCTGTGGTATATTTTAGATATTTCATTATCAGAATGCAACAGTGTGACAGGCCAGATGATAGATTCATAGGTTAACTATGTTTTCTATTTGTTATGTGCTTGAAATATTTCATGATCTTAAAATGTTCCTATCTAGAATATAAACAAGGCAAAAAGAGGTTAAACCGTGGGCTCTGAGGGCTGCACAACACCTAATGCACTGAAGCATCTCAGGTGTGCATCCCCACAGGTGTGTCCTGTGCCGCAGATGCTGCCTGTGGGGTTTCCACGCCCCCCATCACCCCACCCTGCTGACCGTGTCTTATTGTAAGTGCCGGTAGCTCTTTGCCTGAGTCCTCCTCTCTGCCCTCACCCAGGGCCTGCTGGAGGGGCCGGGCCGGCCACGTCTTCTAGAGCAGCCCTCGGCCAGGGACGACAGGAGTGGAGGAGGAACACCCAGCTCCCTCTCCCCTTGGTGGGCGAGGCTGCCGTGTGTCCCACACACCACTGCAGAGGTCACAGAAGGATGGTGCCTGGGCACCCACCAGGGCAGTCTGAAGAAGGCACATGGGCTCCTTTCCCTCCCTGTCTCGCTTCCCTGCTGTCCCACTAGGGCTTCCAGGGATCACCTCGCAACAAACCACTCACACCTGAATACTTGATTCAGGCCCGGCTTGGGGCCCTGGCCCTAGACAGCGTGCTCACACGCTAGACAAATGCTCACACGTGTGTGCCTGGCTCTCAGCTCCCGCCAGGTCTTCTTTACCCAAGATTCCACAACATTTATTCTGCACACCTGTCGGCCCACAACAAGACTAGCATTACTGTTGAGCCTAAGGAGGAAGAGGGTCCCGGGTGGTGATACAACCTGCAGGGTAAGCCAATGGTGGGCAGGAGGAGAGATGGTGAAGGGGCTGAGAAGAATGCAGGGGGCCTGGTCACGGCCGGGGGTGGGAGGCCTCATCCCAGGCGGGCCTGGTTGCAGGGCGGGGCATTGCAGGAGGCCTGGCTGCAGGGAGGAGACTGTCTCAGGGGGCCCTGGTTGCAGCAGGGGGCCCTGGTTGCAGCAGGGGGCCCTGGTTGCAACAGGGGGCCCTGGTTGCAGCAGGGATCGGGGGGTGTCACAGGAGGCCTGGTTGCAGGGAGGGGGCCGTCACAGGTGTCCTGGTTGCAGAGGTGCTGGCTACAGCAGGGCGTAGTCGCAGGAGTTCTGGTCACAGGGGGGCCTGGTCCTGGAATGACAGAAGGAAGCCAGGCATGAGGAGAAGGAGCTGGGCAGGTGCCTGGGCCGGATGAGGCCTGGCTGGGGATGCATGAATCCTGGGCACTGACTGTGGAGGGGACTCTAAAACTAGCCGGCCCATGAAGCTGAGCCGAGGAAGAAATTTACCCAAAGTGTCTCAAGCCCCTCACTGTCTCCGGGTCTCCGGTGGGCCTGAGGCAGGGTGAGGAAGGCCGCATCTGGAGGTGGGGGAGGGTGGGGGCACACACAGCAAGGAGCATTCCTTGGTCTCTGAGTCAGCATCGGAGCAGGGCTGAACTGGAGGGAAGGCGGAGCCACAGCACAGATGCAAAGGGAAATGTTTGGAAAGACTCGGTAACCTTGCAATCACGTTTCGGGTCACGAACTCTCTAAAAGCAGGCTTTGCTTCATTTCAGTGAATGTGAAAATACACAAAGGGGGCCTTGCTGGCCACCCTTGGCTGGAGTTGCCCCCGGCTTCCTGAGCTTCTCACATTGCCAGGCGCTGGCACAGAGCCAGCCTTGCAGGTGGCGAGGAGGCCCTGCAGGGGCACATTCTGTCTGCACGTGTGTGGCGGGAACCTGCCATGCCTACACTCTGCCACCCAGTGACTCAGGTGTGGCCAACCAAACATGGAGCGTGGTGTCCCCTGCACCCTTGCTTAAGGGCCAGGAGTCCCAGGGAATGCCGTCAGCCAGGGGAGAGTGGAGGAGCAGAACGGGTCTGTTTGGAAAGGGTTTCTCTCCTGAAGCAGGAGTGGGGACAGCAGCTCTGCAGTGCCTGCTGTGGCTGGGTCCTCAGACATGTCCATGTCCATCACATCCAGGAGGCCCTCCCTAGACCGTGCCATTCACGTTCAAGGTCAGAGCGTGCTGTACATCCGCCACTGCAATCTCCTCAGCAATGGCAGGAAGGTGTCTTGGGGAACAGGAAGCTTTTTCTAGTTTCACCAAGACATGCAACAGGCCAGAGGGGAGGAGGATCAGGTAACTGTTGTAACAACTCTGTGAGATGCATATTAAAGACTCCATTTTACAGATAGGGAAACTAAGGTTCAGAGAGATTGCCAAACTTGCCAGAGCCAGGGTTTGGCTCTGAACAGGGGCTTGCACCAACTGAAGATTCTGACAATTTCTGTAAGATGCATCTCAGCTGAGAGTGCAGGAGCCGCTGCTGAAGGACCAGGGAAAGAAGGCTATAGAGGTGCCGGGAGACCAGCACCACAGGAGGGCCTCCTGGGGTTTACAGGTTTGGAGCATGGACTGGGAAGAGGGAAAGAAAACCCACAGGTGGATTTGAGACTTGTTTGCAGATGAGCTGAACTGGGTGGTGGCAGGAAGCTCTCCAGCAATTCTGGAGATGCCAGGTCTCAAGGCAGGGGTCGGTATTCCAAACGAAGGTGCTCCTCATTGGGGATTGGAAGGCAGCCTCCCTGCCCTCTCCCCTCGGTGCCCCCTCAAGTGAAGCCTGCTGGTAGACACACCTGCCTAGCACCCACAGGTCAAGGCCAGCTTCTCTTTCAGGACAGAGACTGGAGATGTCCAAGAAAACCCACACAGGTGCTTAGCTGAATCTGCCAGGTCCTCCAGCCATATGTTCAAACAGACACACAGGACCAGCAGACCCTAGAGTAAGACCAGTGGCCAGGAGGCAGTCTGGGGTGGACAAGAGCTATAGAGAAAACAGAGCCCACCGTGCTTTCTAACAAGTTGTATTAAAAGCATATTAATTACTATCCCCAGAGAGATTTCAGATTTTGCATCCATAAAACGAGAATAGGCTACTATAAAGAAAGAAGCAATCTGAGAATAAGAAGGAGTACATGAAAAAAATAAAATAGAAGGAAAAGTCAAGGTAATCTTTCTGAATTTATATAGCCAAAGACGAAGAGGTAGAAAACTCAGAGTAATAAAATGGTAATAGCTAACAGCATATTATGAGTGGGTATCTATACTGTTTAATCATTCGCTCTCCAAGGGAGAATGATAATGAGCTCCATTTCACAGATGAGAAAACTGAGGAAAGAGAAATTAACTAAATTGGCAATGGCCACATAGCTAGAAAGTTTCAGAGCTGAAATTCAAATGCAGATTGTGTGGTTCCAGATTCTGTGCTCTAAACATAATATGATATTGATTCTGGAACAACCTAGGAGGGCAACATTTGTCGAGCAGAAGTTCAGAAAAACCCAATGAGTGATACCGCTGAAGCTGTGCTAGCGGGTAGTTTATACTTTCAGCATATGTTTTAAAGTTCTTCTTGAGAGGCAAATTAAACCCAAGGTAGAAAGTAGAAGACAAGAAATAATAAGGGTAAGAGCAGCAGTTAATGAAATAGAAAGCAAATATACAATGAAAAGGATCAACACAGCCAAATTTGGTTCTTTAAAGAGTAACAAAATTTAACCTCCTGATAAAGCTTGAGAGAGAGAACAAATAGCAAAGTCAAAAATGAAAATAGAGACGTAATTGGAGAAACTGAAGACATCAAAGAAATAAAAAGAGGAAATTATAAACAACTTTATGTTGATACATTTGACTTTTTTTTTTTTTTTTGAGGTGGAGTCTTGCTTTGTCGCCCAGGCTGGAGTGCAGTGGCGATCTCGGCTCACTGCAAGCTCCGCCTCCCGGGTTCACACCATTCTCCTGCCTCAGCCTCCCGAGTAGCTGGGACTACAGGCACCTGCCACCATGCCCAGCTAATTTTTTTGTATTTTTAGGAGAGACAGGGTTTCACTGTGTTAGCCAGGATGGTCTCGATCTCCTGACCTTGTGATCAGCCCACCTCGGCCTCCCAAAGTGCTGAAATTACAGATGTGAGCCATCGCATCCAGCCTACGTTTGACATTTTAGATGAAATGAACACATTCTCAGAAATACAACTTACCTAAACAGACACAAGAAGAAATGGAAAATCTAAACAGTCCTATAACTATTCAAACAATTAAATCCATAATTTAAACCATTCCACAAACAAGACTCCAAGAACAGATGTCAATTCTATTGCCATTTAAGAGAGAAAGAATGCCAAACTTATACAAACTCTCCCACAGAACAGAAAATAAATCTTCCCTCTTAACAAAATTTTAAGTATATAATATCATATAGCTGACTATAGAAACCATGTTGAACAATAGGTCACTAGAACTTACTCATCTTGTGTAACTGTAATTTTATAACCATTGAACAGCAGTTCCTCATATCTCTCTCTTCCCATCCCATGGTAACCACCATTATATTGTCTACTTCTATGCTTTTAACTGTTTTAGATGCCTCATGTAAGAGGAAGCATGCAGTATTTGTCCTTCTATGGCTTACTTGTTTCACTTAGCATAATGTTTTCCAGATATATCCACAAGAGAAGGAATTTTATATACATAAAACAAAGAGTTCATTTCTACAGTATATAAAAGAACTCCTGCCACACAGTAAGAAAAAGGCAATTTAAGAGAATAATGGGCAAGACTCAAACAGGTACTGCTCCAGAGAGGACATCTAAATTACCAATAAATACAGTACTTGAGAAGTTGCCAGACCTCCCTCATTAAGAATCATGGAATTGCAAATTGAAATCCATGAGTTACCGCTGCATGCCCACAAAATGTCTCACATCCAAGAATGACAACATCAAGTGTTGGTGAGGATGTGGAGCAACAGGAATTCACACACTGCTGTTGGGAGTGCAAAGTAGTTAAACTACTTTGAAAAGTTTGCATTTCTACCAAAACTGAATATATGTATACTATATGGCCCAGCAGCTTCAGTCCTAGAAATACGCCCAACAGAGATGCTTCCACAAGTCACAAGACACAGCTATGAGGATGTTATGTCATGATGCACCATAGCCCCAAGTTAGAAACACCCCAAAGTGGCCATCAACAGGAGACCAGGTAAAGGAATTGCCACATGTTCCCAGAGCAGATACTATACAATGGTGGATATTGGTAGCCTTCAGCTGCACACATCAACATGGATGAATCTCACAAATGTAATGTTGAGCAGAAGCCAGATGCAAGTGAGTACATCAGTGTAATTTCATGTGAAAAATGCAGGCAGCGTGCAACTGTGCTTAGCAATGCATGCTTAGGTGGCAAAATTATAAAGTGAAGGAGGCGATCACCTCAAGGGGCAGGACGTCAGTGACCCTTCTGGGAAGAGGGCTGTTGATGGGATGGGCTGGAGGGAAGTTCTGGGGAGTCAGGACTTGGGGGCTGGTCATGTGGGGTTTGCTTTTTGATAGTGCATTGGACTGTTTAGGTTTGTGGCACATTGTTATATGTGCCACACTTGACAGTAAAAAATGATTTTGAAAAAATAAAAGTGTTTCAAGCATGTCTGTCAGCTCCCAGAAAACCCACCCCATGTATGCTGTGCCCATGCACGCATGCATGAACTCATGAGCTCTGAGTGTACATACTCACATGTGCAGTGGCAGGCACACATGCATCTCTGTGTGCAAATTCCTGTGAGCTGGAAGTGTACACACTTATATGTGCTATGCCATGCACATGTATCCGAGTGTGTGTACTCATGTGAGCTGTGTTTGCACACTCACACGTGCTGTGCCATGCATACAAGCATCTGAGTGTGCACACACATGAGCTGTGAGTTCACATACTCATGTGTGCTGTGGACATCCTTCTGACGTTTGCCTGGCCTGGGTTTGAAGGGCCGGGCTTGCTGGTCTGGGAGGATTTGCAGAGAAACCTAACAATCCAATGCACTATCACAAAGCAAACCCCAGGTGACCAGCACCCAAGTCTTGACTCCCCAGAACCTCCCTTCAGCCCATCCCATCAGCAGCCCTCTCCCCAAAGATCACTGACGTCCTGCCTCTTGAGGTGATCGCCTCCTTCCCTGGCATTTTTGGGCAGACACAGGTCAAGAAGGTGATCTGAGCTCAGGTGTCAGGGCCTGTCCCCTGCAAAGTGTGAACAGTAGTCAAAGGAGAACAGTGGGTTAGGGAGTGTTTTGCAGATGGCCGACCTCCGAACTCTCCTCCGGACCCCAGAAGGCAAAAGGGAGCTCTTTGGGGACAGGAAGGTGAGTGCGGATTGTGGCCACTGTGTGAGGTGATGATAAAACATCACAGGAGAGGACTTGGGCAGCTCAAGGAGAGGGCAGCTCTCAGTTGGTGAGAGGTGAGATAAGGTCTCCTCTCCTCTAAGGAGCCATGGAGGGTGGCCCCAGAGCCCAGGGAGGAGGGGTCCCTTCTTCTGAAGTGAGAGGAGGGAGTGGGACAGCGGCAGGAACTGGCGAGGTGAGGAGAGGGGATTTCCCCTTGGAGGCTCTCCTGCCTGGGGTGTCCCTGGAGCCTAGAGAGGTCCTGGGAGAGGGGCTCAGTGATGGCTGCGTGGGTGCAGGGCTCAGTGATGGCTGCGTGGGTGCAGGGCTCAGTGATGGCTGCGTGGGTGCAGGGATCAGTGATGGCTGCATGGGTGCAGGGCAGCACGTGGGCTTCTCCTTTGGAGGGGATATCTGCAGAGTGAAGATTGCTCCTCCACTTTCAGAGAGGATCCTGAGGCTCAGAGGATCAGTAGCTATGAGGAGAGTGGGGCCATTTTCCTCCCACCCCCACCTCTTGACCCTGCATCTTCCCATCCCTGACATCCTGGCCTTCCTGGATATTGGATTTTGGGGTTTGCTTGGAGTGACATGGCAACATAGGCCCCAGAGTTACAGAGCTGAGATGAACTTTCAAGCCCACGAGTCCCATTCAAACTAAGACCCATTCACTGAGCACCTGCTCTGCCCCGGCACTGGGGTTGGCTCTGGGGACATGGCTGTGGTTTAAGCAAAGTTCCTGAGCTCCTGGAGCCAATGTTTCTAGCGGGTGGGGAAGCAAGGAGCAGTCAACATCCAGAGGAACAAGGAAATAAGCCAGAAACCAGAGACCATGAGGGCTCTAAAGGGTCCCCAGGCCCTCGGCGTGGGCAGGGTGGGGCTTCCCGGCGGGAGTGAAGTTGGAGGCCAGCTTGAAGAGTGGATGTGGTTCCTGCGGCTGCTGTTAACAAATGACCATGAACCTCACCGACTAAGACAGCACACGCTCCTTCTCTCACAGTCCTAGAAGCCAGAGTCTACAATCAGTTTGTCTGGGCTAAAGTCAAGGAGTCAGTGGGGTGGCTCCTTCTGTGGGCTCTGAAGGGACTATTTCCTGTCTTTCCTTGCCTTTCCAGCTTCTGGAAGTCCTCTGCATTCTCAGCCACTCCCCACAGAGCCCCCACCTGTCACTCCATCATCCCACTTTCTAACTTCTGCTGAACCTTTCTGTGTCCCTCTTATAAGTACCCTTGTGTCACATCAGGCCCACCCTACAATCAGGATCATGTCCCCACTTTAGAGTCTGCCTTGATCACATGTGCTAAGTCCCTTTTGCCATATAAGACATTCCAGGGCTCCGAGGATCATGACATGGATGCCTTTGGGGGCCATTCTTCGGCCCATGATAGAGGGAATGGTCAGTAGGAATGAAGCAGGTGTGGGTGACAGCCCCGGGCACTCCCCTTCTCCTTCAACTCTGACCCATTCTGAAATTTCCAACTGTGCTCATCCATTCTGAACCCACTCACCCCAGAGGGAGCAGGCAGGGACTCTGGAAGGAAGATGTGTGACCCACGGGTGAGCAGTGGGAGGCAGGGTCTGCCCTCCTGGAGGCACTGGCTGGGCCCCGCGTCAGGGCAGTGGAGGTCTGTCCTGCAGCAGTTGCACCACGGCTGCCTGAAGGGACAGACGGGAGCCTGATGCTGGTCACCTGGAGCCCAGCCACTGGCTCACATGTGACCTGGAACAGGTCCTCGCCCTCTCCAGGCCTCAGTTTCTGTCTCTGTCACATGGGGTGTTGGGACATGGGGACCTGTGCCTGTGAGATTCCAGGTGCTCACTGAGGACCCAGCCTGGGGCAGGGTGCTCCTCCTGGTGGGCGCTGGCCTTGTGAGCACCCTGTTTACATCTTCACGGGACACGCGGAGGGGTGGGTGGCGGCCCAGCAGCTGGGGCTGCACAGGAGCCAGAGGGTTGCACAATGGCGGGGCAGCAGCCGGCAGCCTCTGCAAAGGTTGTTTTTTTACGGAGTGCAGCTGGAAGGGCAGCCAGGGAGGCGGCTCTGCCCGGAGGGAACAGTCAGGTCTCGGGGGCTGAGAGGACAGAGGTCTCAACCTCCCACTACGACAGGGCCAGCCGGGGTGGGCGAGAGTGTGACCCTGAGGGAGGGCTGTCTGAGTGCCACTGTCCCTCTTCCTCTGGAGGTGGCAGCCACAGGCCTCCTGAATGCAGAAGCCCAGAGCTGGAGACCCCCACAGAGGTCAGTTCAAGGGTGTCAGAACTGGGACCACAGCCCAGGCCCGCTCACTCCCAAGCTCAGAGACCCCCGTCCCACCTCCCTGCTGCACAGATGGGCATCCGGAGGCCATGGTCATTTGGGGCCAGGGGCAGGGAGAAGGAGGGTGGTGGGAGGCAACATCTCGGGGGCACATTCTGTCCTGGAGTGTGAGTAGGATCCTCCTCATGCTGTTTAATTCAGTGCTCACGCAGCCAGTTTATCTCCTTCAATGGAACCCAAACTGTTAAGAAAACAACATTATCGGCCAGGCACATTGGCTCACACCTGTAATTCCAGCACTTTGGGAGGCCAAGGCAGGCGCATCACAAGGTCAGCTGGCAATACGGTAAAACCCCGTCCCTACTAAAAATACAAAAATTAGCTGGGCGTGGTGGCAGGCACCTGTAGTCCCAGCTACTTGGGAGGCTGAGGCAGGAGAATTGCTTGAACCCAGGAGGTGGAGGTTGTGGTGAGCAGAGGTGACACCACTGGGCGACAGAGTGAAACTCCATCTCAAAAAAAAAAAGAAAAAGGAAAACAACATTATCTCCATTTGACAGGTGGAGGAACCGAGGCTCAGAGGCTCATCTGAGCTCAGCCTCCTGATGAGGAGCTCCGCTGTGCTCGTCAGGCCCCTGCAAGGGATCTTGGGACTCCGAAGCCAGGCTGCAAGGTGAGCGCGACCCAGACAGAGCCAGGAGAGCACAGCCCATCTGTGAGTGAGCAGGTGGGTTTGTGATCCGCTCTCCCCTGAGGCAGAGCATGGCCCATCTGTGAGTGAGTGGGTGGGTTTGGGATTTGTGATCCGCTCTCCCCTGAGGCATTTGCAGGGCAGACACAGGGGGTTGAGAAGGTGGTCTGAGCTGGGGTGTCAAGACTTGTCCCCCGCAAGGTGGGAATAGCCATCAAGGGAGAAGTGGCTTCATGTGGTGGACACCGATGCAGGGACAGTGTGAATGGGCAGAATCTCCAGACCCGGTTCCCCCAGAACCTACAGGACCCCAGAAATCACCACAGTTACCGCTGACCCTCCAGATTTGGGAGAGCTGTGGGAATGGGGGTCGTGGTTTCCCTGGTGGCCCTCAACCCTCCCCCAAGTGCTCGCCTCTCCAATAATTGGTAAGGTCAGAGCTCTCCATGCCCTCTTCCCGACCTCAGCCCCCCAACACCCAATAGGCTCCTCTCAGCCAGGGCCCAAAGACTGAGGGGCAACAGCCTACTCTCTGGGGCCAGGGTGTGTGTGGAGAGCCCAGGCCGCAGGCGGGAGTGAGAGCAGGGCCTGGAAGGTGGACATGGCTGCCTAAGCCTGGCAGGTGGATGGAAGCCTAGATGGGCCCAGAGTGGCTGGGGGCCTGGCAGGGGTGGCCCACTCTGGGTGGAGCAGAGGGTTGGGGGCAAGTTCACGGTTCCCAGTGCTGCGCTTCCAGCTACTCTGGGCAGTGTCCCTGGACCTCCTGCTCATTGAAATTGCTCTCTGCCTCAGTTTCCCCATCGCTGGATGGGTGGCAGGGAGGGTGAAATAGATGTGAGAAAGGGTTCTTCATGTGACCAGACGTGCACAGTGGGGCTTAGTGGGAGCTCCCCGTAAGCCGGGTGGCTTCCCAAGTGCTGCATCTGTCACCTTGCATCCCAGGGCATCCAGGAGGTCAGCACAGCAGAGCCAGCCTTCCTGCTGGACAGAGGCAGAGGCCAAGGTAGGGAGGGGAACATCTCTTGCCCAAGACCACGAAGCCGGAAGTAAGCGGAGGAGCCAGGACTTGAGCCGGGCTGCCTGACTCGGAGCTGGCCCTCCACAGCGCCACATGACCCCGAGACCTGGTGTGCCCCAGTGCTCAGCTGTCATAGAAACCCTTTAAAGGCCCGTGTCTTTGCAGGTATGCCCAGTCATGTGTTAGATGGGTCCCCAGGAAGAACCCTGGCCAGTGGTGGGTAGGCTGCCCCAGTGCCCTGCTGGCTGAGAACCGTGTGCTTGTAAACTTTATTTTCCATACAGTAGAGAAACATACAGTACAAGCAACACTGGGAATCCATTTACAGCAAAGCTCACAAATGCCCCTTGAGACACACTCGTTCCCTGGATGAGGGGGTGGTGCCCAGCAGCCTGCATGCCTCTGGGCGGCACTTCCATGCGAGCGGCTGCTGCATCCCAGAGCTGCGTGGGAAGGGGAAGCCGGCTCAGTCCTCACACCCCGCAGCTCCACGTCCACTGTCCTCTGCAGGCTGCCCCATGGCCGCCTTGGGGAGGAGAAGCTTCCCCAGGCAGCAGCCAACTTTCCACGTGCTCCCCGCGGCCTCCTGCCTGCCTGGGGAGGAAAACCTCATGGCAGGGCGGGGCTCAGCTCCGCAGCCAGGGGGCATTCACTCAGTGCCTGCTCTGGGCTGGACCCCACCCCCGCACCCCAAAGGGATCAGATGTGACCTGTCCTCCAGGGACCCCAGGCTGGCAGGCAGCAGCCCTGGCCCT
The DNA here is from genome assembly GCF_000001405.40 of Homo sapiens. Lineage (NCBI taxonomy): Eukaryota > Metazoa > Chordata > Mammalia > Primates > Hominidae > Homo > Homo sapiens. The sequence continues at coordinate 8,306,598 of NC_000004.12, read as the reverse complement.
ACAGCTTGGTAAGTCCTAGGGCAGAGGGAAGCTGGGGCCTCAGGTCAGGTGGGCGTTTGTCAGGGGGGAAGAAGCTTGGCAGCCCAGACCTGCAGTAGGAGGGGCAGGAGCAGGGGATACTGCAGATGGGTGTTCACAGGGGCAGAGGCGGGAAGCTAGGAGAGGAGGGGACCTCCATGGAAGGCAGTTTTGTGAATATCCGGAGAACTTGGAAGTGACTTTCAGGATCATCTGTACAAGGGGATGTTGGGCTTCCCTCCCCGGCACCGGGATGTGGATCCAACACTCCCCAGGCGGAAATTCGGGCCCCTGGCCAAGCCCAGCCTCCGCTCTGCCCCGGACAGCCAGGAGGAGGCTGCCGCCCTGCTGAGGACCGACGGTGGTCCTTCGTCCTGATCTCGGGGGGGCGCTGCCCTCCGTTGTCTGCAGGCTCTGACGCTTGGCGCTGGAGGAATGCGCCCCTCACATGACCACCTCAGGTGCGATGCTGAAGAGGAGGTCGTCGTTCCCCCGCCGCACCTCCAGTAGGAGAGGAGACTCGGTCAGCACGGCCTCCTGCAGCTCACTCGAGTCCACTAGAGGACGCCCGTTGACCTTGACGATGATGTCACCATCTTGGATGCCGCCTCTGCCAACAGGAGAGACGGGGTCACCACCCACCGCCTCCCCAGGCACAGCCTTCCCAGGCCCGGCCCAGAGCGAGGCACAGTCAGGGTCAATGACAACATTTCAACAAAAGTCATCTCGATGGGAAAGAACAGTGCCCCAGCCCCAAAGCTCTCACACCAGAAGAAAACCAATGTCACACGACAGGGAAACAACCTTTCAAACTGCTTCTCCCATGCGTCAGAAGGGTGGGTTCAAGCTCCCGCTGCAGCCCTCCTAGCTGGGCCAGGCACTCTGTCCCCTTGTGCCTCAGTTTTCATGTCTACCATCCTATGTGGAAACGCACTTTGCAAATTATAAAGGCCCAGGAGTAGGTTCTGCTGTTACTGCAGTTACGAAGACGTCTATGTGGGAGGCAGAGCTCACGGGGCCAGCCTTCTCTCTGCATGAGGCTCACTGAGACCTCCCCACTGCTGGGAAGGAAGGTGATGGTACTGTGCTCAGCTGCGTGGGCACCAGCATCAGGACCCTCACATGCCAGCTGTGTGACCTGGAAGAGTAACTTCTCTAAACCTCAGTCCCTCCACCTGTAAAATGGGTGAGGGCAGGAGCCTGCACCTCCCTGGCTGCAGTGAGGATTAACTGAGATGTGTGTGGAAAATTTCACCCAATTTCAACAATTTTTACTGCAGGCCTGCTGCGGGCAGGACAAGTGTGCCATCTGTGCTCATCACAGAAGTTCACGCGGGGCCTCCCACCTTCAAGCCCAGCCTCTGAGGATGCACAGTACAGTCGGCCCTTGAACAACATGGGTCTGAACTGTGTGGGTCCACTTATATGTGGATTTTTCCCACTGCAGATGAAGACCGAGGCTAAGGAGGGGAGGCAACTGGTTCAGAGCCCTTCTTGGGAGTGGGTCAGCCATGCCAGCATGTGGTAGTGTCGCTGCACGCCTGCCTCAGCCTATGGTGTTGCAATGCTTAACATTTCTCTAGTACTGGAAGACTTCAAAGAAAGCAATCCTTTATCCATTTCATCTACAAAGTCTCCTGGGGGTAGAAATCCCAGCACTTTGGGAGGCCAAGGCAGGTGGATCGCCTGAGGTCAGCAGTTCAAGACTAGCCTGGCCAACGTGGTGAAACCCCTTCTCTACTAAAAATACAAAAACAATTAGCAGGGCATGGTGGTGGGCACTTGTAATCTGAGCTACTCAGAAGGCTGAGGCAGGAGAGTCGCTTGAGCCCAGGAGGCAGAGGTTGCAGTGAGCTGAGATCGCGACACTGCACTCCAGGCTGGGCAACAAGAGGGAGACTGTCTCAAAAAAAAAAAAAAAAAAAAAAAAAAAAAAACAATAGGCTGAATTATCTCCACTTTACAATGAGGAAGCTGAGTCCCAGAAAGACCCAGGACCCAGGCTGGTCCCCAGCTAGTGAAAGAGTCTGGCTTGGAGTGGGTTCTTAGCCCAACAGGGACTCTTCAGCCTCTGCTTCTCGAAGGAAATGACATTGTGGGACTTAGGACGTACACAGTCAGGGCTCTAGGGACCATTCAGCTCTCCAGCCTCCTCTGGCTTAGCAGACACGCTAGAATCCACCTGCCCCTTCCCGGTCACTTTGCTGGGAAGCTCAAGGTCACATGAGGTCAGTGGGGCAGCCCCAGCCCAGACCTCACGCCTGCCCCATGCCTCGAGCGATCTCCTCTGGCAGAGCCTACCTCTGAGAAGGTGAATTCGGCGCAACCTCTTGCACATAAATTCCACTGCTGACCTCTGGGAAGTCCGGGTTGCTGGCCTTCAGCTCATCCACCAGGCTGGAAAGAGTCTGCCGTCAAGGCCCCTCCCCTGAGCCTTTGCCCAGCTCTTTGGTATGAAGCTGCCCCTCCCTCCCTCCAGCACCAGACCAGAAGAGGAGCCACCTCTGGGCCCCCATACTGCCCTGTCCCACCACTGGCCACTCTGTGTCCCCTACCAGATGTGCTTCTTAAGAGAAACGTGGTAGCAATAGCTGGTTAGAAGCGTGAAGAGAGGAGAGAGAGTGGGTAGACAGGTGGGAGGAGGGGCGGGAGGATGGATGGATGGATGGATGGATGGATGAATGAAGGAATGATGCTGGATGGGTGGATAGAAGGAGAAATGGACAGACAGGCAATGCTGAGTCATGGAATGGACAGACAATGCTGAGTCACGGAACGTACAGACAATGCTGAGTCACGGAACGGACAGACAATGCTGAGTCATGGAATGAACAGACAATGCTGAGTCATGGAACAGACAGACAGAAGACTGGACAGAGGTGGGATGGACAGACAGATAAAAGAGACAGAAAACAAAAGATAAATTGGCATACTGGACATTGATAATTTTTTTCAAATGTCACCCCTAGATTAGCAGAGTTGGTGAAACAGGAGGAATGACAGCTTTAGGGACTGTGTGCTTTGAGGAAATGGTCACTTGAGCATTCTCGAGTTCTTCCTAGGCTCCCGATGCAGTGACCTCTCCCTTCTTCAAACCTCGAAGCTCAAGTTTGTACTTCCAGCCTCCCTTCTATCCTGCCCCTGCTTCCTCTCCCCCAGCCCCTTCTTTCTTGCACTCATTCAGCATTTCCAGGCACCTGCTCTGCAGTGGACCTGCTTTTGGGGCAGAGTGGAGGAATAAGTAGGTCACAGTCCTTGCTCCCAAGGAGCTGACAGCCGAGGAGGCAGGATGGGGTGGGGCGGTCCCACCACAGGTGATTCCGACACAGCAGGATGAGTTCAAGGCTGGAGAGGGAGGCCAGGGCTCTGTGTGCTATGAGGAGGCACCTTCTGCCACTTGAGTGTCCTGGGAATGCAGAATGGTGTTCCCCCAAATTCGTGTACACCCAGAGCCTCAGAATGTGACCTTGTTTGGAAATAGGACCTTTATAGATGTCATTAGTTGAAGATCTTGAGAAGAGACCTTCTTGGTTTAGAGTGGGCCCTAACTCCAATGATGGATGTTTTCATAAGAGAAACGAGAGAGAGATGTGCACACAGATACTCAGAGAGAAAGAAGGTCAAGTGAAGACAGAGGTAGAGACTGCAGGGAGGCAGCCACAAGCCAAGGATGCCTGGAGCCAGCAGAAGCTGGAAGGGGCAAGGAAGTAGCTTTCCCTGGAGCCTCAGAGGCAGAGTGCAGCCCTGCCGACCCCTTGACTTCAGATCCCCGACCTCCAGAACTGAGAGGGAACACATTTCTGCTGTTTTAAGCCACCAGGCTTATAGTAATTTGTTATAGCAGCCATGGAAAGAGATAGCGTCCTGAAAGAGCAGAAGGAATCTATAAGGCAAAGAGGGAAAGGTCCACGCAAAAGGACTGGCCTGAGCAACGGTCAGAGGCCTGAGTGCATCGGCCCGTCTGGGCACCTGCAAGGAGCCGAACACAGCCAGCCAGGGTCTGGAGGGAGGGTCAGGGTGAGGGATGAGAGGAAGGGGTAGCAGGGGATGGCACTCTTCAGACACTCACCTTGGTGTGATCGTCCGCATCCGTATGCCGATGAAGCGCTTCTTCCAGTCTGGAAATGAAACACGGCGAGACTCCGTTAGGGCTGCTGTGAAAAGCCACCACGCTCCCTCAGGGGACAGGCAGAGGACAGAAGTTCCCCTGCAGGACCAGGAAGCAGCAGGTGTCATTCTGCTTGAGCTGGCCCAGTCCCCCTGCGGTCCAGCAAAGCTGCCCTCTCCTGACCATCATCATGGAGCTGAGGGGTATTCTAGCTCTAGTGTGGCTCGCCCCACAGGTGGCTTCATGTCCACCGCATCCTGCATCCAACCATGTGAGCTCCGACATCTGCTCTCCCAGCTGAGCTCCAACCCAACCCCAGTGGCCAGTGGGGCTGTCCTTTCTGGCTTCCATACTGCTGCTTCCCCAAATGTTCCCTGCTTGGAACTGAACTCATCACCTCCCACTGGTCTTCCTCAAAACGATACTCGCTGCTAATGTCCAGTGAGTACTAACCATGTGCCAGGCCCTGTGGCTGGGGCACTGCACACGCAACTCACTGAGATAGTGTCTCCATCCCCCAAGCTGCTCCAATCTGTGAGTTAGCAGGTGTCTCAGATCCAGAAATAAACAAGAGTCAATAAATTTAGAATTTTCATTTTATATAAGAGTTCTGACCACAATTAGAAATCAATAATAGGTATCCAGAAAATTCCCAAATTCTTGGAAATTAATAATACATTCTAAATTACTCATCTTCAAATAAGTAAAAAGAGAAATTAGAAATTATGTTCAGCTGAATAAAAATGAATGTATAATATATTAAAATTTGTAGGTTGTAGAGGTAGAGGGAAATTAATAGTACTAAAGTGTCTATATTAGAAAATAAGAAAAGTCTCAAATCAATAACCTCAGTTTCCGTCTTAAAAACTATAAAAAGACCAAATAAAACCTAGAATAACCAGAAGAAAAAAAATAATTAAAAGTCTGAATCAATAATAAAGTTGAGTGTGAATTAATAATAAAGCTGAGAGTGTGAATCAATAAAGCTGAGAGTGTGACTCAATAATAAAGCTGAGAGTGTGACTCAATAAAGCTGAGTGTGAGTCAATAATAAAGCTGATAGTGTGAATCAATAATAAACCTGATAGTGAAAATCAATAATAAAGCTGAGTGTGAATCAATAATAAAGCTGAGAGTGTGACTCAATAATAAAGATGAGTGTGAATCAATAATAAAGATGAGTGTGACTCAATAATAAAGATGAGTGTGAATCAATAAAGCTGAGTGTGAATCAATAATAAAGATGTCTGTGAATCAATAATAAAGCTGAGAGTGTGAATCAATAAAGATGAGTGTGAATAATAAAGTGTGAGTCAATAAAGAGTGTGAATCTAATAAGAGTGTGACTCAATAAAGCTGAGAGTGTGAATCAATAATAAAGATGGGTGTGAATCAATAATAAAGAGTGTGAATCGATAATAAAGCTGAGAGTGTGAATCAATAATAAAGATGAGTGTGAATCAATAAAGATGAGTGTGAATCAATAATAAAGATGAGTGTGACTCAATAATAAAGCTGAGTGTGAATCAATAATAAAGATGACTGGATCAATAATAAAGCTGAGAGTGTGAATCAATAATAAAGATGAGTGTGAATCAATAAAGGTAAGAGTGTGAGTCAGTAATAAAGTGTGAATCTAATAAGAGTGTGAATCAATAATAAAGCTGAGAGTGTGAATCAATAATAAAGATGAGTGTGAATCCATAATAAAGATGAGTGTGAATCAATGAAGAGTGTAAATCAATGAAATAAAGATAAGAATGTAAATCAAAGAAACACAATAGTGAAAATAAAAAATAAAGCTGATTCTTTAAGATCAATAAAACTGATAAATCTTTAGCAAGATCGATCATGACAAAAAGACACAGTTATCAACATCACAAATTACAGAGGTGACATCACTACAGATTCTACAGATATTAAAAGAATAATAAGAGAATATTGTGAACAACTTGATGTCAATGAATTTAATCACTTAGACAAAAGAAGCAAATTTCTTGAAATTTCCAAACCACCAAATCTCATTCAAGAAGAAATAACGCAAATAGCACTACATCTATTAAAGAAATTGAATTTGGAGTTAAAAATCTTCCTACAAAAAAAAACTTCAAGCCTAAAAGATCTCACTGGAGAATTCCACCAGATGTTTAAGGAAGAAATAGTACTAATTCTATACAAACTCCTCCAGAAAACTGAAAATGAGTGGCTACTTCTAACCTCCTTATCTGAATACAAAAACCAGAAGAGAAAACTAGACCAATATCCCTCATGAAAACAGATACAAAAATTCTTTAAACAAATCAAATCCATAAATACATTTAAAAGGATAATACAGCCGGGCATAGTGGCTCATGCCTGTAATCCCAGCACTCTGGGAGGCCAAGGCAGGTGGATCACCTGAAGTCAGGAGTCTGAGACCAGCCTGGCCAACATGGTGAAACCCCATCTCTACTAAAAATACAAAAATTAGCTGGGCATGATCGTGGGCACCTATAATCCCAGCTACGTGGGAGGCTGAGGCAGAAGAATCACTTGAGCCTGGGAGGTAGAGGTTGCAGGGAGCCAAGATCACACCACCGTACTCCAGCCTGGGCGACAGAGTGAGACTCCATCTCAAAAAAAAAAAAAAAAGGATAATACATCACAAATAAGTGATAAGTGAGGTTCATCCCAGGAATGCAAAGTTGGTTTAACATTTAAAAATCAACCAATGCAATTTACCACATTAACAGACTAGAAAGGAACACCATATGATCATCTCCAGAGATGCACAAAAAGCCTCTGACAAAAAGTAACATCTATTCCCAATAAAAACCAGAAATAGAAGGGAACTTTTCAACCTGAGAAAGGATATCTATGCAAATTTGTAGCTAGCACCGTACTTAATGGTGAAAGACTGAATGTTTTCTCCCCAAGATCACGAACGGGACAAGGATGTCCACTCTTACCCCTTTCATTCAATATTTTACTGGAAGTTCTAGCCAGGCAAGAAAAAAAAAAGGCATTCAGATTGGAAAGGAAGAAGTAAAACTGTCTTTATTCACAGACTGCATAGCCATCTATGTAGGAAATCTGATGGAATCTACAAAAAAAGTTTCTAGAAGCAGTAAGTGAGTTATCAAGCTTACAGGATATCTTATGGTGAACATCCAAAAATCATTTTAATTTGAATATTCTCTTAACCAACCAGCAGAAACTGAAATTTAAAAGAATACATCATTTATAATAGCATCAAAATTAAGAAATACTTATGAATAAATCTGATGAAAAATGCCCAAAAACCAGTACACCGAAAACTATAAAACATTGCAGAGAGAAGTTAAAGAAGATATAAATAAATGGAGAGGTAGTCTGTATTCATGGATCAGAAGAGTTACCATTGTTAAAATGCCAAATTTCCCCAAATTGATCTGTAAATTCAATGGAATCCCAATCAGATCATCAGCAGGCTTTATTTTTCTTTTTGTAGAAATTGACAAGCTTATTCTGAAATTCATATAGAAATGCAAAGGGTCTGAGGAGTCCACACAACTTGGAAAAGGAAGAATAAAGTCGGGGGACTCACACTGCCTGCCTTTTAGACCTACCGTGAGGCCACAGTAATCGGGCCAGTGCAGTACTGAATATTGGCCTAAACACAGACAGCTGGAATGGCACATGGTCATTCTCTTTTGGACAACGGTGCGAAGGCACTTCAGTAGAGAACAGTCTTTCAACAAATGGTGCTAGAACAACTGAATTTCCAAGGCAAAAATAACAAAAACGCCCAAACCTCGATCTATACTTTGCACTATTTAAAAATATACTAATTCAAAATGCATCGCAGTCCTAAATCTGAAACCTCAAAAAGTAAAACTTCTAGAAGAAATTGTAGGAGAAAAATCTTTCTGATCTTGGGTTAGCAAAGACGTCTTAGATACAACACCAAACGCATGACAAATTAAAAAAAAAAACAGACTTCATCAAAATTTACAAAACTTCTGCTCTTTAAAAACACTATTCAGAGAATGAAAAAGACAAGCCACAGACTGGGAGAAAATATTTGCAATTTGCTTATCTGATAAAGGGCTCCTATCCAGAATGTAGAAAGAACTCTCACAACCTACTAGTAAGAACACAAATAACCTAAATGTTTTTAATGGGCCAAATATTTAAACACACCAAAGATGAACAGCTGATGAATAAACCATGTGGGAGATGGGGTCAGAGCTGGCCGGGAGGCCTGACCCATGGGTCCAGTGGGCCCTGGAAGGCTTTGGATTTGGCCTTGAATCACCAGACGTGATCTGCCGTTAGTTTTGAAAGGGCCTTTCTGGCTGTGGGAGGGTCTGTGGAGGATGGGGCAGCATCCGGAGGAGCCCAGAGAGGTAACGGTCCAGGGCAGCGAGTGCCCCGGTGCTGGACCCGGAGGTGGAGGTGGAGGCGGAGCGGCGACGAGGCCCGGGGTGGATGCATCCTGAAGCCTGGGCCAATGGACTCGCTGACAGTGGATGAGGCATGTGGGAAGTCCAGAGGGACAGAGGGACAGAGGGACAAGGCTGACATAACTCAGTGGGGACGGCAGGTGGGGCTGCAGGAGCAGGGGGGTCTTGACAGGTGCTCTTAGTGGGAACTGCCTGTGGACATTGGTGGGTCCATCCCACAAGCAGCTGCGCGTCTGAGCCTGGAGCAGGAGGGGCCAGGCTGGAGGCGTAAATCCGGGGGATCACTCTCTAGGTGGCTTCTAAATCCAGGGGGTGGGATCCTCGACAGGACCTGCACAGCCCACCTGGGACATGGGCCCTTCCCACTCCCACTGCCTGGGAGTCCCCTGCAATCTCCAGAGCCTGCCCCACTCCCTTCCCACAGTCTCTGCTGGAGGTGGGTCACCTCCTCAGAGAGGTCTCCTGCCCCGTCATGCAGCCCTCACCCTCGAGGCCACAGCCCTGCCCCAGCCTCCTCCCAGCACCCCTCACTTTGATCTGTGGCATCTGGGGGCGTTTTTGTGGCCCGTCTCCCTGCTAGAAGGAAAGCGGGAGGGCAGGACCTCTGGCTCACAGGAGTCCAAGACACAGAGCCAGCATTTGAACAATGACTGTGGTCCCCTCTGACTTAGACCCACTGTGCGGGCGGGAAAGCAGAGGCCTGGTAATGCCCCTGGGCCAGAGCTGGGGAAAGCACGACTCACTGTGCTCAGGATAGGGGACTCTGAAGCCTCTTCTCCTTGAACTTGAGAGGTGAGCAGAACACACACCAAGTATGGGGCCACCAGCCTCCCTGCCCGTCCTGCTCCTGGCCCTGCTCCTGCCAGGTGGCTGGGCTGCCTTCCCCAGACTTTTCCACTATTGGGAAGGACTCAGGACTCTACCCAGCACAGGGGCCTGAGACCAAGGGACCTTATGGCTTCTGAGACCAGGGAACCTTTTGGCTTCTGAGACCAAGGGACCCTGTGACCTCTGAGGCTGGGGAACCCTGTGAACTCTGAGACCAGGGAAACTTACGGTTTTTGAGACCACAGGACCCTGTGACTTCTGAGACTAAGGAACCCTGTGGCCTCTGAGATCGAGGAATCCTGTGATGTCAGAGATCTGGGAACTCTGTGATGTCTGAGACCAGGGAAAGCACATGTCTTTGTCCCTGTCCCCTCCCCTCCCTACAGCTCTCCCTTGGCTTGTGGGCCACAGGATAAACGAGGGGTTTACCCCCCAGGCCAGAGGTCTCCCACCTATGAACTGCACTGTTCCCCACAGTCCACAGAGGGGCAGATGCCCACAAACGGCCCCACTCCATGAATCAAACACCCCACACCACCCCATGTGGGGCTACTCTCTGGTCCTAAGGCTGGCTGGACCCCAAGCCCTCCTGGGGCTCCCCCAACATGCATGGTGGCCACTCTTTACCCTGAAAGCCCCTCAGAGGCCTCTGCACCCCACCTCCAGACGAGAATAATAAATGCACTTAACATCTCCTTGATTTAATAAAAAGATGGTTCATTTCAAAGAACTTTAGATTAACTGGGTTTGGATCATTGGATTTTATTAAATAAAAAAGAGAAGCAAGTACAAACACCAGTCAACTTCAGAAGGATTTTAAAATTGCAAGTGTGCCATGCAGCTAAGGTTTATCAGGCTCCTCAGTTAGTCTGCACTGTCCTTGGGGAGGGGACACAGCTCTGAGGACAGGGGATATTTCCCAGGGGGTTCTGGGATGAGGTCAGCACTAACTGGGACAGCCCCTGTACAACAAAGGAGCAAACCTAGGCCCCAGGGGGATCCTGTCTCAGGAGAAAGAGAGAGGCAAGAAGGGAAGAGGACACTATCATCCACTTCCAAGGAAAGCCACCTCACAGCTCAGTGTGTGCAAACAGCAGCTCCGCTAATTTCCAGTAAGGAGGCCAAAGTCAAAGGCACCCATGGAGAATGGGATAATTCAACAGGAAAGACTCGGTCATTAGGGAAAGGAGCATGCTAGGACAGGTCTGGGTGCACCCCTGAATCTAGCTCTGAGCTTCCTAGAAGCCAACAGGAAAAGGGCTCAAGAGATTAGATGGTCCCCACTGTTCAAGAGAAGAAGACTTCAGCTTCTTTGGGAAAGACAGGCTCTGCCTGGCTCCAGATTGTCTTCCCATAATGGACACAGAAGAACAATGGCGGCATCCTCAACAGCAGCTCTTCATGTGACCAGCCCTCATGGCACCAGCCTTGGCTGCACTGGGGTCCATGTGCTTGGCTGACGGGGTCATGGAGGAGGGGGAAACGTGAGGAAGCCCCCTGCTCTCAATGAACTGCCAGTGAGGGGGCTGGGAGGAGACAGCAAAGCAATGTGGAAGTGTGAGTTGCTGAGTCAGGCCTGGGCGTTGGCCAGGAGGTGGGCACAGGAGACACAATGGCAGGAGGGAGAAGCTCACTAGGGCTGAAGAGAAGGTGGGGAGGGAGAGGCCCCCAGGAAAGGCCCTGCGATTGGAAGCATGGCCCTGCTCTGGAAGGTGGCTGCGACTGCCCACTTAAGGAGGCAATGGGCATGCTCTCACTTGGGAGAGTTGCCTAGTGCCCTGGCGAGGCCTCTCCCAGATGGGTGCTCATGGCAATCTAGGAGTGGGCAGGGTGGGCTGGGTATCCCTTTTTGATGGGGTGAGGAAATGGGGGCAAGGAAATGGGGGCTTGGAGGAGGGTGACTTCCAAAGACGAGGTATTGGACTCTGCTCCCCTGGCATAGAGGATATTCTACCATGTGATCTCCATGGGCCACAGGCTGGAAGAGGAAGTACTCAGGAGTGGGTAGATGGATGGAAGAATAGACGGACAGGGATAGAGGGACAGGTGGGTAGACGGATGGATGGATGGGTGGATAGGTAGACAGGTGAATGAGTGGGTGGGTGGATGGGTGGAAGGAAGGAGAGAAGGAAAAAAAGAAAGGAAAAAATAAAGGAAGGAAGAAATGGTGGCCAGGTGGGTGAATGGGTGGATAGGTGGGTGGATGAGTGGATGAATGGATGAGTAGATGGATGGATGGATGGGTAAATGGATGGATGATGGATGGACGGATGGATGGGTGGATGAATGGATGATGGATGGAAGAATTGGTGGTTGGAAGGATAAATGAGTGGTTGGGTGGATGGATGGATATAGGATGGATGGATGATGGATAGGTGGATGGATGGATGAATGGATGAATGGCTGGGTGGGTGGGTGGATGGATAGATGGGTGGATGGATGGATGGATAGGTGGATGGGTGGATGGAAAGATGGGTGGGTGGATGGATGGGTAGATGGGTAGAAAGGTGTGGATGGATGGATGGATGGATGGATGGATGGATGGATGGATGGATGGATGGATGGATGGATGGATGGATGGATGGATGGATGGATGGATGGATGGATGGATGGATGGATGGATGGATGGATGGATGGACGGACGGACGGACGGATAGAAGGAAAGAAACACCTGACAACTAAAGAGCAGCCCAAATGAGAGGAGCCCAGGGAGTCCAGGAAGCTGATGGTGGGAGCTGAGCTCGGAGATTCCCCAGCCAAAAGGAGACAGCCTTGGAGGGGCAGGGGATGAAGCCGATCACGAATCGATGATAGGCAGGGGGAAGATCCTGAAAGAGGCTGAGGATAAGCTGTCCTGGGGGTCTCACAGCTTTGGGGTGGGCAGACAGGACCTGTCCAGTAGTGAGCAAAGTTCACCCAGCACCTCCGGTGGGCCTTGGTCCCAGGGCTGGGGTGTTAAGGGGCTGTAGCCCTGGGAGAGTGCCCCCTGCCTCTGGCCCCCTCCAGGTGAGCTCTTTACCTTTGATCTGCTTGTCTTGGAACTCTGTGAGGAACCGTGTGATGCGGTCTGAGGGGATGGCAAAGGAGATGCCAGCCGTGACCTTGAGCGTGTTGATGCCAATGACCTCGCCATCCTGGGCAGGGAGGTAAGAGCAGGCATCAGTTGGGGGAACCCAGGCAAACCCCTGCCCACAAAGCACTGTGTCCACAGCTCTGTTTCTAGAGGCTGACCCCAGCTGTCAATCCCCCTACAGCCCCCAACTCCCCTGAAAAGCTCACTCTCAGGATCACACCTGTGTCAGTGACCCTACCTCTCCAAATCCTGGAGATCCCCCTTCCCCATCCCTGGAGAGTATTTCCAGGGAAGCTTGCAGCTCGGGCCTGCCCCCAGGCTCTGGCCACTCTGCCTCTAAGAAGCACGGCCACTGGGCCAAGGACACCGCCAAGCCATGTTTGGAGGGACCGAGAGAGGGAGGAACATGGTAAGGCCTGTCGGGGACAGAGACCCTGTCTATCCCTACCTTCCAGAAGTGGGGGGCTGGCAGGTGGGACCAGGGGAGCTCCTTGACCCCCCCATCCCTCTCTTTGGAGACCCTCCAAACCTGCCCTGCCCCCCATGAGGCTGGTACCACTTGGGCAGGATCTGACCTGGCCCCTGGGGACCTCACACTCAGGCACACTCCTGGAAAGGAGCCCCACCCCACAGCCTGGCTTATACCCCTAGCCCTGCCCTCCCTGTCAGGGCCTGGCCAGCTCACCAGGGATCCCTCTGGGGCCTGGGGCAGAGCTTTGGGTCAAGGCACCCTTTGTCCTCCTGGTCCCTGGAAGCTCAGGAGGCAGGAAGAGCATCCGAGTGTGAGATCCAGTAGATTGAGTTCTGTGTCCACCCTCGGCCCTCTGTGCCCATCTCTACTGCCTGGACCATGCGGAGCAGCCTCCTGGGCCTGGCTTTCTGGCCTCCAGCCTAAACCACACACACGAGCTTCCTTGAAACCAGGGCACGGCCTCAGCCCTGCCAAAAGCCTGGGAGACATCTTGGGCACATAGGGTGAAGCCCCATCTGCACACGAGGCCTGAGGCAGCAGGACATGGGCCACCAGCCCCTTTCATTGTCCCCTTGTCTGACCTCCCCCTCCCTAAGCCTCTGAGAGCCTCCTGCAATGCTCATGTTGTGCCTTCTCCCTGGGATTTCTTCTTCCTGTACCCAGTCCTCCTCAATCTCGATGGCTGTTGTATAATGCTCTCACCTCCAGGAAGCCCTCCCTGATCTCACATCAGCTGCCAGGTCTTCCTGCCCAGCGTCCCTCCAGAGCTATCTCATGTGGCTCACATGGTGCTTGGGCTTGTTCACATCTGGACACCTCCCCAGCCATGGATAGGAGCTTCAGGGGTGGGACCGTCCGATCCTTCAGGGCCTAGGAGCTCTGAACTGAGCTTCCTGGTTTATTCTGGAAAAATCTCACCTGGGATGAGGCTGAGCTTGACTTTGAGGCTCAAGACACAACTGGGAAGGGGAGAATGAGGGTGCCCCTGTCATCCTGTGTGTACATCCAGGGCAGGGAGGGCTGAGGTGAGCAGCCCCACACCTGCGTCTCCCTTGCCCCAGCTCCCCTGACAGGCACATGGCCCTGGACTGAGCTGCTGCTCATGGGTGAGTCCTCATTCCTGGTGGCCACTAGCATCCCCGAGGCGCTTGGGGCAGCCTTGGTCTTTCCTCCTTCCAGGCCTCCGGCCCAGCTGCACTCCCGACTGTTGGTGTAAATGTTCTAGGACCATATTGTGGGCCCTGTCCCACCTCAAGGCTGAGCACCCCCATGTGAGAAGAACCCCAGAAACCTGAGAGATTTTGGCTCTAGGGGACACTTACCAGGTTCACCAGTGGTCCCCCGGAGTTCCCGTACTGCAAGGGGAGGAAACAGCATTAGCTGTGCCTGACCCCGCCTGAGGCTTCCTGGAGCCCCTTCTCCAGATCTGCCTCTAACCAGTGCAGAGACACATAAGCAGGTCTCATCCTCAGCAGCATCGAAAGGCCTCAGTGCTGCCCCCATTTCACAGATAAGAAGGCCATGTGGATGGCTGCCTGATGACCGAGGTCTGACTGTCACTGTTCTCTGCACAAACCATACGCTTCGGCATCTACACCCCGGAGGCCAGGCAGCACCGCCTGGTGCATGGAGAATGGGGGTATTACTTCCCATCCTGCTGGCCTGGGGGGGCCCTCTACAAAGACTCGGATTCCAGCCAAGTGCCTGAGCTGCGGCAAAGCTGGATGGACGTGATCTGGGGCATCTGGGTGAAGTGCTTTGTGAATGCTAAACGTGCCACCAACATAATCACAATAATAATGAAAAGCAATGTTGGCCAGGGTGTGTAAGCTGGGCAAAGGTGTTTGCGGGCTGTGGCCATGCCTCTGTTTCTCTGAAAGGCTGCCCGAGCGAGGACAGCAGCCTCTGACTCCCAGCGTGCCTGGCACCCTGGGGTGGAAGTCACAGGGTTAGAGCTCCACCGAATGTAAAGAGAGAACTTTCTAGCAAGTGGATGTGTCGAGTGCCAGAATGGCTCTGGGGAGGGGGGCAAGCCGAGTCAGAGACCACCTCGAGGTTGAGGTCTTGGGCACAGATGGCAGGTGCCCCGGCCTCCTGTCCCTGGGACTCACGTTGATGATGGCATCCGTCTGGATGTAGTCCATGTCGGAGTCCCGGAGGCCCAGCTCCCTGCCCTCCCGCTGGGCAGTGCTGACGATGCCCGTTGTCACTGTGTTCTGTAGGGCGAAGGGACTGCCGATGGCCACCACAAACTCCCCAGGCCGCAGGTCGGCCGAGTGACCCAGCAACAACACAGGGAGCTTTTTCTAGGAGAGAGAAGGAGAAGACACAGAGAGGGAGGCTTAGCCGTCTACCTTCAGCGGGGACCGGAGTCAGATCCTGGCAGGGGGGTCCCAGGGAAGGCATGCACATCTGTGCAAAGCCACCAGGACTGTGAAGGCTCAGGCAGGTCACCAGTGCAGACCAAGACCAGGGCAGTCCTGTGCTGAGACCCAGGGCTGGAGTACACGGAACAGAGGCTCAGCTGTGCCAGGGACCAGAGGTTCCCCCAGGGCAGGCATGGGTGCTCATCATGTGCAGCTGAGCACAGCCTCCAAGGTCGTTGAGCCCAATGATCTGATGGTCACATGGCCTCTAAAAATCTGGTAAAAGCTGCAGACACCTGGTAAAAACTACTACACCATATGCACCACACACAAACTGATGCATTTGATGGAGAGAGATCTGCAGACAACTGGAGCCCAGCTAAGGACTCTGACATCCTTGATCCAGTTCCATCTCATCTCCCAGTAGAGACACACGGGGGAACTCAGGCCTGGAGAAGTGAAGCCACTAGCCGAGCTCCACCCCACGCCGCGCACACTGAGACACCTGCACACCCCTCTTCTGCTTTTGCGCGGGCCCAGCGGAGCCTGTCTGTCTGATTATCTGACTCTGCAACTAGCCTGGCAGCAAGGAGAACAGCCAAGCTCTGTGTTCCAGAAGCTGCGTGGTGCACACTCTGAGAAGGTAATCCCGGGTGCTTGTTAGAAGGTGCCGAAGCGCACACACACACACGATAAATTGGGGAAGGCGGTTCTGTGCTCGTACCCACATCAACTTCCTGGTTCTGGTTTTGCACCCATTACCTAAGATGTCACCGTTGAGGGAAGCTGGCGGAAAGTCTCCTGGGACCTTGTGGCACTACCCTGTAGCTTCCCGTGGATCTGCGATCGGCCAGGTCTCAAGAGCATTGCCCCAACTTAGGAGATCAGTGGGGCAGGACCCCATGCCTCTGACCCTCTGGATGGCTCCCCTCCACCAGGCCACTGGTCCTTCTCATCGTTTCAGTCCTCTTCCCTTTTATTATACACCATCATGTCAAATAAGAAAGTTTCTCTTTGCAGCTTTCAATACGAGGAGAAAGCTGTCAATAATGGGGACGACGTGGAGCCCCGCACAGGATTACGGGAGCCCTTGGTGGGCGGGCGCTGGTGTGGGAAAGACTCAGGCCGCTCCTCTATTCTCTGTGCTCAAGAAGCTTCAGTCAATGGCAGAGAGAATGCCAGGTGGCGGAACCAGGCCTGCACATTGGAAGGTGAGGGCCCGGA
The DNA here is from genome assembly GCF_000001405.40 of Homo sapiens. Classification (NCBI taxonomy): domain Eukaryota; kingdom Metazoa; phylum Chordata; class Mammalia; order Primates; family Hominidae; genus Homo; species Homo sapiens. The sequence continues at coordinate 8,290,085 of NC_000004.12, read as the reverse complement.
GAGATGACATTTTCCATTGCTGACCGGCCGAAGAGGCAGAAATAACGTCTGAAATCTCTGGGAGGCCGTGAACTGAGGAGGGTCAGCCCGTCCTCCCTGCACCCAAGGAGGGTGCACAGGTGAGGCCGTGAACTGGGGAGGGTCAGCCCATCCTCCCTGCACCCAAGGAGGGCGCACAGGTGAGGCCATGAGCTGGGGAGGGTCAGCCCATCCTCCCTGCACCCAAGGAGGGCGCACAGGTGAGGCCATGAGCTGGGGAGGGTCAGTCATCCTCCCTGCACCCAAGGAGGGTGCACAGGTGAGGCCGTGAGCTGGGGAGGGTCAGCCATCCTCCCTGCACCCAAGGAGGGGGCACAGGTGAGGGTCAGGAGCCTTTCCCATGGCTCGATTTAATGCCTAGGGGCTAGGAGGGCGTTTCCCACCTCAGCTCATGGCCATGGGTGCTGACCAGGGCCTGCAGGACATGAATCACACTAGCTCTGCTGGCACCCATTTGCCACAGGTGGCTGGTGGGGCGTCCTGCTCAGGCCCACCTGGATACCACCCCACCAGTCCTGCCAGCATTCTGCCACAGCCGCCGGAAGGGGAGACAGACCTGCCCCTAGTCTCGCTCTCCTCTTCCCACAGGGGTCCTCGAGCGGGGGTTGCAAACTGGCCCAAGGCCCAAACGCTGTCCATTGCCTGTTTTGTGAATCAAGCTTCACTGGAACGCAGCCACACCCACCTGTGCAGCCTAAGGCTGCATTTTTGCCACAGCAGAGATGCGTGGTTGTGACAGAGACCACAGGGCTTGCAAAGATAAAATATTTACCATTTGGCTTCATGGAAAATTTGTTGGCTGGGCACCATGGCTCACACCTGTAATCCCAACACTTTGGGAGGCCGAGGCAGGAGGATTGCTTGAGCCCACGAGTTCTAGACCAGCCTGGGCAATACAGCGAGACCCTATCTCTACCAAAAATTTAAAAATTAGCCAGGTATGGTGGTGCATGCCTGTAGTCCTAGCTATATGGAAGGCCAAGGTGGGAAGATCCCTTAAGCCCAGGAGTTTGACGCTGCAGTGAGCTGTGATTGTGCCACTGCACTCCAGCCTGGGCAACAGAGCGAGACCCTGAAAAAAAAAAAAAGAGAGAGAGAGGGGGAGGAAGGGAGGAAGGAAGGAAGGAAGGAAGGAAGGAAGGAAGGACGGACGGAAGGAAGGAAGGAAAATTTGGGGGTGGGGTGCAGTGGCTCATTCCTGTAATCCTAGCACTTTGGGAGGCCAAGGCAGGGGATCACCTGAGGTCAGGAGTTCAAGACCAGCCTGGCCAACATGGTGAAACCCATCTCTACTAAAAATACAAAAATTAGCTGAGGGTGGTGGCATGCACCTATAGTCACAGCTACTTGGGAGACTGAGACAGGGGAATTACTTGAACCTGGGAGGTGGAGGTTGCAGTGAGCCGAGATCCTGCTACTGCACTCCAGCCTGGGTGACAGAGCAAGAACCCGTCTCAAAAAAAAAAAAAAAAGGCTAGGCACGGTGGTTCACGCCTGTAATCCCGGTACTTTGGGAGGCCAAGGCAGGTGGATCACCTGTGGTTGGGAGTTCAAGACCAGCCTGACCAACATGGAGAAACCCCGTCTCTACTAAAAATACAAAAAAATTGGCCAGTGTGGTGGCACATGCCTGTGATCCTAGCTACTCGGGGGGCTGAGGCAGGAGAATTGCTTGAACCCGGGAGGCGGAGGTTGTGGTGAGCCGAGATGACGCCATTGCACTCCAGCCTGGGCAACAAGGGCAAAACCCCATTTCAAAAAAAAGAAAAGAAAATTTGCCAACTCCTGTCCGTGAGCACACCCCTCAGTGGGTTTCCTTAACTTTAAAATGGAGGTGATGCCCCCAGACTCAATCGCGACCGTGAAAAGTCTGAAAAGCAGGGAAGGGTCCCCATTAGGGGAACTCCTTGGAACCATTAAATCTCCTCTCCCTTGATGGGGCAAGAGGAAACCCCCTTGCAAAAGATTTCATCACAAATGCTGTAAACGTTCATTCAGAAAGAGAGGAAGCCAAATTCAAACCAGCCAAGGTGAACTTCCCAGTCCAAGGGAAGCTCCGGGTCCAACGCTGGTGTGAGACATGGGACTCAGTGACCTCATGGCATGGGGAGCTGCAAGTAACTCAACTGTGGTCCCCAGGGTCACATAAGCATGGCATTGGGCAAGACAAGAACAAGCTGGAGGGAGGCCGGGGTCCTAGCTGAGCGGGCCAGCCCTGCTCCAGTGCGCTGTGATCTTGGACGAGTTACCTAACTTCCAAGCCTCAGTTGCCCCGTCTGAAATCCCAAGATAATGAGGTCCCTGATATGGTTTGGCTCTGTGTCGCCACCCAAATCTCATGTCAAATTGTAATCCCCATGTGTTGGGGGACGGGCCTGGTGGGAGGTGATGGGATCATGGGGGCAGACTTCCCCCATGCTGTTCTCATGGTGGTGAGTTCTCACGAGATCTGATGGTTTTAAAATGTGTGGCATGTCCCACTTCACTCTCTCTCTCTCCGGCTCTGCCATGAGAAGATGTCCCTGCTTCCCCTTTGCCTTCCGTCATGATTGTATGTCTCCTGAGGCCTCCTGGTCATGCTTCCTGTACAGCCTACAGAACTCTGAGTCAACGAACCCTCTTTTCTTCATAAATGACCCAGTCTCAGGTAGTTCTTTATAGCAGTGTGAAAACAGACTCATACAGGCCCTTTCCTCCCAGGCCTGTGGTGAGAATTAGAGGAGTGCAGTCAGCGCCTGGCTGAGAGCAGGCCTTCCAGAAACAGCCGGTGGAGGAAGAAGAGGATTCTGGGGGCCTCAGTGCAGGCCTCTTCTGGGTCAGCTGGTGGGAGGTACAGACGTGAAGGTGGAGGGATGGGGTCCCTGTCCCAAGTGTTCCCCACGGCAGCCCCCTGGCCTCCACGCCCAAACCCAGATGCCATCCCATGGGGCAGGTGCATCCCCAGTAGTGGGCCCAGGTAAGACAGTGAAGAGCCTCCGTGGGGTGTGATATGGGACCACAGCCCACCCACTGTGGGCCACATGCTTCCTGGCTCTGCCCTGCACCTAGCGGCTCAGGGAGCGCAGGACAAGGAGTCCAAAGACCTGGGTTCTAGGTCTTTTCCAAGCCGTGACCCTGGGCCAGCTGCCAGTCCTCCCTGGGCCCAGTTTCCTCCCCCTGGCTGATGGAAGGTGGGGCTAGCTTGCCTCTGGGTTCCGGCGTCTGGGAAGAGGCCACCATGCCCAGCCCCAGGTGCTTCCGCCCCTCCACCCACGCCCACCCACCTTGGGATGGATCTTGATGGTGGCAATGTCCGACTTCTTGTCGATGTCTTTGATGGTGGCCTCATAGGAGTCCCCATTCTGTAGCTGCACCTTGAGCTGCTGCCTGCCCGGGGCAGCACTGTTGCTGGACACCACGTGGGCATTGGTGATGATCAGGCCGGCCTCTGACATGATGAAGCCAGAACCGCTGGACAGGGGCACGTTGCGGCCAAACAGCGGGTGTCTGCAGCCAGGGAGACACAGGCGGGCATTTAGGGTGGGGCTAGGACGCGGGGGAGTCAGGCGCAGTGGTGGGGCTGGTCAGCGAGGAGCAGAGCCAGTGTGTGGCTGACAGAACACAGGTCTGGAGTCCCTCAAGCTCCCATTTGAATCCTGGCCCTGTGACCTGGCCAAGTCACCGGCGCCTGCACCCATTCACAGCCATAAAGAGGTGATGATGATCACCTCTCGCTGCAATTTGCTGAGATGAGACAGGCTGCCTGCGACATGTCAGATGACTCCCAGCTTGCACTCGCCATCCTGACTACGGAGCACGGAGCCAGACAGACCAGGATGCTAATCCCAAGTCCAGGACCCACTTATTATCTGCCTGACCGTGGGCAGGTCAGTGAAGCTCTCTGAGCCTTGGTCTCCCCATTTGGGAAATGGGACAACAACACCTCCTCCGCCGAGTGGTGATGCCTGGGCTCTAAAACGCCTCTCAACAAACAGGACAATAATTGGCCCTAGGGGAAAAGCCCCATTGCACACACAGCATCCTGCAGGGCTGCAGCAGGTACCCAGGAAGGGAGGCTCCCCAGAGGCTGGGGCAGATTCCTGATCATCCCGACAGGGTGAGTGCTGGGAGGGCTGAGAAGGCTTATTCCCACCTCCCTCTACCCTCACCCCCAGGCTAGCTGCCTAAAGCCCCAAATGTGGCAGTGCTGGCAGCAGGCAGATGCAGGACCCGAGCCCTGGACACCCCGAGGGCAGGGGTGCAGAGGCACAGATGAGGCCAGCCTGGGCCCTGCCCTCTGTGAACGGTGTGGAGCTGGCCTGGGTTTGCATTGGTGTCTGCCGATGGGCAACAATCCCCAGTTCTCACCAGAGCTCTCTGAGTAGAAACCACAGCCCCACATCCAGCAGGGGAGGAGGCTGAATGCCAGACACAGCCTGGGACCTTCTCCAGGGTGGGAACCTTCGGGACCCCAGCGTGGGGCCCAGCCCAGAGCAGGTACTCACTCCCTGAGGCTGCTTAGTAGAGATGAGCAAGGAAAATGTGCGAGGGACAAAGTATGGAGGGATGGAAACGTCTGGCACGTGCAGGCAGGTGAGAGCAAGAGACAAAGCATGGAGGGATGGGAGCGTCTGGCACGTGCAGGGAGGTGACAGTCTCTGCAAAGTACAGGAGCTTCGCTGTGACCCACAGGACCAGAGATGGCAGCGAATGCCACCCTGTGCTCCCTCTGAGGCAGGCAGGCCATTGAATGCTCATGGGCACCCTGCAAGGGGGGTGCTGTGGTGAGCTGTATCCCTGCCAAGAGATACGGCCAAGTCCTAACCCCATGTGACTGTGAATGTGACTTTATTTGGAAACAGGGTCTTTGCAGGTGTCCTGAAGTTACGGTGACATCAGAGTGTGTCTGTGTTGTCTTTAAGGGAGGGAAGTCCAGTCTCACAGAGGGGAAGGCCATGAGATGATGGAGACAGAGCAGAGAGAGGGGTCTAAGGGCCGAGGCGTACCAAGGACTGCGGAAAACACTAGAGCCAGTAGAGGGGCCTGGGACACTCCCCCAACATCCCCCAGAAGAAAGCAGCCCTGCTTGATTAGGACCTTGACACCTTGATTAGGACTTCCAGCCTCCAGAACCATGGGAGCAAACATCTCTGTCATTTTAAGCCATGCAGTCTGTGGTACTTTGTTATGGCAGCCACAAGAAACTACTGTCGTCCCTAACTCTCAGGTCTTTATGGTGGGAAAACTGAGTCCCGAGACGCTGAACTACTTGCCTAGGTCAGGCGGGCAGGCAAAGGGCAAAGCAGGGGTCTGCCCCAGGCAGCCTGGGCATCTGGCCACTTGGCCACCCCACACGGTGACCCCAGCATCTGTCCACTCACATCCGCAGCCAGCTTCTGCCACACCCACTCCGTGTGTGCCCCAGAGTAGGAACTGCACCTGTTTTGCCTGCGGAAGCCCCAGGGTGCCTCACAGGGCCAGGCACCTGCGGGGTCTGCAGAAAATGCCCGCGGCTGCCCACTGGCCTCCATGCCCACACTCAGACCTCAGGTCAGGGGTCACAGCCGGGAGGCCTGTGCTGGAAAAGCATCTGTCTCATCTTTGCTGGGTCTCACCCACCCACTCAGAGCATCAGTCACTGGAGGCTCTGAGGGCAGAAACGGCCTCCCAGCCGGGCTGGAGTCAGTAATTAGTTGGTTCAGAGCCTGGTGGCTGGGGCCTTCCAGAAAGATGCTGCCCCCATCCCTACCTCCTGGAAGGCCAGCAACGTGCCACTTAGTGCATCCAGTTATAATTTCCTCAATGACATGTCTCAGGGCCCGGGGCTCGAGGGAAGGGCAGTGAGGGGTCAGTGTGCTGCCAAGGGGGCAGTGAGAGGTCCATCAGCACGGGGCACCGGACAGGGTGGCAACCAGGGCTGTGGGTCCTGCATGGGTGGTGCCTCCAGGGCTGTTTTGAGAAACATGGGCTACACAGCCCACAGCCCAGGGAGCTCCCAGCAGGTGTGGAGGATGTGATGCTGAGGTGCTATATGCCCGTCACGCGCTCTCACACCCCTGTTCAAGGAGCACGACCTCTGCTGGAGAGCCCGGGATGGGGAGGGCAGAGGGGCCGTGACGCCTAGTGACAGGGGCTTGGACCAGACAAGCGCCGAGCCAGCCAGCAGGGAGGCGGTGCTGGAGCAGGAATCACTCCTGGGATCTCCCCATGAGCCACCAGATGCTCAGTCCCCAGGGCCGGGCCTAGGGCAGTGGAGCCTCGTCACAGGGAGGCTGGAGGCCTCAGGGAAAGTACCGTGAAAACAAGCAAGTCCCTGGAGCCCTGGCCTGCGGCCTCTGGTGACTGCTCATTGCCGGCTCCGTGTCCGCCTGGACCCGCCGTCTGATCCCTATCAGGGTGGAATGAGGCTTGGTTCCGGGGCCTCCTCATCAGGCTGTTTGCCGGCTCTGTGCACACCCAGGGACCAAAGGGCCAGCAAAGGTGGATGGGAGAAACACTCTAAACTTCAGAAGAGTCATTCAGTCTGCTTCTGCGGGATATAAGTCAATCTGGGATGAGCCCTCAGGATTCGGTGTGAGCGATCAGACATTGGGCAGCTTGCACAGCGGGAGGTTCTGAAGGCAGGGCTCCCCCAAACCAGCTCAGAGGGTCTCTGTGATGGGGGAAGTAGGAGAGGCTGGGGATGGTGGCAGGGACCGGGGCAGGCCCTGTGGGAAGAAGGGGAGGAGGCTTTGCCTGTGCATCTGCAAGGAGAGGCCTTGCTCGGGGGTGAAGCCACACGGTACACACCACTTCCTCTACGGGGCTGGGACATCCCGCTTCCCTATTGACCGACTCCACTCATTCATTCATTCTTTTACTCATCCATTGGACACTCACTCATTCCCTCCCTCACTCATTCATTCTGCCACTTCCTTCACTAACTCATTCCTCCCCTCACTCATCCATGCACTGATTCGTGCGTTCACTCACCCATCCCTCATTCCTCCCCGCTCCGGCCACACGGGCCTCGGTGCTTGCGAGCTGCCCCCACTGCCCTGCATCCACTGGCCCAGCTCCCGGGGTGCCTACTTCAGGCTTAGCTTGTGAGGCCTCCCGAGCCCCCGGTTCCCACTGCCCCGAGCCCTGCTCTCTGCCTGCCATGCCTCTGCTCCTTGCACACACACCTGCTGTCTCCTGGCATCTCCTCCGCTGGGTTCTGTCTGTGTCTGCTTTACTGCACGGCCCCTCAGGACGACCAACACATTGCATGTATCCAATAGCATGGGCAGCAGCATGAAGGGACAAAGACCCACAGCTGTGCACCTTCTTGGTGCCTACAGCTCCAGCAGGTGCGGAGTCACTTCAGCGGGGATGTCCTTCCCCAGGGGCACACAGGCAGCCAGCAGATGTGACTGAGGTCAGCCTGACCCCAGGCCACTCCAGTTTCTGTGGCCCAGGCTGCAGAATCAAGCCTGGTTTGGGCCCCAGCAGCTGGCGGGTGTACCAGGGGACACCAGGAGGCAGAGAGGGGCGAGGGGTATTCACCCACCTCAGGAAGAGCTCTATGTGGACCACGGCTGGTGCGATCTTCTCCACCACGTCAGCAATGAAGTTGAACTTGTAGCGCGGGCTGCTCAGCTGGTGGAGACCTGCGCTGGCGGGAAGGGCCAGGTGCATCAGTGAGATCACGATGCTGCCAGCTCCCAGAGGCCTATGCCCAGTGGGCAGAAGGAGGAGGCTCTTCCTGAGACCCCTGTCCCAGTTCAGAGCCAGCCTCAGCCCACACTGAGCCCGTTGGGGACCCCCTACCACACAGCAGTGCAGTGACACCAGGCATTTGGGAAGGGGCTCGCTCACCCCGAGAATGGTTAAAAAGGCTTCCACGTGCTGGGCTTCCTCACCCCCCTCACTGGACCCTGCTAGGCTGGGCAGGAGGCTCAGAGAGAGGTTAGGATATTGCCGTGAGCCACACGGGAGTGAGGCCAGGGCTGGATCTCGGGTTAGTCCCCCTGGGCCTTGTCTGTTCCCTCATGCTACAGCAATACCCTTACAGGAGAGAACTGGCCCTCTCCTCATGGGCTCCAGCTGGTCCCTCCGAGCCCTGGGGCTACAGCAGTGTCCAGGCGGGGGTGTAGTGGAAGACCCCCAGGTGACCCTTCTGAGCTACCCAGGCCCGGACACAGTGTGGCCCCTCTGGGCCAAAAGAGCTGCCAATTTCTGAGTCCACAGGGCCCTACATCTGTGTCTAACTTGGCCACACCCCAGCCCGACTTGCTAGATGGTTCACGAACTTCCCTGGACCCTTCCCGGGCTCAGATTCCTGCTGCCGTCAGCAGTAGGGGCTGTGGCTGCCAGGACCACAGGCCTGAGGCATGCAGTGGCACGGGGCCCACAGCCCTCGGGGTTCCCTGCACGGGCCTGTGCCGGGCTCTCTCCAGTTCCCACCATCTGGAACACATGCTGCTCAGCCTCGCTCGTGGCTCCCGAGCCCCGCAATGAGCAACTGGGCTGGGGGCTGCACACACCAGGGGTTCGGCTGGGCCTGGCTGCTTTCTAGCTGTGTGGCCTCAGACAGATTACTTACGTTCTCTGGGCCTCAACTCCTCATCTGAAAAATGGGACTGAATATGCCCTCCTACCACATCTGTGGGAACTGAGTGTGGAGGACTGCAAACTTCGAGTCCCTGCCCGGGGGGCTACCCACCCACCCAGCCACCTTGGCAATGGGGAGCAAAGAGGGCTCAGTCCATAACGTCCAGCTTTCCAGCTTTGCAGCCCACATTTCTCTTGATCTCTGGGAAGTGGCCGGGCATGGGGACCGAGGGAAAATCTGGTTTTCTGGATCGTCCAAAGGCACGAAGGTACCATGGTGGATGCCACTGTGGGGGCAGGGCCCGGGCCGCGGTCCGTGCTCTAGGAATCATCACAGGGCAAACACAATCCCCAGGCACATCCCAATTCATTCACCCAACTCTCCAGGGGCAGCCAGGGGAAGGAAACTTTTCCTCTATTTTAAAGGTGGGGACACTGAGGCTCTGTAAGAAGAACCCCCCTGCCCAAGGACTCACGGCTGGGAGGGGAGAACCAGGATCTGAACGCAGGCCGCAGGCCTCCTTTCCCTGGGTGCCCCCACCTCTGCCCTGCAGCTCCCCAAGGCCCTGAAGAGCCCTTTAGCCTGAGCTGGGACCTAGGGGGTTGGCTCGAGCTCTGGTGTTGGGTCTCCCAGACTTCCGATGTCTGCCTCTCAACCGGCCCGCAGGCACCAACCACACCAGCCCTCGTCCACTTCAGTCAGCCTGAATCAAAGGCCACCTGTCTGGGGTGGCTAGAGCCTGGCTGGGAGACGCCGGCCACCGCGAGGCTCCTCATAGATCAAACCACTGCGGCAGAGCGGGGTCTCAGGTTCAGAGGTCACATTAACAAACACCCCAGGGGCAGGGCCTGCTGTGGGCCCAGGGCTCTCTCTGCCCACGTTTGCTTCCATGAGGGATGCGCTGCCCTGCTCGACACCTACAAAGCAGGCGGCTCCCTTGGTGAGGTGAAGCTGCCGTGCGGCCCGAGTGGGCAGCCCAGGCCTGTCTGCTTCTCCTCCCTGCCCCTGGGAACTTGAGTTCATTTTCTAGCACCCAAGTAGAGAGGAAGGACACCAGCCACAAAGCCTGCTTCCCTGGTGAGGTTTGGAGCTGGTTCAGAGCTCTCACAAGATGCGCTCAGACCCACAATTTCCACGACCCAGAGGGATCCCAGGGCAACCCCCAGGCCCAGGCCCTCCTCCCTCCAGGAGGGAGGACTCAGCCGGTCTGCTGCTCCCCTGTGTGCCCTGGGGCCTGAGGCTGGCGCCCCATGTGCCTCGCCTGAGGAGAAGCGCCAGGGCACGGGCACAGCCCCCAGGTGGGACCATATTACCTCTCCTACCGTGTGGCCTTTGTCGGGCCACCAACTCCAGTTTCTGCTCATCATCCACCTCTCTACACCTCCCCCTGCACGACCTCTCTCTACTCTCCCTACCAAGATGCTCTGGTTGGTCCTGGGCCCGGCCCTAATCCTGCCTCCTCCAGGCAGCCCCGCAGCAGCCCCAGTTGTACCGAATCTGCCGCTGCTCACAGCCTTATTCAAGCCACTCGTGCAGGGTGCCTCCTGTGTGCCCACCTGTGACAGCTGCTGGAGACACAGTGGTTCAGCTGGGGGCAAGGGTCAAGTCAGTGACCGACCAGAGACAGCACAGCATCACCAGGGATGAGGCAGAGAGGAGCCCGGCGTGGGGTGGGTGAGTGCAGAGGTGCCCTGACCCAGGCCTGGAAGAGCCCACGGGCAGGGGCACAGCACATGGAAAGCCACAGGCTGAGCCCGCATTGCCTGTGCAGGCAGCCACGGCACACAGGGACCTGGGCCCAGTGTGAACACAGCAGAAGGAGGAATGGCAGCACCTCTCCTCCCACAGGTGATTAGAAAAGGCTGCCTTCCTGTGTGTCTCCATCCTGGACTCAGACACTCCAACACCCAGGGCCGGAAAGCTCTCTGGACCCCAACGTGTCCACCCCCTGCTTGCCAAAGCCCAGCCCCTGGACCCCCTCAAGCGCCTGGGCTGCTGGGCCCCTGAGCTCTGACGCGGCAGCCTGAAGATCTGCACAGCACTGCGGCCTCCACCGGAAGGACTTTCTCCCCAGTGTGGTCTCCCAGAGGTCACTTAAAATAGGTGACACTCGATTTTATAGGGGATGATTTGTTTTAAAACCCTCTGTGAAATATTCGTTAAGTAAAAGCCTTGCAGGAAACATCAAAATTCTACTACATGGTGGTTATTTGTGGTTGGGGTAAAGTTACAGTGACTTTTTTTCATTTTTCAAAGAGAAAATAAAACAGGGAGGGAGAGCAAGGCCTGAGACAGAAGGGCCGTGGGGCTGGGCTGGGAGGTGGCCTGTTTCCCACAGAGTCTCCAAAGAGAAGCCCGCACGTGCCCACCCCACACCCCAGGCTCCTTTGGGACAGAGACCATCTGGTTCGCTTCCACACCCCAGTGGTAACCAGCACAGGGTGAGACAGCCGCTGAGACATTTCAGAGGGAAGGGATGGAGGGGGAGGAGGGGCGGAGAGAGGAGGGGAGGAAGATAGAGAGAAGGGAGAGAAGTTCAAGGGGGCCCTTCTTGATGCTCTCTGAGCCAGCACACAGTAGGTCTGCAAAGAGCACCCTGAAGAAAGAATGTGGGTCAGCTGATTAACCAAGTCTCCAAGCAGCCTCACAAAAGCAGCAGCACTCGCCCATTTTATGGCCCAGGAGACTGAGGCTTAGAGGCAAAGATCAATCACTGAGGGAGGGCAGGCCTGGCGCTGGCCCAGGTCTGCTGGATTTCAGGGTCTAGGCAACCCCAGAGCCTGGGGCACCCCTGCAGGGCCCCACCAGGTCCTGTCCCTTTAAGCGGACCTCGGTGGGTGGTGGGGTGGGGGCAGGGGCCCCCGTGCCCCAGCTCCTCCTCCCAACACGCAGATGAATCAGCCATGAATCAGGGGGAAGGGAGGACGCGGTTCCCACTGCCTCTTTCCACAGGAAAACCGTGGGCCCCACGGCTGGGAAGCAGACTCTGTTTATTTGGGGGTTTTTGACAACCTCCACCCCCACCCCATCCTCGAGCCAAAGTTCTGAAGTCAACAGTCAGTCTCAACCAGATTCAGCCGTTAGCCTTTTTTTTTTTTTTTTCCTCAATAAACTGGAATCTAAAGCCCTGGAAGTTTCAGTCAGGGAGACCCTCACACAGAGCAAAGCAATCAAGGCCCGAGGCTAGGTGTCCGGTGTCACATCCCAGGAGAGGAAGGGGCGCAACAGGGCAGGGGAGACAAGTAGGGTGCCAGGGCTCCAGCTCCAACAGCCCTGCCTGATGGAACTCCCAGGAGTCCTGGGGGACTGTGGCCAACCCTGAGAGAGGACCACGTGCTGGCTCTGGACAGTCATAACTGCCATGGAACAGATGGCGACACTGAGGCCCAGATACTCTGTGGGGATACCTTGTGTTTGTACACTGCGTAACTCCAGGCCCTTACTGACAAATATCAGAGTGGCCAGCTTCCCTGCAGTTGTGCAGTGCACAACCTGCCCAACTGTATGCATCAGTCCCTCTAGCACATAATGTGCAGAGCTGGGACTGACACCCAGTTCTGTTCCTCCATCTCTAAGGTCCCTGCCCCTTCTTTTAGTGCCCTCTGCAATTAGCAGACCCCTCTGCCACCCAGTGGTCAGCTGTGAGCTGGGGATGGAGGAGCCATGAGTGGATAGCCATGGGTCCCAGGCTGTGCCCATCTGTCCATAACGGTGACCATGGTCTACAGACCAGATGGCAACCTCTAAGCAGGGCATTCAAGGCCTGGGGTGTCCTGGTCCCATTGACATCTGCAGCCTCACGTGCTGCCACTCTCCCCTGTGGACCTCGGCTCTGCTTCCTGCGCGTGCAGGCTCCTAAGTGTCACTGTGCCTTTGCACATGTGGTTCCCTCCTCTGGGAATATGCCCTTCCTGTCATTCCTCAGGGCCCAGGCCAGCAGCGCCTCCTCTGGGGAGCCTACCCTGACTTTGCAAGCGTGGTGATCCACCTCTCCTTCTGGGCCCAACAGCACCTCGTACCCTTCCCAAAGCTAGTCCCTTGGGAGTGTACCTGTGGCCTGCACCCCTGCGTCTGGGCTGGACCTGGCCCGCTGCAGTGGGCAGGAAGCAAATGAGGGAGCGAATGAATGCTCTTCAGAGACAGAGGAGCCATTCCAGGGGCCCCCTCAACAGCCCCCAGCCCCGCCCACCACTAAAGGGGCTGCCTCCTGGGTCTAACTAGTTCCCAGGGCAGCTTCCTTTGCTTTTCCTCCTCTGGAAAACTTGCCTGTCCCCTAGTGAACTTTGCCCCACCGAGCCATGTCCCCAAGTGAACCGTGCCCCCACAAGCCTCAGGTCCAGCTGTGGCTCCCCGTGGGGTGGATGCTGCCATCTGCCACCCTCAAGCCCAGAGACCTGTTCATGTGGAACGCAGGCGGGATGAGGGCTGCAGCCCAGGCCCAGAGGAACCCGCTGCCTCCCCCTCCACGGGCCACACCTCGCAGGCGGGACCCGATTTGGGCATGGGACGTCAGGCTGGGCTCCGAAGTTTGTGATCTCATTGAATTCTTGCAGCAATTCTGCAAGACAGGAACTGAGTCCATTTTACAGGCAAGGAAACAAGGCTTAGAGAGGCCACGGGACCTGCCCAAGGTGCACAGCCAGGCCCCGCAAGCCCTGACCTGGGCGCTTCCCCTGCTCCGTGCTGGCCCTTGGCAAATGTGACAACCTGTCCAGCCCCAGAAAAGCTCAACCTAGACCCGAGCTCAATGTGGGGCCAGCCTGGCTCCTCTGGCTGTGAAACTCCACACCCAGCTGGGCCACAGCCAGCCCCTGGGAGGAGGAGGAGGTGCTGCCGCCAGCCTGCCTGTGATTTACCAAGAAGGCTGGTCCTTGTGCACAGTGCCATGGGTCAGGCACTTCCATGCCACTGAAGGCAAGGAAGACAGCCCCTGGCCCTCCTCTTACAGGAAGCCCTCCCTGCCTTGACCGGGGCCAATGAAACTCCCTCCGGCAGGGCCAGCACATGGCAGCACCTCCACAGACACCGCCTTCCAGCTCCTCCCCTTCCTCGACCCCTCTCCCTCACTCTCACTAACTCCACTTCTGTAAGACGCGTCCACCTGCCATCCTTTCTTCACATCAACTTCTATGAGCCCGGCACCGTGCAAAGCACACTCAGTCCATCATCTCATTTGCCCAGTGACCAGTGAGGGGGGTCCCACTGTTATCCATTTCACAGATGAAGAAACTGAGGTGCAAAGAGCTTCAGAGACTTCTGGGGCAGAGCTGGGACTCCACCCTGAGCAGCCAGACATGAGGGACAGAACTGGGTCCCAGTCCTGGTGCTCTGCCCATTATGTGCTGGAGCAGGGTAATGCACACAGGTGGGCAGGCTGTACATTGCACAATTCCAGGGAGTCACCTGCTACCCCTGCACTAGACCTGGCTTTCAGCTTGGGGAACATATGGACGTGTCCTCGCCATATCTTTGCTGCACCAAGGACAGCGGTCTATGATTTTAAACCCTGTCCCACCCATTAGTCCACAAACACCCTCATCAAAACCAAACAAGGCAGACACTTCGAGCTGCTAGGGGCCTGCCTGGTATTCAGAGCACTGGCTGGGGAACCAGGGGACCTGGGCTCAGGGCAGAACCATCCATCCCTACCTGAGTGACCGAGGGCAGCTTCCTACAGCTCCCTGAACCCTTTCTCATACAGGACCAGGACATCAATACCCCAATGATGTGTTGAAGGCTTTGTGGGCCTGGAACAGTGCCCAGTGTCACACCGTTCACCCTTGTGAAACCTGGTGGCCTCCCTCCCTCAAAGCAAGCCTGGGCGGAAGGTGTTCAGACCACCTGGCAGGCCCTGGTGAGCCTGTGGGAGGCCAAGGGTGCACAGGCCCCCTTGTACCCACCTCTCCACAACTAGACGCCCCCATCTCCAGAAAGCCCTCCTGATCTAGCCCTCTCTCCACTCTGAAGGTGGTTTCTTCCTCTTCTGGGCTCCATGCATTGTCATTGGTCCCTCACAATGCAGGATGGGGGTTTCACAGGGGTCTGCGGCTGTGGTGATGTGGGCAGGAGGCAGTGGTTGGGGTCACCAAGCCTGCGAGCCTGCCAGGAGGCTATGCTTAGTCCTGAGGCCGTGGGAGCCATGGCCCAGCTTTCGGCAGGGAGGGTCCGGGTCTCGCCAAGTCCCTTCAGGCTGCTGTGTGGGGCTGCATGGGAGGGCAGAGGCCTGTCGGGGGAAGACCACAGGATGGCAGATGGGGTGAGGGTGCATTTGCTAGGCCAAGCCCCGGCAGGAAGGGCAGCTGCACAGCGCCCTGGTCTCAGCTCCAGTCCGGCTGGACTCCTGGCTCCTGGCAGCCTTGGCGAAAGCTCTTGGCCAAGCAGCTCTGCCGGCAGTTCCAAGTCCTCCAGTGCCGCCAGATGCTGTGGCTCAGCACTGCAGCCCCAGCGGGAGTGGGCGGGGCAGGAGGGGAGGCGTCATCTTGCCTGAGTGGTCCCAGATGCTGAACTCCAAGGCATGTGCAGCCCCAGGAAGCTGCTAAGAGGATTACAAATCAAAAGCCAACCCAAGTTCTTCAATAAATACAACCGGGAGATGCCATCAGAACCTGCTTGGGGTTGCACAATAAAAGCCGGTGATTAAATGCCACCTTGTAAACTGCTCTGGGGCTCTACATTCTGAGCGCATGGCAGGCTCCAAGGCCTGTTTATCTGCAGCCAGAGGAGAGGCTGCATGGCCTCAGAGCTCTGGTTACGCGCAAAGGGAAACCCTTCTCCACACAGGCCCTCAGAAACGCATTTATCCCTGCTTTTACCATCCCGTGGATGGACATTTATCCACTCTGTGCAACTGCGATGCCTTAACATGGACCTGAGAAGATGCGAGGGTTCCCCTGAGAAGTGGTGAGCCTCTGTCACTGGAGGGATGCAAGAAGGGCCCAGAGGGTTAGAGGAGATTCACACATCACATGGGCCCTCGTCTCATTTCGTGTCATCTACAGAGGCCACGCACTGGCCCAGGCCCCTGCCCGGCGAGGCTTCGAGCCTGGAGGAGATGGGGATCACGCAGAGAAATTGACCCACAGTCACATCTGTGTGCAGGGCCCACCGGAGACCCTGGGTGTGCTCACCAAGCAATGAAGGATGACCTGGGCACAGTGGCCAGGGCAGGTGGCTCAGGGGCGGTGGGACATCCGGGTGAAGGCAGGATGAGGAACCCACCACGCTAAGGCAAGGGAAGGAAACGCCGGGCAGTGGGCACATTGCGTGCAAAGGCCTCGAGGTGGGAAAGAGACCGGTGAGGCCATGAGGCCAGAGCACAGGGGATGAGGGGACAGTGGGAGACGGCACCGAGGGTGATGCGGGCCAGGTGGCAGGCACAGGGCCCTGTGAGTCAAGGTAAGTGCTGGGGTGCCTTGCAAGGAAGCCTGCAGGTCATGGGCAGGACAGATTGACCAAGGTGATCCTGGCTGCTGTGTGAGAAGTGATGGAAGGGAGGATGGAGGGGGAAGTCAGAGCGCCCCAGGAGATGTTTTGTGGATGAGCTGAGGGGACTCCCGGTGCACAGGAGAATGAGGGGTGGAGGGGAGTGAGAGGCAGAGAGGAATGAGGGGTGGAGAGGAGTAAGGGCCCCCATCCACACAGCTGGGCTGCAATGGGCAGGCCCAGGAAAGGTACCCCCACACCAAGTCCCAAACTGATGAGCCACTGTGACAGTGCAGCAGGCATTGAGGGGAGTGAGGGGAAGAGGGGAATGAGGGGCGGAGGGACGGAGGGGATCGAGGCTCCCCACTGAACATCGTGGTGCTCCTTTCAGTGGGGCTGGGAAGAGTAGAGCCCGAGGCGGCTCAGCAGGCATCTCCACGTGACTCTAACTCAGGAGAGACCCGGGGGCTGGAGATAGGGCCCGAAGTCCCAGCACCTGGGGAGGACTTCATGGCAGATGAGCTTACTGGGGCGGGGGTGCGGGGGGGAGGGTGGCGAGAAGGGACCAAGGAGACCTTCCTGCCTAGAGGGTGGGAGAAGGCGGAGGAGCTGACATGGGGAGGGGAGAGGAGAGCACAAGGAACCTCAGCCCACAGGAGGCTGCCCTCATCAGGCAGGACTTCCTCCCAGAAATGCCCGGCAGCGCCTGGCACACCACTAAGTGTGACCGGCACCCAGCAACTTCTGGCTGGGACCTCGGGAGGGCAGAAGCCGGCTACGCTGCTGGAATACTCCATGGAGGCTGAGCCTGATGGAGCCGGGGGCCCAGGCCTGACCCGACTCCCAGCCTCAGGGGCCCTGCCACCCCTTGCAGAGGAAAAGCCAGGAGGCCCACAGAGCATAGCCTGCAAAGCCAGCCAGACCCAGGCCAGGCCCAGCCGGGTCACTTCCTGACCATGTGACCTCAGAGCAGTCCCTCACCCTTCCTGGCCTCCAGCAGCACATCTGTGGTGCCTGGGAAAGGACCAGGCTTGCCGTGGGAAATGAGACAGGGCTGGGGAGAGGCCGGGCACCCAAGGCCTCCACAGGGAGTGGACTCTGCGTGTCGCCCTGCCGAAAGCTGGCTGTCCAAGGTCCCCGTGCACCGGGCTACAGTGGCAGGGCTGCACACCGCCCACAGTGTGAACGGCGCCCTGGAGATGGCCAGCAGCCTCCCACCTGCACTCTCTGCCTCCCCTCCCCACCAGGCCCCATTTCCCCACCTGGCTCCGTGGGCTCTGGTGGCGACAGGGCTCTCGGGTCCTGTGCAGGTCTCTGCCTTGCCCATGCCCTCTCTGTCCTCCCCATCCTTCCCCAGGCAGTTCCCAGTCCTCCTCCACAGCTTGGCACAGAAGCGCCTCCTCTGGAGAGCCTCTCCTGACCTTGCTGGGTGAGACAGATTTGGGTCGGTCGCCACAGTGATAACAACATATGAAACAACGTGGTCTGGGGGTTGCCCATCAGGCAAGGGGCGTGTGCCTTCGTGTCTGGCAGCAGCTCTCCTGCAGGTCCCCGCTTCTCATTTGAGGAAACTCACGGTGAGCAAGTGGTCTAAGGTCACCTCATCGGGAAGAGGTGCGCTGGGACTGCAGACCCCGGAGCACTGAGGCCTCAGCCCATGACCCCCCACGCTCACGGCCACCTCCTGGCCTTCTGAGCTCCCCATGCACCTGTCTCTGGGGATAAGACTATTTTCCTCCTCCCTTCTGTCCCCTCGATGGTCTGTGAGGCTTGAGGGCACCAACAGGGTCTGCTACATGGCTGTGCCCTGTCACCAGCCTGGGGCCAGCCAGGCACACAGAGAAAGTGCCTCATGACGCGAACTCCAGAAGTCAGTGAGTGTCTCAGAACACCCAGGCTGCCTCCAGCTCCCTGCCAGCCCTGAGCCCTGCAGCCCTATTCTCATAGTGCCTTCCACGGTGGGGAGCGGGGTGGGGAGGTGGCCCCCATGCACACAGCTGGGCTGCAACGGGCAGGCCCAGGAAAGGTACCCCAGCACCAAGCCCCAAACTGATGTGCCACTGTGACAGTGCAGCAGGCGTTGAGTCAATGACAACGTCTCCAAGACCCCGCAGCCCCACACTCGCACCCCTCAGCCTCCTGGGCAGTCTCAACACAAGCCGGACCTCATCACCCTCACCCCCATGATGGTTTGAACATGTTCCCTCCAAAACAGAGGTGTTGCCAATGTGATGGTATGAAAAGGTGGGGTGTTAGGAGGTGATGAGGTCACAAGGGTTCCTCCTTTCGAGCGTGGGCAGAAGCTCCTTATGAGAGAGGCTACAGGCAGCGTTCGGCCTTGTCCCTGCCTGCACTTCTGCCGTGTGAAGACGCAGCTTCCTCCCTTCCGCAGAGTGCAGCCCTCACCAGACAACCAAGCCTGCTGGCACCTTGGTCTTGAACTTTCCAGCCTCCAGAGCTGCGAGAAATACATCTCTGTCCTGTATAAACTGCCCAGTCTCAGGCGTTGTACCAGCACAAGGTGGACTGGGACTCCCCGCCAAACCCTGCGGTGGCTCTTCCACATAATCCTAGCTAATCTCGAATGATGCTTCCCACACGGGGCTCCCAGGAACCCCAGCGTGCTGGGAGGAGGTCACGTGTTCTGCCAGAAAAGAAGAGCTCTCTGTTGAAATTCTCTGGGGAAGCCCTGGGTTTCATCAATTGAGGACACTGCAGGTTTTCTCAGAACCTCTGATAGATTGAGCCTGTGAGTCTCCACTACAGGAATAGAGCGCTCAGTTCCCCAACCTTTTTACACCATGAAAACACTTGGAATTGTGTTCAGCGGACCGCAGAAAAAATGAGGAAGCCCTCTGCAGGCTTCCCAGGAGCCCCGGCAGTTGGTGCTCCCCATGGTGCTCCTGAGGCTCCACGGAGCCTGTTCTGGCAGCTACTGCATCTCTCCCTGCCACCTGCAAGCTGATGGCACGCAGGACCCTGACTCCTATCCATGAACCTGGGGCCCGTCGCCTGTCTTCAGTGAACCCCTGTCCGGCCACAGCAGAGTCTGCTTTCCTAAGAGGCACCCCAAACAGGGAAAAAGGTACAGCAGGTTTTCCAGCATTTTCCTCCACGTACAGAGTCAACCTGCACGGTGAGATGCAACCTAGAGCCGACTGCCTCAAGGGAGGCTGTTCTAGGGTCTGACCCCGACATTCTCTCCCCCAAGCAGCCTCTCCCTGGGGCGCCCTAAGCAGTTCAGGGACCTGCACCCTGACCCTTCCCACACAGTCCTGTGGAGACATGCACTTAACCACAGTCTCCAGGAAAGAAGGCATCACCCAAGAGGGCACCCCGGCTGGAGAGTTAGGGCAGGAAAGAGTGCCCTTCACTCAATACCCGGACAGAGCAGGGGTCCAAGGATCAAGGGAATGGGCACGAGACATCAGTTCTGAAGAGACCAGAGCTGGAAACAGTCCTAGATGAGGCCCCTCGGGTGGCCAGGAGACCACCGGGTTTCCCTTTTGACTCTAATTCTGTGACCTTGGGGACAGCGGTTTACCTTTCCGGGCCTCAGTTTCTTCATCTGAAAGACCAGAGGGCTGGTGGGATGATTTCTGAAGGGCCACCCGGTGGTGCCCAGGGAAGGGCGACCTCGAGCTCGGCCCTAACTCCCGGCCTTAGTTTCCCCAAGAGAAAGAAGCTTCACTTCCTCCCTGGCCCCCGAGCGCTTACCCAACGGGCAGGCGCCCTTCTGCAGCTGGCGCACGGGCGTCCCGGAGAGCTGCAGCGCGCGGCGGCTGGCCGCCTGCAGCGCGCACACGTTGGCATAGGTGTGCCCGTCGGTGCCACACACGGCGTGCGACCAGCGGCAGCGGCATAGGCCGCGCACGCACTCCAGGCTCTCGCCGCAAGGCGAGTCCAGAGGGCCGCCACAGGGCTCGCCCTCGCTGGCGGCGCACACCAGGCAGCAGTTGCAGAGGTCGGGCACGTAGCCGCCGGGGCAGCGGGGGCTGGGACACCGCGACACGTCGCAGCGCGCGGGACACGGCGCCGCAGGGGGCTCCCGGGCCAGCGCCAGCGCGGCCAACGCGGCCAGGAGCAGCGCTCGCGCCTGCATGGCGGCAGGGCCGGCGGCGGGTGGCAGCGCGGGAGACCGGGCGGGGGCCGGCGGGGACAACGAGGCCGCTGCGGGGCCGGGCGCCGGGCGCCTACGGATGGGACTGGGGCGGACGCGCGGTCACATGCGCCGGTGGCTCAGGCTGGCGGGCGTCAGGGCGGCAGGGGCATCCCCAGGGCGCAGGGAGCGCAGGGACCAGCTCCCTCCAGCCTGACGGTCCGCGGGCGGCGGGTCCCGCGCCTTTAAAGGCGACCGCCCAGCCCGCCCTCGCTGGAAGGGGCGGCCCGGCCCCTCCGCCAGCCCCGCCCAGGCCCCGACAGGGCCCCGCCTGGCCTTCCGGGCCTGGACCCACCCGGCAGGCCTTGGGACTCTGGTCGGCCTGGTCGAGAAAACCCGAGGCTACAGACACGCAGGGGTCCTTTCTGGTGGGGACCCCCGGGCCCAGCCTATCCCAGAAACGTTGGGGGATGCGTTCTCCCCGCTCTGGAGGGGTCTGTCCGTGTCCAGTCTCCTCTGTGCCTCAGTTTCCTCCTCCAGGAAAGGGGAATTGACAGCATTTCTCAACCTCATAGGGTCGTTGGAAGAACCACAGAGGCCATGGCTGAGCAGTGTTCCCGAGTCCTCGCTGTCCACGGAACCGGAAGCTGTTTCCATTCTCATCATTGCTCCTGCATTTTCTGCAGGGCCCCTTCAGACCCAGGTCCCATCACGAGAGTCAGAATCTGGTGACAGTGCGTCAGCTGATGGGGTGAAGGCTGCGGAGTTGTGAGAGAAGGCAGAACCCCCCTTGGAGGTGAATGTCAAGCCTGAAGAGGAAGGATGGGAAGCGGGAGCTGGCCGTGACCTGGGCAGAGGCTCCCAAGCAAAAGCAGGTCGGGGCAGCAGGAGATAACGCCGCGCGCACAGCCTGGAGCTGCGGTCTTCACACTGTGTGTGTTCCTAGTACCCTGGGCTGCCTGGCGAAGCCTGGGTGTCCTTTTCAGAACGATGTCGTCAAGTAGATTTAAACGCATAAAACAAAGACCATGGGGTCACAAAGGGGAACAATTCTATCAAAACACAGTTATCAAAATACATGAAACAATTCATGACAGCGTGGCCTATGGGCTTCTTTATCAGCATGTTAATGGCAGGTTCTGGTCGGTCTGTCGTCTGATACCAGTGGACACTTCGCAGCAGCCCTGTGCAGAGGGCTGCCACTGGAGACACCTTCGGTGAGGGCGGTAACATGGGGATGTAAACACTGCTTCTGCTGGCCGTGGAGCCACAGGCCCTGCTGGCTGGGGTCAACTGCACCCCCAAAGGAATGAATGCTGGACTTCAGTTGGAGTTGTTGGGGTAAATAAAGACGTTTTTCCATCCAGGTTCACAGATACCCAAGTTAAGAATGGGGAGGGGTACCTCTGGTCCAGAGGAGGGAGGGGGAGCTGGAGGTTAAAGGGCCTCGGGGAATGGGAAGGTGGAGGGGCCTGATCCCTGAGGGCCCTGGGTCCTCAAAGGCCTGGGGAGGCGTTGAGTAGGGAGCGGCCCCATCAGACAAGATGTCTGGGGAGGATGAGGTGGGAGGAGGCGGGGCGCCAAGTGTGAGCCCCCATAGGACCCAGAGAGAGTGAAAGGTTGAAGGGTCCCAGGGGACGGGGAGAGAAGGGACCTGGAGCTTCTCCCCCTAAAAGGCCCTTTGACAAGGGGCAATAGCACCTGCGTTTCTGCCTCTACAAACCTCAAGTGCACTTTACTTTGAAGATGTGGAGAATTTCAGGCCATTTTTTGGAATGACCCAGAATGCTAGGAGTTGGGGACCTCAGGGCTGGGCTGAACCTCCCTCAACCTTGGCCAGGGCTCCCGGTTCATGTCTCTGCAGGGTGGGCTTGCCTAAGGCGCAAGGAGAATTTTTCACGTGCCCAGGATGCCTGCCCCTCGAGTAAGCCTTGGTGGGCTACTGTGGCCCAGAGCTGGCTTTTTGGGGGGCCTGTGTTTTCCTGCAGACACCTGGCCCTGAAGATCAACACTTTTCCATCCCTGGATCCTTCAGTGCGCAGAAAACTAAGTCCCTGGGAAGGGCCCAAGAGCTCATTTCCCCTAAGCTTTTCCTCTACAATGGGGAAACTGAGTCTCTGAGAGAGTCCAGGACCGGCGCTGCAGCAGGTCAGAGTTTGCACAGCCTGCCACAGCTTCCAAGGAACCACAGCTACCGATGTGTAGGCCCTGAGGCTGCTGGAGCGCTCTGCATACACTTGACTCAGTCTTCACGAAGCGCCTGAGAGGTGGGCGTTAGGATCCTTAGAACAGGGCTGGGGGAGTGCAAGGCCAGAGATTCTGGCAGGTGGGCCTCAGATCTTGGCCTGTCCTTAGGTCAAGTCCTTGCTCCTCCCTGGAGACCATGCTGCCCCCAACGGTCACCATCTTGACCACCTTGCAGTGGGGATTTAGTCCTCTTGTACAGAGAGGGAAACTGAGGCCCGGAGTGAAAAGACCCTTCTCTGCTCTGCAGCTGGGATGCAGTTCCCTGGGGTGGCCTTTGCTCTTCCCTGAAATGGGCAGGCAGGGCTCACAGTGGCTGCCTTGAGCTTGGCAGGAGCCCAGCGCTGTCCTCAGGAGAGCCGCGCCCCCTGCTGCTCCCGCCCTGCACTGCCTCTCACTCAGTAAACTTTGGGGCCTCCCATCCCCAACCCTGAACACCTGACTTAGGGGCCAGGAGTAGGAGAGGATTCCCCAAGGGCCTGGGATCCACCCGGGAGGTTCCTCTAAGTCTCTGGCTTCCCAGCACAGGACCGCCTCTGTCGTCAGCCCAGAGCTCCAGATACAGGCTCCGCCAGGCCAACGTGTGCAGGCGCAGGGCCGGCCCTCTGGCCCGTGTTATCTCAGCTCGTTCTTCAACAATGCCAGGAAGCTTGTTTAATTTACGTACACCCCTCCTTCGCTCATTTCTACTTACTCCCGCTTGTCACCCTGCCCGAAATATTGATAGTTCTTTACAAACAAGCATAAGATGAGACGTTGCTTATCCTCAGTGGAATGGAATTCACTCCCTCCAGGCTGGGCCTGGGTCTGCCTCTCTCCAGGGTACTCTTGTCCCATGCCAGGACCCCATGGCCCCATCCCATCCCTCCATCTCCGCCCAGAGCTGGACAGCAGTGCGCATCCTGGGCCTGCAGAGGAGCCCTCCAAGCTGTGGGCAGGCTCGGCCCTTTGGCTTGACCCCTGCCCAAGTCCAGGCTTCGTCTCAGATGAGGTCATCACTTACACCACTCCAGGGACCTTGAAGACCATCATCAGCTGTGATAAGACGCGGTGGCTGTGTGAGTGGGTGACTCAGAGGGTGGGCTCTGCTCAGGCTGATGGGTGGGGGGTGGGCGTAGGTTGTGATATGGGCCACCCTTTCTGCACCTCCCAACACTGACATCAGCTCTGCCGTCCTTGGGTGCTTCTGTAAGCTCTGGGAACAACCCCTCAAGGGGGAATGCCAGTTACAGCCATTTTATAGGTACAGAAAGCCGAGCTAGGGGAGTTTACACGACTTGCCGAAGGCCCCTCAGCCTTTAGGTGATGGACCCAGGCTTAGGAAAAGTCGGATCTGACCCCAAAGTGTATGTTCTTCCTCCAGAGCCACACTGCTGTTCCATACCCATTTTATGGAAGGAAAAACTGAGGCCCACAAAGGGAAAGTGGGTGGCTGAGACAACCAGGCTAACTGATACTAGTAGGTCGCATTGATTGAGCTTCTGTGATGTACTGTGTACTAGGGACTGTGCAGGTGTCTAGCCCTTACCACACCCTCTGAAGGAGGTCTTACTATTGCCATGCCCATTGCACAGATAAAGAAAGCAAGGCACAGAGAGGCTCAACAGCTCATCGCTGTGTCCAAGATCACACAGTGAGTGAGCTGCAGCATTGGATTGGAACCTAGGCAGAGGGACTCATCTTGTACAGAAGCGAAGTGGAGGCTCACAGGAGGAAGGCTGGGAGGAGGGGGAAGGAGCGGGGAGATGGCTTCGAGGGCATGGAACCCACCCTGGCTGATGAAATGAAACGATGAATCAGGGTCACGCAGCTGGGCAAGGGTCTCCTTTTTCTTTTTCACATGGCGCTCCTCCTTTGGCTTTCTGGAGCCCGAACCCCTCTTGGAAATCACCCTGACTCCACCCAGCCCTGCCAGGAGGGGCTGAATGTGAACACCCTGGACCACAGCGGCCTCTGCCTCCTGGGAGGGGATGTCCTGTCCAGGGAGGGGGCTCTCCCAAGACTGCCAGCCCCACCTGCCCGCAGACGGTGCTGCTGTCCTGGAGGCCGCTCGGCCTCTGTCCACCTTCTGAGGGGCCACTGGCCAGGGGTCGTCTGAGGCCTCCATCCTCCAGTGGGAGCTGGGGTGAGGTAATGGCCTAAATTGTGGTTCTGGCCACCTGGGTGTCAGGAATAGGGAAGCTGTCGGGGGTGAGTAGGGGGGACACTGCTCTGTGGGGTAAGGCTGGGATGCTTGAGCTGCCTCTGTAGGGTCCCAGGGGCCTGGGGGACTGAAGAGGGCCGGGAAGGTGGGGCTTCCGCCCTGAGGGGCAAGGAGGCCTCTGGTGACCCTCGGGCTCCTGCGGGGAAACAGCTGCTCCTCAGGTGCCTCCTCCACAGTGCGAGTGCTGAGCCCGTTCCCACTGCTCCCTGACCAGGTGTGGTTGAATCCTGTGACCATTCCCATGTCCTAGGGAAGAACGCAGAGGCTCCGAGAGGTGAAGTGACACCCCACCCCTCATCCCTAAATGCCACCACCTCTAAGATACGCTCGGGCAAAATGCCTCAACAGCTCACACCCATGCACAGCCGTCTCTATCTGAAACACACACAAACCTCCACCCGCTGTCGTCTCTTCCCTGACCCAACCTGACCCCCTCCCTCCCAAGTCCTGGGAGTCAGCCCCACCCTCGTCCTAGAGACTCCACGGGTGGGGACAGCAGTGCATCCGGCCTCCCTGTTCCCAGGACCCCCACTGCAGGGACTTCCTCCTCCATCCCTCCCGGGCCCCAACTCCCACACCCAGCTCCAGCATCACCTGAAACTGCTCCACCTTCCCAGACCCTGATTTCCAGCACACCTCATCCCACGCTACCTGGCCATGTGGGCCTCCATTTCCAGCCCACCCCGTCCCATGCTACCTGGCCACGTGGGCCTCCATTCTGCTGAGCAAATGGGCAACAGGGGCTGTTCTACCTGCTGGGGCGAACCCTCCTCCTTCCCGAGGAGAAAGCGGCTGGGGCTGCGGACGTGCAGTGGGGCAGGGTGTACCCCGTCAGGAAACTGGGATTTCCTGTGGAGCCTCTCCCTATTCACACCTCCAGCAAGAAAAAGTCTTAAATAAAATATATAAAAATAATACATAATATATACTATCTTAATATAAAATATATTATTGTATATAATGTATAGATAATTTGTGTAACATATATATGCAACCGCTTTTTTGTGAGATAATTCACGAACTATACAATTCATGCTTGTAAAGTGTGAGATTCAGCAGTGTTTGGTACATCCACACATGTGCCCCCATCACTGGCATCAATTTTAAAACATTCCCACCACCCCAGAAAGAAACCCCATCCCCAGGAGTAGCCAATCCTCGACCCCGCCGCCTCCTGCTGCTATGGGCCCTGGTGTCCCCGCCATCCTACTCCTGCCTGACTCGGGCAGCGTTCCCTGTTCCGTGCTGGGCCAGCCTGGCCCCGCATCCCTCCTCCAAGATGCACCTCCTTCCACGTGTTCTGAGCTTTTATTTGAGATAATTATAGAGTCGTAGACACATGAGAGTGACAAAGAATGCCATGCACCTTCCCCAGGGTCCCCAGACGCTCACGTCCTATGACATCCGCTTTACCGCTCTGGCTCTGGCTCTGTCCCTCCACCTCTCTCTGTCTCCTTCCATCCCTCAATCACTCCCTGTCTCTCCGTGTCTCTCTGTCTCTGTCTCTGTGTCTTTATGTCTCTCTATGTGTCTGTCTGCATGTCTTTGTTTCTCGCTGTGTCTCTGTCTTTCTGTCTCTGTCTCTGTATGTCTCTGTCTCTCTGTATCCCTCTGTATCTCTATGTCTCTATGTCTCTCTGTGTGTCTTTCTCTGTCTCTGTGTCTCTCTCTGTCTCTGTCCTCTCTGTGTCTCTATATCTCTCTGCGTCTCTATATCTCTCTGCGTGTCTCTGTTCTTTCTGTGTCTCTGTTCTCTCTGTGTCTCTGTGTCTCTGTGTGTCTCTCTGTGTGTCTCTGTGTCTCTCTGTGTCTCTGTTCTCTCTCTGTCTCTGTGTCTCTGTGTCTCTCTCTGTGTCTCTGTTCTCTCTGTGTCTCTGTGCATCTCTCTCTGTGTCTCTACATCTCTGCATGTGTGTGTCGCTCCATCTCTCACGTGTCTGTCTGTCTCCCACGTGCGCACACACTTTTTCCCAGGCTGTGTCAGGGTGCAGTGCAGACACCGGTGCCCTCCAGCCGTGAACTGCTCAGCGCCCTCCTGAGCACCACACACCGCTCCACACCTGCACCACAAAGGTCAAAGTCAGGCTCACGTCTGCATCTGGGGGACCCCGACCTAAGCCAAGGCCTGAGGAGAGAGGTCAGACAGGTCAGGCTGGGAGCCTGGCACAGGAGGGATGGAGGTGACATTTGGAATTGGGAAATCCCCTCACCTTCCTGCAACCTCTGCCGTCACTGAGATGCCCTGGCTAGCGATGCTGCAATCCAGGCTCACTCGGCAGAACTGAGCGGCCACCTTGCTGGGAACCCAGCCCAGGGCCCTGAGAGAGCCTCTACCCTGGGAGGCCACCACCCCACAGGCCTCGCGCTGCAGACTGCAGTCCATGTCCTCCAGCCATGGCTGAGAGCGGGGGCTCTGCCTGCCCCTTCCCCACAGCTGCACCTTCCCGGCAGTGCCTGTCCTGTGGGCTGCATGAGGCCTGACGAGCAGCCTGGGTCAGCAGGGGCTGGTGGGAGTCAGTGCAGGGACGGAGCCGAGGGTCTGGGAGGCGGGATCACCTGCTCAGGGTCACAGCGGGATGGCAGAAGGGCGGGGCTGACCCTGGGGCCCTGGACTCCTGCCGGAGTGCCCGTAACCCTGGGCCCTGTTGCCCTGGACTGGATGCAGGTTTGGCTGGAATTCTCTTCCCAGGCCCAGCTGTGGGTGCTGCTGGTGGCATTGACCATGCCACCCGCCAGCACTTGCATGTCCTAAACGTCCCACTGCTGGGAATAGGCGTGGCAGGGACAGGCCAGGACAGAGGGAAGGCCTCGAATCGCTCTTTCTGGCCAAGTGTGGGGCAGCAGCGGGTGGTGAAAGCGGGGGTGGGTGGGCTAGAGTGGGGTCAGGCCCAGGGTGCAGGCCCTGGCAAAGGTTTGGATGTGACACCAAGTGTGGCAGGGGTGCTGGGGGCTGCATGGGTGGAGAGGCAAGGACGGGGTGGGGAGCAGCTGGGGTCGAGAGAGGAGGTGGCCCCGCCAGGGTTGTGTCCGCAGAGGGCACTTTTGTGGCATCTGGATGTGCAGAGACATTGTCCCCTTAATCTTCAATATCTCCGTATGGATATGTACGATGACAAACCCTTCAAGAGGTGACACTCAGCGGCTGTGGAGGAGCCCCTGGGCAGGCCCGGAGGGTGGACAAGAGTGTGTTCCTGCTTCCTGCAGGGCTGCGGTATGCTCCCTCCAGCTGTGGCAAGGACCCCTATAATTTTCCTGCAGTTGGCAGGAAGCTCCAGCCATGCAGCCGCGGTGGATTCCCTGCCCCCAAAGGGGCCCCCCTGCTTCACCCCTGCCCCATCTGTGGGTCTCTGGGTCAGCACAGACCTTGTGGTATCTTTGTGCAGGCTGAGCACTTCCACTCCTGCTACAGCCACTGGTGGTCAGTGACGTCACCCCCGAGGCGTCCGCTTCCCGGCACCCCTGCCCGCAGGCCTGGCCCTGGCGGTGGAGTAGAGGGCTCTGGAGCCTCCCCCCTCCATCTGCTGTGGCTCACCGGTTCCCCAGGCTCCTGCAGCGACATGCCGGCCTTCTCCAGCCTGCAGGCCTTCGCCCTGCAGTGCCCTTTCCACTTCCGTGGATTCTTCCTCCTGTCAATATCCAGGTTAGGCGTCGCTGCCCCCAGGCCGGGGAGGCCCTGGTTCTGGACGAACACTGCCCCTGGGCTTCCCCTACGAGGCATGCGGCCTGGACTAAAGCTGGTGACATTGTCAGTGAAGGCTAAATCCATATTTTCTTTGAGCTCTGCTGGCAGGAGTCTTGGTTCCCATGGCAGGAGTGCTTCCAACAGGGGCCACAGAAATGGCCCCATCAATCAGAAGACGAACCTGCCACCTGGCCAGTTGGGCCCCTCGTTCTGCTGAACAAATGGGCCCAGAGGGTGATTCCACAGGCTGGGGCGATGGCTCCTGATTCCCTGGGTAGAAATCGGGGGGGGGGGCAGTTGCTACTGCACAGTGAAGCAGGGAGGGCCACGTCTGGGAACCGGGGATTTCCTGCCGTGCCTCTTTGTACTCACATGTTCGGTGAGAAAAGTTAATGAAAATGTAGCACAAATTCAAAGAAAGGTGGGACCCCAGAAACTCAGACCCTTCAGAAATAGGTGCTCGGCTGTGTCCATGAGCAGTGCGTTTCGCCACAGCGATTGGAGGGATAGTCCACGGAATGACTGGAAGGATGGCGTCCACGCACTTGGCCCCTCAGGCCTCGGTCTGGGTGGAGTGAGGGTCCCTCAACGTGCACCTGCCTTGTATCCCTGTCAGGAAGTAGCAGCGGCTCAGATGCAGGCACCATGAGAGAAGCCACGTGGACGCATGGACAATCCTGAGAGCATCTTCAGGAGCAAGCCCCCACCTCACCCCATCCGGGCTTCTCTGACCCCAGGCTGGGTGCCTTACAGAATGGGGAGTGGGGGAGGTGGCCAGAGAGAGAGAGAGATTCCAGAGCCACCGAGAGCTGAGTGTCCCTGTGCACCCAGGCCCAGCAGCTCCCGGAATCTACCCCGAGGAAATGTAATCAAGGCTGCTCGCAAGTGCTCAGCGGCAGGAAGCTCCCCCGGCAGGTTTACAAGGCCGGAGAACTGGAACCACTTCAGCGCCTGGTGGGGATGTTTGAGGAAGCTCTGTCGACTGTCTCTCCCTTTCTGCCTCTGGCTCATTCTCAAGTTGGGAAAAATAACGATTACTTTTATGCAACTGTTTATTATTAGTAGCATTATTAGTCATCGTCTATCGTAACAAAAAGTGCACATTCTCATGCCAGGCACAGTGGCTCATGCCTGTAATTCCAGCACTTTGAGAGGCCGAGGCAGGTGGATCACTTGAGTCCAAGAGTTCGAGACCAGCCTGGGCAACATAGCGAGACCCTGTCTCTACTAAGAATACAAAAAGTTAGCCTGGTGTAGTGGCCATGCCCCTGTGGTCCTAGCTACTCTGGAGCCTGGAGGTCAAAGCTTCAGTGAGCCAAGATCACACCACTAAACTCCAGCCTGGGTGACAGAGTGAGACCCTGTCTAAAAAAAATAAACAACAAAAATATACATTCTCATTGTGGGTAATTTAAAAAGTAGCAGAGTATGCAAACATTTCAAAAGTCACCCGCTGTAGTAGGTGGGTTGCTGGCCCTGAGAAAGATACATCCATATCCCAGCCCCCAGGCGTTTTGCAAACACCATTTGACCATGTTTGCAAAAAGTGTCTTTGCAGATGTGATCAAGTTGAGATCATCCCGGATTAGCCAGAAGGCCCTGAGTTTACTGATGATCGTCCTTATGAGAGACACACGGAGGAGGAGCAGGAGAGGGAAGGAGGGCTCCGTGAAGACAGAGGTAGGGACTGGAGTGACATGGCCACAAGCCAAGGAACACCTAGAGCCACCAGGAACGGCAGAGGCAGGAGGATCCTCCCCCGGAGGCTTTGGGGGGCACACAGCCCTGCCCACACCTTGATTTAGGATTTCTGGCCTCCAGAGAACTGTGGGGGGGCACATTTCTGTTGCTTTAACCCACCACGTGTGGTCATTTGTCATGGCAGCCACCAAAAACCGCCCCAGGAAACTGCACCTGAATCTCCAGTCAGCATGGGGCCTTGTGACCTCCAGGCTGCTCTCCTGTGGACTTGAGTCTTGGGCTGTGTTTGTGTGTGTGTGGGCAAGTGTGTGTGTGAGTGTGCGTTACATAGTTAAGATCACACTAACAGACCTTGCAGTATCTTCCTTTTAAAAATCATAATTTCATGAGAGTGTTCTTTTTGTTAAATAATTTTTACAGGATATCCTTCTGATTTATTTTATAAAATGTGGAAGATACAGGCATATACATGCAAGGAATAAAAATTATATTTGGCCAGGAGCAGTGCCTCACGCCTGTAATCCCAGCACTTTGGGAGGCTGAGGTGGGTGGATCATGAGTTTGGGGGTTCAAGACCAGCCTGGCCAAGATTGTGAAACCCCGTCTCTACGAAAAATACAAAAATTATCTGGGCGTGGTGGTGGGCACCTGTAATCCCCACTACTCGAGAGGCTGAGGCAGAGAATTGCTTGAATCCAGGAGGCAGAGATTGCAGTGAGCTGAAATCGAGCCACTGCACTCTAGCCTGGGTGACAGAGTGAGACTCCGTCTCAAAAAAAAATTATATTTAATTATGCCAGTCAAAAATAATCATCATTTTTGTGTTTTTCTTCTAGATTTGCATACTGATCAAAACCCTCTTGGGAAATGTAAAATGGTACATCCACTGTGGAAAATGCTTTGGCAGTTTCTTAACAATCCAAAACACACACATGCGACCCAGCTCTTGGCTCCTGGGCGATTGTCCCAGGGAAATGAAGACACAGGTACACAAACACCTGTACAGAGCTGTTCACTGCAGCTTTATTTGTAACAGCCAGAAACTGTCAACAACCAGACATACTAGATGAGTTATTACACCGTCACAGACCACACTGTCCACCGTGGCCACAGCTCGGCTATAAAAAGGAGCAAACGGCTGATGGCCCAGCAAGGGGGCTGCACTGCAAACACATTACACTGAGGGGAAAAGCCAATCTCAGAACGTCACCTACTGCGTGACTCCATGTATATGATCTTGAATTGACAAACCCATAAGGATGAAGTTCAGATTTACAGTTGCTGTGGTGGGTGGGGAGGTGGGTCTGGCCACCACAGGGCAGCCGAGGGAGGGCTTTGTGGCGGCCACACTGCTGTGTCTTGACGGTGGTGGTGCTTACAGGAATCCATGCACGTGATAAAATGACACAGAACTAAGGACACGCATTGTACCCACATCAATTTCCTGGCTTCCATACTGTATTATAGTCACATAAGATCACTAGGGGAAGCTGGGGGAAGGGTGCATGAGACCTCTCTTCCTATCTTTGCAAAGTCTTGTAAATCTATAATTATTTCAAAAGAAAAATAAAAAGCACCTTCTGCCTGAAAGATGGAAACCACTCTGGGTATTTAAGACAGGTGATTAATTTAGGGTATTGGTCACACAGGTGATGGAGGGACAGAAAAGCCACTCAGAGGACACTGAGGCACAGAGCAGGGGGCTGTTACCCCACCAGGACTGGAGCAGCAGAGGCAGGAGGTGGGAATGCTGGAGCCCTGGGCTGGGGTTCCTTGGCTGGAGCTCAGGTCACAAAGGGAGTGTGTATTAGTCTGTTTTCACTCCTGATAAAGACATACCCGAGGCTGGGCAATTTACAAAGAAAGAGGTTTATTTGGACTTACAGTTCCATGTGGCTGGGGAACCCTCACAATCATGGCATAAGGCAAGGAAAAGCAAGTCACATCTTACATGGATGCCGGCAAGCAAAAAGAGCTAGTGCAGGAACCCTCCTCCCACTTACAATAACCATCAGATCTCATGAGACTCACTATCACGAGAACAGCATGAAAAAGACCTACCCCCATGATTCAATTACCTCCCACCAGGTCCCTCCCACAACACGTGGGAATTCAAGATGAGACTTGGGTGGGGACACAGCCAACCTATATCAGAGTGTATGTAGGAGTGCATGTGTGTGCACATACACAACGGGAGAAACATCCTGGCTTCTCCCCTCCTCTCACCTGGGGACCTCCCATCAGCTGAGCCCAGCAGAAAGCTGGTTGGAAAGGGAGCCTGGGAAATATTTTCTTCCCAAGACACAGAACAGACTGGGGAAGGGTAGAGAAAGGGGTAGAAAACCCAAAGGCAAATGAACAGCAGGATATGTGCATGAGGCACACTTATTTTTGTCACCGTGCTCACGCTATAGTGGAATGTTCTACTTATTTGACTTATTATTTGTTTTGAGATGGAGTTTCGTTTTGGTTGCCCAGGCTGGAGTGCAATGGCACGATCTTGGCTCACTGCAATCTCCGCCTCCCAGGTTCAAGCAATTCTCCTGCCTCAGCTTCCTGACTTGTCAGGATGACAGGCATGCACCACCACGCCCTGCTTTTTGTATTTTTAGTAGACACGGGATTTCACCATGTTGGTCAGGCTGGTTCCGAACTCCTGACCTCAAATTATCCGCCCGCCTTGGCCTCCCAAAGTGCTGGGATTACAGGTGTGAGCCACCGCGCGTGGCCATTGACTTATAAATAAAAGGTGAATTCTCCTTTTATTAAACTTCTTTTGGCCAGGCGTGGTGGCTCACGCCTGTAATCCCAGCACTTTGGGAGGCCGAGGCAGGCAGATCACTTGAGGTCAGGAGTTCAAGACCAGCCTGACCAACATGGTGAAACCCCATGCCTACTAAAAATACAAAAATTAGCCAAGCATGGTGGCACATGCCTATACTCCCAGCTACTTGGGAGGCTGAGGCAGGAGAATCGCTTGAACCTGAGAGGCGGAGGTTGCAGTGAGCTGAGCTTGTGTCACTGCACAACAGTGCACGACGGAGTAAAAATCTGTCTCAAAAAAACAAAAAACAAACAAACAAAAAAACTTCTTTGGAACACATGCTTTGAACAGGTCCACACCAGCCAATGGGTGTGGGCTTATGTTCTGTTCAGTCAGCCCCATCACTGAGTGCTGGGATTACTAACCCTGTGATGAACTGTCTTGGGCGTAAACCGTTGAGGGCCTCTGCAGGGACTTCGTTAAGACGTAGATAAGAATAAGGTGAGGATAAGAGTCTTCACAGGCCCATGAATATCAACTCTTTTAAGACTCTTGGGGGCCAGGCAAGGTGGCTCACACCTGTAATCCCAGCATTTTGGGAGGCCGAGGTGGGCGGATCACGAGGTCAGGAGATTGAGACCATCCTGGCTAACACGGTGAAACCCCATCTCTACTAAAAAAATACAAAAAATTAGCCAGGCGTGGTGGCGGGCGCCTGTAGTCCCAGCTACTCAGGAGGCTGAGGCAGGAGAATGGCATGAACCCGGGAGGTGGAGCTTGCAGTGAGCTGAGATCGCTCCACTGCACTCCAGCCTGGGCGACAGAGTGAGACTCTGTCTCAAAAAAAAAAAAAAAGACTCTGGGCCAGCTTGCTTTCTGGGAAGGTTTTACCAGGTTTCTTCTTTCTCCAGGAGGAGGGCCTCTCTTAATGTATCTTTGACGTCATTGAACACTATCTTTAAAAGGCATTAGATGTTTTAAAAGGTTTAGAAAGCCACCTCTCTGTAACTGGTTCATGGTGCTGGATGAGTCTCCTGTGAGTGACACAGACAGAAGCCAAGGGGAGGGGTCGGGGACAGAGAGCCAAGAATGCCAGAGATGCTTGTGTCAGCGTGGCTCCTGCCCACTCTTGGATGATGCCTGGGGTCTGGCCAGCAGCTGCTCATACTGAAACCCTCCCATTTGGCAGCCTGCTTGATCGAACCCTCCCTGCAGCCCACACTGCTGTCACACCCTACAAGTCATTGTCCCAGAAGGCCTCACCCTCTAGCTGGCTCTGTCTGGAACTCCCCCTCCCTGCACCGTCACCCGTTTGCTCTTTCCTCACTGGCTCTGTGATTTAACACGTATTCCCCAAGCACTCTGAGTCCTGGGGATGCCTGAGCAGCACTCAGGGAGCAGGGGGAGGACAGGGAGGCAGGACATGCTGAGGTGTCGCACCCCAGGTGGACCCCTGCACTGCACCCCGCTGTGAAGCCTCACTTGCTCCCAGGTGGGATTCCCCGCCTCCCTTCTCTGTGGCCCCGTGCCCCGTGCCAGTCTGCCTCTTGGCTAGAATAGCAGCAGTGTCCACCTCCGCTCCACAGTATGGGATGCATCATTTATCTCTGTTCCTCTCAGCCTACTCCTGACCCAGCACCAGCAGGGACTTAAAAAACAGGGGCCCTATGAACAGACCGATGAACGGTGCTGTGATCTCTTACTGGCGTGGCACATGCTGGGATGCCCTGTTTAGAGCCCACCTGCTTCTGGTGCACTTGGAAACATGCCCATCCCTCTTTGTGTATTGCATTGTACAGAAGAGAAACCAGGCTGGGCACAGTGGCTCA
This sequence comes from Homo sapiens, assembly GCF_000001405.40. Classification (NCBI taxonomy): domain Eukaryota; kingdom Metazoa; phylum Chordata; class Mammalia; order Primates; family Hominidae; genus Homo; species Homo sapiens. Next base: position 8,255,548 of record NC_000004.12, on the reverse strand, counting down.
TGCCTGTAATCCCAGCACTTTGAGAGGCCGAGGTGGGCGGATCACCTGAGGTCAGGAGTTTGAGACCAGCCAACATGGTGAAACCCTGTCTCTGCTAAAAATACAAAAATTAGCCGGCATGGTGGCGCGCGCCTGTAGTCCCAGCTACTCAGGAGGCTGAGGCTGGAGAACCGCTTGAACATAGGAGGCAGAGTTTGCAATGAGCCAAGACTGCGCCATTGCACTTCAGCCTGGGCAACAGAGCAAGACTCCGTCTCAGAAAAAAACAAAATAAGAAACCAGAGGGTCAGAGAGGAAAGTGACTTGCCTCTGGTCACACAGCCAGCACATGGCTCTATCAACCCAGAGTTGAGAGAGCATCTTCCCTGGCCCCACCAGCTATAGGGGGCTGTGCAGGAAGGCCCTGGACTGGATTTCTCCTCACAATTTATGACTTCAGAAGACCTGACTTGGGGCATATAATCATGGAAAGACAGAATTCATGTGCCAAGATCTTCATTGTAGTCGGGTGCTGTGGCTTATGTGTACAATGCCAGCATTTTGTGAGGCTGAGACAGGAGGATCACTTGAGGCCAGGAGTTCAAGACCAGCCTGGGCAACATAGTGAGACCCCGTCTCTGCAAAAAATAAACAAAATTAGCAAGCATGGTGACATGCATCTATAGTCCCAGCTACTTAGGAGGCTGAGGTGGGAGGATTGCTTGAGCCTGGGAGTTTGAGGCTTCCATGAACTGTGATCATGCCACTGCACTCTAGCCTCACCGGCCCATCCACGAATCAGGACAGGGCGCTCACCAGCCCGTCCATGAATCAGGACGCAGCCCTCACCAGCCTCACCAGCCCATCCATGAATCAGGACGCAGCCCTCACCAGCCTATCCACGAATCAGGACACGGCCCTCTCCAGCCCATCCACGAATCAGGACGTGGCCCTCTCCAGCCCATCCACGAATCAGAACACGGCCCTCACCTGCCCATCCACGAATCAGGACGCGGCCCTCTCCAGCCCATCCACGAATCAGGACGCGGCTCTCACCAGCCCATCCATGAATCAGGACGTGGCCGTCTCCAGCCCATCCACAAATCAGGATGCAGCCCTCACCAGACACTGAAACTACTTCTCCTTGAACTTGCACTTTCCAGCCTCCAGAACGGGGAGGAAGAACTGTCTGCTGTTTGTAAGCCACCCAGGCCGCAGTATTCTGTGATAGCAGCAGGAATGAATGGATTGAGCCAGTGGCATTGGCACAGTGGAATGCTGTGGGGTTTTACTAGAAACAGAAAGAAGAGGGACGGGCCTGGACACGCAGACCTGCCAAGACGCTCACATACTGGTAAGAGGAAAACGGAGGTTCTCAATGCAGCCAGAGCCTCTCTCCCCCTCTCTCACACACACAAAACACAGGCACACACATGCCCACAAAACACAACAACACACACACACAACACACACACACAACCTTACTTCCTCAATTCCAAGTTACTGTTGATGACAAGAGAGTCACCTATTTGAAAATAACTTTTCGGCTGGGCGCTGTGGCTCACACCTGTAATTCCAGCACTTTGGGAGGCCGAGGCGGGCGGATCACGAGGTCAGGAGATCGAGACCATCCTGGCTAACATGGTGAAACCCCGTCTCTACTAAAAAATACAAAAAATTAGCCGGGCGTGGTGGCGGGCGCCTGTAGTCCCAGCTACTCGGGAGGCTGAGGCAGGAGAATGGCGTGAACCCAGGAGGCGGAGCTTGCAGTGAGCTGAGATCGCTCCACTGCACTCCAGCCTGGGCGACAGAGAGAGACTCAGTCTCAAAAAAAAAGAAAAAAAAAGAAAATAACTTATCCAGAAATGAAACTATTACCCACAAAAAACAAGATCCTCTCCCTCGCTGACAATGCCCATCTGTTCAGCTGTGTATCATTCATTCATCAGCATCTCAGCCACAGAGTTCGACCAGCAATTTTTACTTTCAATAGCTGAAGCTTCTTCTGAACCTCAGCTAATTTGCAAACTCAGAGGGTCTTGATCTTCCCAAGCCCCAGCCTGCAACCTCAGCCCAGACACCCAGGCACCAGGGCCCTGTCTGTTTGGACTCCGGAGAGGCCAAACAGTGTCTGACCTCCTTTCTCCCTGAGGGCTTGGGACCTTTGCACGGTAACAAGTGGACAGGGACCCTCCGGGGGTCATTCTGTCCACTTGCTCTGAACAAGGAAACCTGCTCTGGAGGTGGATAGAAGTGAGCCCCTCAAACCTCCAGGAGCACCCCATGCCCAGTGCTGTCACCAGGACCCCAACAGAGACGAGGCAGCTCCTCTTAGTCATGCACGCCTCCACATGGAGATGGTCAAAGCAGGAAGGGAGGGAGGGAAAAGGGAAGGATAGAAGGAGAGAAGAGAGGCAGGGAAAGGGGAAAGAAGGAGGGAAGGAGAGGCAGAAAGAAGGAAGGAGAGAGGAAGGCAGGGAGGGAGAGGAAGGAACCCCTCTGTGATGTTCGCGATCCCACATTACAGGTGGGGAAACTGAGGACAGACAGTCTCCCAGGGATAAGAGCATAGGAGAGCCAGCCGCGGAGCACAGAGCTGCCTGCCACAGAGGGGCATATTCTTTCACTAAGCGACACCCGCCACCCTTCCCCCACTCCCCATCAAAATGCTAGATAAGAAAACCACAGGGACGTAGGGTCATGCAGCAGACGCAAGCAGTGGCTTAGGAAATGCACTGTAAATCCATGCTGATTCCGGCCATGGTGAAACACGGCAGCTGGGGGTGCTGGGGTGGCTGTGGGGAGGCTGGAGGTGGCCCTGAATCGTCCTTCCCTGGGAAACGGGGTAAACATGCTTCCAGTTCATCTGGGTCCATGTCTCCATTCCCGGCCACTGCCTGGGGCTGATGACCTCCATGACCTCATTGCCCCATCAAGAGGCAGGTACCCCTTGACATTTGGACCTGACCACCCTGGCCACGCACAGCCCTCCCCAGCCTCAGGAGTGGCGTCACCCCCCTCCCGCAGACCAGCTCCCTCAGGCCAACCCTCCCCTGTTCTGCCTCCCACCGCTCTGCATCCTGCGGCCTCCTGCTTCTCGAATCCACCAGGGCTTCAAGCCCCTCTCTTGGCTCATCTGGAGCGCATCCCTGGTGGTCAGCCAGAAAATGGCCCCCTAGGACTTCGTGCCGGGAACCTGGAACCAGCACCTGTGATCTCATAGGGATACGGGGATTCAGCCCAGGGACTTGGGATGGAGGGATGATCCCGGACTATCTGAGTAGGCCCTAAACGCCACCACAAGTGTCCTTAGGAGACAGAGGCAGAGGGAGGTTGGAACAGACACGCAGAGCAGAAGGCCTTGTAAAGACACTGCAGAGAGGGGAGCGCTGTGGGTCGCCAGCAGCCTGGGAGGGGCAGGAAGGGTCCTCTCCCCACCTTCCGAGGGCATGGCCCTGCCGATGATGCCTTGATTTGGACCCCTGGCCTCCAGAACCGTGAGAGGAGGCACGTCTGCTGCTTCAAGCCACTAAACTGGGGTAACTTGTTATGGCGGTGACTGGAAACTGAGACAGGCCTCCTGGAGTGCGGAGCTAGACTTTCGGCCAGACCAACAGGTAAAGAACGCCTGCCCTTTCATTTTGGCCCCAAATTGCAATGCCATTTTTATTCCCCCGAGCTGTGCACCAAGGGTCCTCACGCAACAGAGAAATAAAGGGTTAGTGAGACACACGGCGCGTCAAGATGGACACAGGTGATGAGGGGAGATTGGTGGCGTGGAGCAACCTGGCTGGCACCGCCCTGTCTCCTGCTGCAGCCTCCCAGCGACGGCTGATGCCCCTGCCTGCTGACCCCCAGGGTTACCATGGGAACGCCACCACAGGTGCTGTGGGGAAGCTGGAGGCTGCAGGGATGTCCAGGCTCTGCCCTTCCCCTCTTTGGGCCTCAGCTGCGAGAAGGGGCTGTGACCATGCGATCTCTGTAATGCACCTTGTCCCTAAAATGGCAGCGGCCCCAACTGCCCACCAAGAAGCGCAGGCCATTGTTCAGAACGGGTGTTCGAGAATATTCATTTGTCAAACATGCAGTTAACAAAAGCAGCCTGGCCACGATTTCTGCAGCAGGAAATTCAAAAGAGCCGGTGGGTCCATCCCCGGTGGAAAATGCTCACGACAATCACTCATTGCAAAAGGTCCAGTCAGGAAAGGGGCTGCAGGGACTTCTGAGAAAGAGCAAAGAACATTCCGTTCAGTGCAGAAGCCTCCAGAGATTCCCTTCATGGGATATCTTCCCGCACACTCAGAACCCTTTCCCAACCACATGGGACACACCTGCCACTGGACCTCGGAGGCCGAGGCCTCCTTCCAAACCCCAGCCCCAGGCAAAGCTTTCTGCCTCCCTTTCAGGTCCCTCTCAGGGGATTTCAATACTCGTGGAACCTGCCTTCCTTCAGGAGTTCTTACACCCGCGCCTGGGCTTGTTTATTCCCTCAACAAACGCCTGCTAGGCGCGGACCCTGTGCTGGTGGGCAGGTGATGGTGAGCGAGACCCACTCCAGGCTCCGGGACCTCATGGAGTGGAGGAGCTGGGTAAACAGGTGGGTGGCAATTCAGTGCAATGAACACTACTCGGGAGTGTAGAGAGCCAGGTGGGGGAATTGCCAGGGGATGGTGCAGGCAGAAAAGGCTTATAAGGGGGTCATTCACATGGGGTCCTGAAGGGTGGGTAGGAGCCCACCAGGCCAAGGGTAGAGTGCAGCCCATGCACGGGGGTGGATAGATTACTGCCCATGCACGCCGGTCTCTCCTGTCCAGGCTTTTTCCATTAAAAAGATAACAACAACAGCTGGATGTGCTGCGAAACAGCCATGGTCCCAGCTACTCAGGAGGCTGAGGCATGAGGACCACTTGAGCTCAGGAGTTCAAGACAAACCTGGACAACATAGTGAGACCCTGTCTCAGAAACAAAAAAAAAGAAAAAAAAAAAGCTAACAGTAACAGCACTGTGTATTGAGGGCTTGTTCTTTACAAACACACCCTCACATGACCCTCACAGGAACCTCTGACATCAGCATCACTGTCCCCATTTTGCAGAGGAGGAAGCCAGGACTCCAAGGGGCTGACTTCCCACAGCAATGAGCTCTGAGCAGTGGAGCCAGGGTGCCTCCCAGCCCTGTGGCCATAGGCCTGTCCCTCGTTCCCCATGTGTAGGGGAGATTGGCCAACGATGAGCACTGAGGGTGCAGGGACAGCTCTATGAGGGCTGCCCCAACTCTCCCTATGCCTTTTCAATGATTAGACAAATCCTTCCCGTGCTGTGACAGCTGCCTGTGGTGTTCAGTACAGTCACACGCCATGCAGGCGTGCAGCCTGGGAGCAAGAGGCTTTGCCCTCTGCCCAGTGTACAGTGGCCAGACCATCTAGGTGTGTATAAGCACTCCAGGATGTTCACACAAACATGCGTTAACATCGCGTTTCTCAGAATGTATCCCATCATTAATACGTCTGTAACTGTACGTGTGTATGCGTGTACTTGCTTATACATGATGTTTGCAGATGTTATACATAAAATGTCATATCTGACACATTAGATCCTATATTACACACATGCATGCGTGTACTTTGTTACACATGACGTTTGCAGATGTTATACATACATAAAATGTCATAAGAAATCTATTAGATTCTGTATTACACACGTGCACATGATAAACTCTATATATTCCACGTAGCGCACCATGCACACATGTGGTGAGTGTCAATTTTGTGCCAGCTTGACTGGGCTGGTAAAGTATTTCTGGGGGGGTGTGTGTGAGAGCGCTTCTAGAAGAGTTTAGCATTTGAATCCATAGTATTAAAGAAGGCTGCCCTCATCAGCACCAGGGTAGGCAGCGTCATCCCATTCCTTGAGGGTCCAGATGGGCCAAAAAGGTAAGGGGAGGGCAAATCCTCTCCCTGTCTGCTGTAGAGCTGGGACATCCGTCTTCCCCTGCCCTTGAGCATCAGCTCCCCTCGTTCTCAGACTGTCAGACCTGAAATCACACCACCAGCTCTCCTGGTCTCCAGCTTCATAGGCAGCATCTCATAGGACTTCTCTGCCTCCACAGTCACTTGAGTTCCCGTAATCAATCTCCGTATGTGTGTGTGTATCTATGTGTATGAACATATATGCATATGATGTATAAGTGTACATATTTACCTGTGTGTCTGTGTGTGTGTGTGTGTGTATGTGTGTGTGTGTGTGTGTATATATATATATATATATATATATATATATATATCCTATTGGCCCCATTTCCCTGGAGAGCCCTGACTAAAACCTGTGCTGCAAGTATCTTCTCCGAGCTCGGGGCCTGTCTTTTCTGTGTCCATGGTGTCTTTTCTGTGTCCATGGTGTGTTTTCCGTGTCCATGATGTCTTTTCTGTGTCCATGGTGTCTTTTCCACACAGTGGTTTGTAATTTTAATATAGCCAAACTTAGTCATCTTTTCCTTTTATGTTCTAGGTGCCTTGTTTGAGAAATTCTTTCCCACTGTGGCTCATGACGATATCTTTTTTTTTTTTTTTTTTTTTTTTTTTGAGACAGAGTTGTGCTCTGTTGCCCAGATGGAGTGCAGTGGCGCAATCTTGGCTCACTGCAAGCTCTGCCTCCCGGGTTCAAGCGATTGTCCTGCCTCAGCCTCCCGAGTAGCTGGGACTACAGGCGTGTGCCACCCTGCCCAGCTAATTTTTGTATTTTTAGTAGAGACGGGGTTGCACCATGTTGGCCAGGCTGGTCTCAAACTCCTGACCTCAGGTGATCTGCCTGCCTTGGCATCCCAAAGTGCTGGGATTACAGGCGTGAGCCACCACGGCTGGCCAATAGCCTCATTTTTTAAAGAAGTTAACATCATTTTTGCTTTCCACCTTTGGGTTTGTTATGTGGCAGGAATGGGTTTTTGAGGAGGACGTGAGAGGCTGATCAGATGGTGCCCACCCAGATTAAGGGTGGGTCTGCCTTTCCCAGCCCACTGACTCAAATGTTAATCTCCCTTGGCAACACCCTCACAGACACACCCAGGATTAATACTTTGTATCCTTCAATCCAATCAAGTTGACAGTATTAACCATCATACATAGTGTCTATCTTCTTGATATTCAACATTGCGTAATTGTTATAATCGCATTTCCCAACTCACTGTTCCAGGTCTGTGGGAATGGAATTGACTTTTGTTTACTCTTTTCCCAGGAAACTTGGCCTCTTAGTGACCCTAAAAGCTGTCTGGGATGTCTTGGATTTTCTGGGTAAACAACCCTGTCATTTGTGAATCATGTCAGTTTGTTTCTTCTTTAACAATTCTTTGAATCGATTTCTTTTTCCTTGTTTTGCTGCGTTGTCTGGGACTTCCAGTATAATGTTGACCACACGATGAGCCTTGCTCTTGAACTTGAGTGGAATGCTTCTTACGTCCGCTGTTAGGTAAAGCAGAAAGCCCTGGTCAGGTTGAGGTCGACACCATCTCTCCTTTGCTAAGAGCATTGATCACCAGTGGGACCCCAGAGCATAGGTGGCTCTGGAGGTTCCTTTGATCTGTCCCTACAGGGTCAGGGGCTTGGGGTGAAGCTCCCATAAGGCTGAAGGCTGAGCTCACAGTGGTCCCAGGGCCTCCTTCCCTCCAGGGCACTTCCCCCGGCACAGGGAGGGCTGTCCCAGAGCATGTGGGATCCATGTGGGAAGGTAACATCACTCCTCCTCCGTCACCATGGCCCATCCCGGGTGGGGCCCCCGAAGCTTGTGCTGGAAACAAGGCTTAGGTCAGAACCAGCCCAGCTTTGCACTCTGCCCTGGATCCAGGCCCTGTCGGGAACGGGTGTGTTCACAGGGCCCGGCAGTGTGAGCCGTGACCACACAGCGGGGTCCTCCCTGCTGGCCTGGAGATAGCCAGTCTGCTGTGCGTTCCTGCATAGGAGGTGGGGATGCACACAGGGGCTCCCCTTTGGGGCCGACAAGGGTCAGGAGGTGAAGGGAGAGGCTTGCCCCTGGGCCTCTTGGAGTCCCTGAGGCTCTGGGGACAGGGCAAGGGGACTGGCACCGGCTATCCTCCCCAGAGGGGCTGGGCCTGGCCTGAAGCCTGGGGTGCTGGCATTGTGAAACTGCCTCCCCTCTCAGACTTCTCTGGAAACCCAGCCCTCCCCATGCGGATGAGTCCCCAGAGGTCTCCTCATCCTGCAGTCTGGGCTTATCGGAGCCGTCACAGACGAGGAGCTGCCGTGTTTGCTATGGGAGGGACGAGGTCGGCCCTGCTTCCTGGAGACCTCCTGGCCCTGGAATTCTCTTTTCCTGGGATGCCGCACAGACCCAGGCCAAAGTGGCCGGGGTTGTGAAATCCTGTGTTTGGCTCTGGCGGGTTACCGAGGGCTGGCCTGGTGAGCACGGCAGCGGACGAACAGGGTCCAGGACAGGAGGCCGTGCTCGCAGGACGCCCACGCCAGGGCTCAGGACGTGTGCCCTGTGCTCTGCAGAGAAGGCCACCTGAAGCCCAGGCTGTCCTGGGGTCACACAGCTGGGTGGAGGGTGGAGGCCAGGGGTCCCAACACCTGCCCCCCTGCTCCCCGATGGAAGGTCATTACTGTGAGTTGTCCAGGGTCTTGGCATGTTGAACAAAACGCACAAAGCAACAAGAGAAGCAACAAGAGACCAAGCAACAGAAGAACGGAGCAACCAAAACACATTTCCTGAAGAAGCAAAAGTGCAATTCACAGAGTGGGAGCGGCTCTAGCAAGCGGCTTGAGGGCCCCTCAATTCACGTGTTTATTAAGCTAAAGAACTTGGCAACACCCCTGGGTGCCCTCGAGAGGCCCCCAGTTGGCTACGCCCTATGAAGGACTGGCCCGCAGTCCATCAGAGGTGAAGTGGACACTTGGCCCGCGGTCCATCAGAGGTGAAGTGGACACTTGGCCCGCGGTCCATCAGAGGTGAAGTGGACACTTGGCCCGCGGTCCATCAGAGGCTGCGGTAGAAATTTCTGTGTTGTTATCGCAGAAGCGAGGATGTGGCCTGGGTGCCGCCCAGTCCTGCCTAGAACCAGCTGCCCCTGCAGTTCTCTGGCTTACTCTAACTGGCCGCACCTGCTATTCCTTTGCTCATGCCCCAGCCCTTGGCTACCCCAATTCCCCATTCTCCTGCCTTACTCCTCCTTCTCCCTTCTTCCTTAATTCCTGGTGTGGGAGCTGAACGTGAAGACCTCAGTTTGAGGAGTGGACCTGCTGGTACAGGTAAGTGGGCAGGCGAGGAGGCGACCTCGGGAAGGGCTGCCTGGCTACCGCCCACCATGAGTCCTTCAGGGCTGGAGGGATGCCTGGGGCTCGGCCTCCCCATTCCTAGGCTTGGCCTTGTATTTGCTATCTATGCTGTGTACCAAATTATCACAAATTCAGCAGCCTAAAGCAACGCCCCTTTCTTGGGTTGCTTCTTGCATCAGAAGCCTCATGTGATTCTCTGCCCAGGGTCACCACAAACTGTAATTGAGGTGCCAGCTGGGCTGTGATCTCCCCCACGATTCAGCGTCCTTCCAAATTCACGTGGTTGTTGGCAGAATTCAGCTCCGTGCCATTGTAGGTCTGGGGTCCCGTGTGCTTGAGGGCTGCCAGCTGGGGACCGTTGAGCTCCTAGAGAGCCTGCAGCCCCTACTGGGCCGGCCTCTCTGTGGGGAGCCCACTGTTTACTGTGCTGTGCAGCCTGGAAGCTGTTTACTTCCAGGCCAGTAGGAGAATCAGAGAAGGCTGAACCCTCTTACACAGGACTCACTTGATTAGGCGAAGCCCATCTGCAATCATCTTCCTTTGAATAACTCCAAGTCAACTGATTAGAGACCTTAATTACATCTGCAGACCTCTTCACCCTTCCCACGTACTGCAACCTACTTGCAGAAGTGATAATCCTATCACAGCCCAGACTCACCTGTGCTGAAGAGGAAGGAGGCACGCAGAGTCAGTTTAGAATTCCGCCTGCCTGCACTTCCATCTGGGGGGAGGCATATTATTCTTTTCGCTGTGTTTTTCCATCAACCCTGGAGGACCTGACAAGCCCTGGAAAATGTGCTAAATGTTTCCTACGATGCTGTTGATCTTCATAGTAGCTCAGCAAGGTACATCTCATTGCCCCATTTTATAGCTGAGAAAACTGAGGCTCGCAGAGGGGCAAGGCATACGAACGGGAGCCCACTGCCCGGTGCTCTGGGTCAGGGCGAGTCAGAGAGAGGCAGAGCCTGGACTCAAGCCTGCTTCCTGCCCCTGAGCTTGCATAGACCCCACCCTGCTGCCGGTGCACAGGTCTCGCCAGCTGCCCGGCCTAAGACCCACAGCCTGCTCCCCAGGCCGGGCGCTGGACACAGGGCGTGTGAGTTGACTGCGGCCAAGCTCCCTGGAAACACAGTCTGGATCACTGATGGCGCCAACTGGAGTCCAAGGGCACCTTTATGCCCAAACAGTGTCACCCGGACACACTTCTCCACTCACGTGGGAGACCCTTGTGGCCTGCTTGAACCCCTCTGCAGACGGGGAGCTCACTTCTGCCTGAGGTGGCCTCTCCCATCTCCGGAGAACCCTGCTCAGGAGAGAGTTTGGCCTCACGCTGGGCCGTAAACCACCTCCTCTCAACTCCTGGGCTCCGTGGCGAAGGTAAGGCTGATGTAGACTTGCTGGGCACCCTTGGAATGGTGGCCTGTATGCTGCCCAATCCTGCCTAGAACTGGGTGGCCCTGCTGTTCCCTTGTGTGGAGATGGTGCTCTCTCCATTCAAGGGAACAGCAGCAGGTCAGCCAGTTCCCTTGGGATGCTGATCATTCCATACCCTTAGGATGGTGACCCTCCCTCTCTGAGCCTCGGCTCCCTCATCCAAAATGAGGGTCCAACTTGGACTCGGCCGATATTTACCCCTGGAGGAACCAGTACAGGGAAGGATGTGGGCTCCAGGAGAGTGCAGGCGGCTGTGCTGGGCGGAGCTCCCTTGCCTCTGAGTCAGGAGAGGGGGCTGTGTGACCTTGGGCAAGGCTCTTTCCATCTCTGTTCAGGGGAGAGTCTCCAGGGACCCCAACAAGGAGTGTGATTTCAGCTGCAGTCCCAGGAGCACCTCTGGGAGGGCCTGGAACACTCCTGGAGTTCCCTGCACCTGCCTGAGGCAGTTTCTGCAGCCCATGCAGTGGGCGCTTGCTGAATGTGTGTGGGAAGGTGACTGAGTTAACCTGGGGATCATGGCCGCCTCCTTCTAAAATTGGGGCAGCTGGCTTCTGGGCTGCGAGACCACTGGCTGCGTAGAGCTGGGCACGTGCCCACTGGACATCTCTTCATCTCATGCCTACTTTGCTGAAGGGGGTTGTTGTTGCGGCGGTTGTTGCCCGGGAACCAGCCTCCGACGGGCAGAGCAGGGCTGGAGACCAGTGGGCTTAGGCCTTAGCCAGCCGAGCCCTGACCTCCACCCACCACAGAACAACGGGACTGGCTGCCTGGTTCTGCACACCAACTCTGTGCCCCTCGTTTCCCATGCATTCTCTCCTCACTCTTGGAACCTTGGGGTAGGCTTTGTCTTTGGTGACAGATGAAGAGACGAAGGGTCTGAGAGGTTAAGCAAGTTTGTTACTGGAAAGGGGTCCCGACCCAGACCCCAAGAGAGGGTTCTTGGATCTCACAGAAGAAAGAATTCGGGGCGAGTCCATAAAGTGAAAGCAAGTTTATTAGGAAAGAAAAGGAATAAAAGAATGGCTACTCTGGCCAGGCACAGTGGCTCACTCCTGTAATCCCATAACTTTGGGATGCCGAGGCAGGTGGATCACCTGAGGTGAGGAGTTCGAGACCAGCCTGGTCCGACACGGCAAAACCCTGTCTCTACTAAAATACAAAAAATTAGCTGGGCGTGGTGGCGGGTTCCTGTAATCCCAGCTACTAGAAAGGCTGAGGCAGGAGAATTGCTTGAACCTGGGAGGCGGAGGTTGTAGTGAGCCGACATCACGCTACTGCACTGCAGCCTGGGCAACAGAGCGAGACTCCATTTCAAAAAAAAAAAAAAAAGAATGGCTACTCCATAGGCAGAGCGGCCCCAAAGGCTGCTGGTTGCCCATTTTCATGGTTATTTCTTGATCATATGCTAAACAAGGGGTGAACTATTCATGAGTTTTCCAGGAAAAGGGTGGGCAATTCCCAGAACTGAGAGTTTCTCCCCTCCCTTTTGAGACCTTATAAGGTAACCTCCAGACGTTGTCATGGCATCTGTAAACTGTCATGGTGCTGGTGGGGGTGTCTTTTAGCAGCTAATGCATTCTAATTAGCATATAATGAGCCGTGAGGACAATCAGAGGTCACTCTCGTGGCCACCTTGGGTTTGGTGGGCTTTGGCCGGCTTCTTTACTGCAAACTGCTTTATCAGCAAGGTCTTCATGACCTGTATCTTGTGCGACCTCCTATCTCATCCTGGGACTAAGAATGCCTAACCTCCTGGGAATGCAGCCCGGCAGGTCTCAGCCTCACTTTACCCAGCCCCCATTCAAGATGGAGCTGCTCTGGTTCACATGTCTCTGACAAGTTGACCTGGGTTGAGTGTTCCATAGCGTGTGGTTGTTGGAGCTTTTCTTAGGAGTAAGAAGTATTGTTAGTAGGAAACAGGCCTCTATTGGCCCTGGGGCTGGCACTCTGCCCCAGTATGTCAGTCTCATTTTAGTGGTGACCAAACTGGGGCTCAGAGAAATCAACTCCCTCACCCCGAACCCCCAGACTGTGAGTGGTGGGCTGGGGTTTGAATGTGGGGCTTGAAGACCCACCGTTTCCTCTGGTCCCCCATGCTCTGCTGCCCGAGAGGAACAGGATCCCAGGATCCAGGCCCCTGATGGCACCAGCCAGGGTGGGTGGAAATGGGGAGGCACAGTCCCAAAGCCCCCAGGACTCTGAGGCAGGTCGGGGGCTGAGAGCAACCCGGAACTGCAGACCCCACCCCGAGAGGAATGGCTGCAGGCCCGGCCCGGCAGGCAGGAGGTCTGTGTCCTCAGTGACCGTGACGACGCTTCCCGCTGCTCCAGCCAGGCCGTGCCGTCTTCATGTTTCCAATCATGCGGCCTCCTCTCCAATTCCCAAGCCCAACCCACAGAGACAGCGGTCTGGGGTCAACATGAGGTTTGTCAGCAGCTCTGAGCCACTGCTTCCCTCCAGCCCCGCGGCGGGTTCTGGAAAGCTCTCTGCTGCCCCCTGGTGGGGAAGCTCGGGGCGGGGCAGGGCTCCGGCGGCAAGCATGGGGCTCCCCTGTAGCGCTCCCAGACCCTCCTGGCTCTGCCACCTCTGCTGGGTGGAAAACCAACCCAGGCCTGGACCAGCAGTGGGTGCCTGATTCCTTATTATCAGAGCTCCGCTCACTGGCAAGTCCCTCTTCGGACCCCAGGAGAGGGGCTTGGGGGATACCAAGGAGGGGTAACTGCTTAATGAGGACGGGAGGTTTCTTCTGGGGAGATGAATGCCTTTTGAAACTAGACGGTGTGGGTGGGTGCACAGCACTGTGAGTGCACAAATGCCACCACATTATTCACGTTGAAATAGTTAATTTCATGCGATGTGAATGTCACCTCATTTTAAAAGTGTTTAAAAGAGGGGCCTGGGAGAGTGCAGTGTTTGTGAGAATCACGTGGGGCACCCACAATCTCTGAACCTCGGTTTCCTTGCCGTAAACTGGCGAAGAGACCGTGTGAGCCGTGTTTCCTGGGGCCAAGAGATTCCAAGAAGGAAAACCTGGGATTCCTGGGGACTGAGATGAGGGCCGGGGGCCGGAAGGGGAGGGGTACATGGGGAGGGCTGAGGGGCAGCCCAGAAAAGGCTTTCAACACTGGGCAGCAGCGTCTACACAGGCAGAGATCCCTGCATCTCACTTCCCACAGGACTGACCAGTGGCTGGAGGTGGGACTGGTCAGGCTCAGCCCAGCCAAGTCTGGGACCAGAGGACACTTAGTGGGGGATCCCCTGGGCCACCCTCACCGCCCTGTGGCTCTCCTGACACCACAAGAGAGGTGCAGGAACTGACCTTGGGTCCTAATGGGGGCACCTTCCTGGCAGCAGGCCGGCAGGGTGGTGTGGTCAGCGCACTGGGCTCTGCGTCTGTGTGATGGTGGGCCAGACAGTTAACCTCTCTGTGTCTCTATTTCTTCACTGGCGAATGGGGGCACTAGCAGCCCCCACCTCCGCGCACAGTGGCCTGAGGATTAAAGGCAAGGGTGGCACAAGACCTACGGCAAAAGCTCCGAGCAGCTGCCCAGGGAGTTCCACCACCGTCTCCCCTCTGGCCGCCAACGAAACCCAGGCTCATGGTGACCTGGCACAGGTCTGTTGGACTCGGGGTCCTTCTCATACCCAAGATCAGGACATAGCAGCAGGGCTGCCCCCAGGGAAGGGAGCTGGCCCCTAGACACGCCCCAGGAAGCATACTAGGGAAGGATGCCCTGCTGACTTCAATAAGTTATTGCAAAAAAAAAACAAAACCCATTTATTGCTATTTGGCCCCTGCGTTCGTGCCTCCATTTGCCAGAAAATGAGCCACCGGCGACACCAGGAGAGGCAGGAGACCCCCAGCCCTTGCACAAAACCCACTCCCTTGGATGCTGTCCTCAGCGAGGGTGGCTGGGGGCCAACCAGGGGGCCCACCCGCAGAGTGGCAGAGGAGGCAGGTTGACCCTGCGGACGTTGAGCTCTGTGGCGAAGGTCCTGGCCTTCTGGTAGAAGAAGAGCGACTTCTCACGGTCCAGGAGGAAGTTGTGGTAGATGGTGGCCAGCCGCGTGTAGATCTTCAGCTGTGCCTTCTTGTTGCCCAGGTCCACGGCGGCTGCCAGCGCCAGCTGGTAGTACCCGGCTGCATCAAACGGGTCCTGAAGGGGACAGGCCATGCTCAGCAAAAGGGGGACTCGGAGCCAGTCTCCCCAGAGGCCGTTCCTGTGCCCAGGTCATTCCACATGTCCGGCCAATGCTGGCTCACCCCATGAGCCCCGAAGCCTGTGACACTGCTGTGGGCTCAGCTGCAGGAGGTGGAGACGGCCCTGGCACCCCCTGGAAGGATTCCTGATTGTCCCTACACCCCACTCACCCCGAGCCTCCTGTCCCAGCCCCACCCTCTCTGCAGGCAGTGGCTGCTTTCCCCGTGGGCTGAGGTTGGGGCGGATCCTGCCTGCTCTGAGAGTTCCATGCAGGACCCATGGCTCCCAGCCACAGCAGGGGCACAGTGTTGAGTGACCCAGGCTTCCCTCTGGCCCCTGTCCATGCTGACCATTTCCAGGCCCTCCATGGGCCGGGCCAGGTATAAAAGCATCTCCCAGGTGTCCTCTCTGGGAATCTTCCCTGAAATATTGACGGAGTGTGATGCCCCAGACATCCACTCCCATTTTCAATGCATCTGTGGCTCAAACTCACCATCCCTGGGTTGGGATGCCACTTCCCAGACCTCCTCCTTGACCCTCCCATCCCCCACCCAGCTTCTCCCCAGGCACCTCCTCCACATGGGGGTCACCCAAGGGACCTCTCTAAGACCCAAGCTTGGCCCATTCCCCTTTACCATCTCAAGATGGCTCCCAGGGCCAAGGACAAAGTCTAAGATGCAGCAGCCCATGCCCTCACGGCCCCGCCCCACACACAGGGCAGGGGTGCGAGAAGGGCCCGAGTCACATCACTGCTCATCCAACGCCCCCCAGCCCCACCGAACACTGGACTCTGTGCCGGGTGCATGGCTGAGCCTAACGTCCCTGCTCCTCTGGGGGACCTGGGAGTGAACACTGATCACACAGGGTGGCCAGGGCTGTGGCAGAGGCAAGCCCAGGAGCCTGTGGGGGCCCAGGAGGCCCCAGACTCAGCCTGGGGTGGGAGGCAAGGGCTTCCTGAAGCGGGTGGCATCCCAACTAAACAGGAAGGAGCCAGCCAAAGCATATGTGTCTCTGTGTGCATGTGCCTGTGTCCGTGTATGCCTGTGTGTGTGCACGTGCCTGTGTGCGTGTGCCTCTGTGCATTTGCGTGTGCATGTGCCTGTGTGTGTGCATGTCTGTGTGTGTGCCTGTGTGCATGTGCCTGGGTGCATTTGCGTGTGCCTGTGTGTGCCTATGTGTGCATATGCCTGTGTGCATCTGCGTGTGCGTGTCCGTGTGTGTGCATGTGCCTGTGTATTTGTGCATGTGCCTGTGTGTACATGGGGCCTGTGCCTGTGTGTGCGTGTGCCTGTGTGCATTTGCGTGTGCGTGTCCATGTGTGCATGTGTCTCTGTGCCTGTGCCTGTGTGTGCTCATGTGTGCATGTCCATGTGTGTGCATGTGTCTCTGTGTGTGTGTGTGTGTCCCTGTGCGTGCAGCGTGCATGTGCATTTGCATGTGCCTGTAGTGCGTGCAGCAGCTAGTGGGTGGCAGGCTGAGCCAGGACACACCTAATCCACCCTATTCCAGGGCTCACTCTCACATGTAGACTAAAGGGGACCCCATTTTAGAGGCAATCGGCAAAGATGCCCATTTACCCCTGCCTCTCTGCCAGCCTTCCAGGCCCCATCCAAACCGGCTTTCTCTGCCACCTCTCTGGGCCCTGGATCCGGCACCTCTACACAAGGAGGAGGGTGTGGCCTTGGAAAGACAGCAGCCCTGGGGGAATTCCGAGGGGGCCTCCCTGTGGGAAGCTGGCCTGCGCTGACAGCACAGTCACCATGAGGCCCAGAGGGCTGTGCCCCTTGACCCCAGCCATGGACTTTGGCCTCTCAGGGACTACTTCGTCCTTTCCTTCCTCCTGGGTGGGCGGAGTGGGCAGCAGGCATGACTAAGAGAGATAAAGTCCCCTCTGGAAGGCCCGTCCCCTGGGTCCCAGGCCAGCCCCTGAGCAGTGAGCAGCGTCCCTCTGGGCCAGACACCTGGCACTTCCCCGTCTGGCTGGGACTTGGGAGGCCACAGGGACCGCTTCTGACCACCAGGTGTCCCCAGCACCGGGCGGGGGCCTCCCTGGCAGCCCCAGGCCTGCCGCGGGGGATACGGGGCGGGGTCTTAGGGTTGCCGCAGCTCCTCATGTTGTTCTAAGGCCCCCAAGAGCTCAGTCCCTGGACTGGAGCGCCCTGGCCCCCCAGCCCACAACGAGCACCGATGCAGTGCCAGTGTGATGCTGAGTAGGGGCGGGCGCCTGCTGGGCAAGGGGGTGGGGACATCCCAGATCCGAGTCTGCCGGTCCCAGTTCTCCACCCCTGCAGGGCTGGGCGCAGAGGGAGCACAGGTCCCAGCACCTCCTCTCCAGACAGACCCGACCAGCAAGGCCTCAGCCTGGCTGTCTGGGGCCCCGCCCCACTGCACCTGCCCTGAGCTGGGGTTTCCCTGTCTGTGAAGCAGGTGGTAAGACACCGGCCCCGCCCCACCCTGCCTGGGTGATGTGAAGATTCAAGGTGTCTCGGGACTCCAGGAAGGAGTTGCTCAGTGCAGGCTGGCACCCTGGCAGGCTTCCTAGCAGAGGCGCCAGGATTTGGGTTGGATGTTGCAACATGGATTCAATGTGAGGATGATGCCATCCCCCCAAATGTCCTTCTCCCTACCCTGTTTTCTTTGTTAGATACAACTTGACACTTGACTGCCAAGACTCAGCTTTGGTGTCCCCTTCTCCAGGAGGGCCCCCCTGACTACAATCCCCCTTCTTTACCGAGAGGCCACCATTGCCCACTCATGTATCAGCCTCCCTGGCTGAGGCTGAGTTCTTGAGGGTGAGGCCTGGCCGCTCGGGAGCTGGGTTGTGTCTGCTAACCTTGCCAGCTCCTCCAGCCGGGCGCAGCGCTCCAGGGAGGCCACTGGGCCATTCTTAAGGAAGGCTGGAACACATGCCTCAGGGGTCTGGGTGGAGATCCCACTCCAAGGGGGCCGGGAACACCCTGAGCCCAGCCCCTCCCCACCCACCTTCAGGTCGTAGAAGATGATGTCACCGAGCACCAGGTACACCTTCACGTAGTAGAGGGTCTCCTCGTCAAACTCCAGCGGCGAGTTGCAGAGCGACAGGGCCTTGAGGTAGAAGTGCTCTGCCAGCTCGCCATGGCCCAGTCGGTGTTGCAGGGCGGCCAGCCGGTGGTAGGCCACGCGCTCGTTCAGCCGGTCCCCTGGGGTGCAGGCCAAGGGGGCAGGTGTGAGGACGTGGCTCCCCGGGGCAGGCATGCAGACCCCGGCAGCACCTGGCTCGCCTCCAGGCACTGCGGTCACCTGGGCAGTTCTGGCCAGTCCCTTCCCAGCTCCCAGACTCACTTTCCCATCTACAAAGCAGAACTAATAAGGCCTGCCCCCATCTACCGTGAGGCTTTGGCAAAGTCGGACTTGGATGGCCCAGCTCTGTGCCTACATATAGCCACCTGCCTTTGCTCACTGTTTTTAACCAGGAGAGCCCAAAAGGCATGCAGCCCACGCGCTCCTGGGCACCAGGGCTCCAGGCAACCCACAGACATGACATCCAACTCTTCCTGGGTGTGTCATCATCAGAGTCCCCTACCTTGGGGAGTCACTGCGTGCCTGAGCTCCAGGTCCCCCCACAGATGCGCGAGCCCACCCAGGCTGTCTCCGGTGTCCTCCCCTTTTCAGGGTGAGTGCTGTGGAGCCTGCATTCAATGCATTCCCACGCGGCTGCACACCTGTGTACCAGGCCCTGGGCCACAAGGCGCTGGGGCATGTGGCCTGTCTGGGGCTCCCTCTCTCTAGAGGACAGACGACCCTGGCACAGCACCGGGGGATGCCCGGCATTAAGGGGCAGGCTGCTGGAAGGGGAACTGGGACTTCATCAGCCACAGAGCCGTGTGGTTGATGAGGGTGGGAAGGGCACAAGAGAAAGGGAATGTGCCACTCAGCCTGGCACATGCAGGGACCAACGAGATGTCTGGCATGTCTGGAAGGCAGAGGGCACACTGGGCAGCCCTCGTGGTCAGCAGGGGGAAGAGGCACAGGAAGCAGAGCTCAGCCAGGCAGGGAGCTCTGCACTGAGTGAAGGACCTCGGGCTGTGCCCCACGGCCGGACGGGGGAGCCAGCTGGGCAGATGTGCCTGCCTGGACAGGAGACCAGGAAAATCCGGCAGCTGTTTCGGCTCCTGCCCTGCAGACCTGGAGGCTGAGCTCTGGCAAAGTGTGGGTCCTGGCAGGGCAGGGGCTCAGGGGGCTTACCCAGGGTGATGCTGAGTGCTAGGGCCATGTGGGCAAACTCCAAGCCCTCCTGGGGCTCCTCCAGCGTGGCCAGCAGTGCCACCAGCTTGTTGCACAGCCGCAGCTCCGCCTTGCGGTTGCCCGTAGTCACTGCCAGGGGCAGGGCCCGGTCCTGCCACACAGGCAGGTGGGGTCAGGCTTCCCGCAGCACCCACCTTGCCCAGCGCCCTCCTCAGAGCTCAAACATGTGCTCGGAGCTTCCCACGCCCCAGCTACCCCTGGGCCTCGACACAGCTGTGTGCTCTGAGATAAAGGGCGGTTCAGACACCCAAGCTAGGGGCTGAAGAGTCACCTGAGGCCCATCCAGCTACACCCGGCAGCCTCAAACCAGCCCCTCCCGCCTGGGCACCAGGGGTCTGACTGGGGGGAGCCTGCACTCCTCTCTGCTCTAAAAACACGACATTTATCTGTGCCCAGGGCTGAGCCACACCATGAGCTCAGAGGAAGGGGGAAGCCGTCCCCGCTTCGGGGTGCATGCAGACCTGGGCCCTGGCCCTGGGCCTCCCACTGGCATGCCGTGTGTCCTTTGACGTGTCCCTGTGCCTCTCTGAGCCTCAGTTTCCTCATCTGTAAGATGGGGACAGGACTTCCCACTCAAGGTTGCTTGAGATCATCGGGTGCAAGGGTAAGGCCATTGCTGTGTCCAGGCCCCAAGTGTTTGTCCCGGGCGGGGGGCACAGTCAATATCATTCCCGGTGAAACCACTAGGAAACTAAGCATGTGCATGGGCGGCCCTGCCTCCAGGTGCGAGGGCTCTGCCCTGCCACACCTGTGCCTCAGCCCTCAAGGTGCCCCCCCTGGGGCCCACCCACATCAGCCCACAGGCCAGCTCACCCGGTAGAAGGACACAGCTTTCTCCCGCTCCCAGGCCCCGTCGAAGAAGATGTCTCCAGCCGCCTCAAACAGCTCCAGCCCCAGGTTGGGGTCGCCTGTGTACAGGGCCACGTTCTGTGCCACCTGAAAGGAGGCAGAAGTTCCCTCAAGACCCACACCTGGTGAGGTGGCCACGCCCACCCAGGTCGGACTCCCCCGCCCAGCCTCCTTCCTCTCACACACTGCAGGTGCAACTGAGCCTTTTTCAGACCCTGTGCATTAGGGCCGCCCCCACCGCTGGCATGGGGACAATGATCTCATGCACCCGAGTGCCAGGAGGTGACTGTGCAGCTGCAGCCCAGGAGCCCGACATCTGTGAATCCTGCCACCAGGGCTAGCCCTAGCCCACTCCCCCTGCACTCAAACCAGCCTCCATGGCCCCCAGATTGCTGGGAGCCCATCCCCTGGCTCCTTTCTGAGTTGCCACATCCCTGCCACAGCTCAGGACCCCACATCAACAGTGTTTGTGGGTGGGCTGGTCCCCTCTTGGCCATGAGCTCTTGATCCTTCTCCTCAGCTCAAGGAAGTATACAGCAGGTGCTCAAAAACAAAAGCTTCACCAGGCTCTTGGGCTTCCCAGTTTGTTCCAGATCACACTGTGTTTGGGAAAGCCTCTGGAAACTGCTGCTATGACAGATGCATTTTGTAAGGAGATTTGCCACATGTCGCTTGGAGCAAGTTCTTCTGTATGTTAACTGAGAGGCCACATTATTTGAGCATGTGCTGTATACCAGCAGGTGCTGGGCACTGTGAGGGGCTGTGCCTCTGCCCTCAGGGAGAAGATGCTGGCCATTGGGGGAGGATATGAGGGAACCAGTGGGAGAGAGGGGAAAGGCATACAACAGGTGCTCAGCAGTGGCTTAGGAATGAGTGGATGGATGGATAAATGGATGAGCAGATGTATAGGTACATGGATGGATGGATGGATGGATGGGTGGATGGATGGATAAATGGATGAGCAGATGTATAGGTGGGTGGATGGATGGATGGACGGACGGATGGACAGATGAATGGATGGATGGGTGGATGGATGGATGGATGGGTTGAATGATGTGTGTATGTATGGGTGGGTGGATAATGTATGGATGGATGGGTGGAGGGTGGATGATGTATGTATGTACATATGGATGGATAGATGGGTGGATAGACGAATGTATGGATAAACAAATGGACAGACAGACGAATGGAGGGATGGATTAATGGGTAGATGGGTGGGTGGATGGATGAATGATGGATGGATAAATGGATGGGTGGACAAACAGGTGAATGGATGGATGGGTGAATGGATGGATGATGGAAGGATGGTGGATGGTGGATGGATGAATGGATGGATGATGGATGGATGGATGATGGAAGGATGGATGGATGGATGAATGGATAAATGGATGGATGATGGAAGGATCAACAGGTGAATGGATGGATGATGGAATGATGGATGAATAAATGGATGGATGATAAAAGGATGGATGAATGATGGATGAATGGATGGATGGATGATGGATGGATAAATGGAAGGATGGATGGATGATGGATGGATGGATGGACAAACAGGTGAATGGATGGATTGATGGGTGATTGGATGGATGACAAAAGAGTGGATGAATGATGGATGGATGGATGATGGATGGATGAATGGAAGGATGATAGGTGAATGGATGGATGATGGAAGGATGGATGCCTGATGGATGGATGGACGGATGATGGATGGATGGAAGGACGAACAGGTGAATGGATGGATAATGGAAGGATGGATGGATGATGGATGGATGGATGGATGAACAGGTGAATGGATGGATAATGGAAGGATGGATGGATGGATGATGGATGGATGGAAGGACCCATAGGTGAATGGGTAGATGATGGAAGGATGGATGGATGGAAGGAAGGATGAACAGGTAAATGGATAGATGATGGAAGGATCATCTATCATCATCATCAATGGACGGATGGATGGATGGAGAGTGAACATGTGCAGAGGCCCTCCTGCATCCCTCATCACTCACCTGGATGTAGAGGTCCACCAGCTCGCTCTGCCGCAAGATGTAATAGATCTTCCCTGCTTGCAGCCAGGCATGCGCCTCCTTCTCTTTCTTCTGGAGGTCAATGAAAATCCCCAGACTTCGTTTGGTGTAGTCCAGTGCGGATTTGTAGGCCCTGGTATCAGACACAGGTGTCAGAACAAGGGCTGTCATCCTCCTGGAACCAGTCTGCCTCCTCCCGTGGGTCTGGTGACAGATGAATCTGGAATGGGACTGGGAACGGCCCTCTTGTGTGTGCAGTGTCCTGCCCTTCCCGGGCTGCTGAGAGGGTGGGGTTGAACACACACGGCAAGGAAAAGACGAAGGACATCCTTCTGAGGGAACTGGGCATCATGCTGCCCTGTGGCTGGGGGAGCGTGCTAGTCCATCTCCCCCGCGTCCCAGACATGGCCTGTGTCTTCTCTAGACGCACCAGGAGCCATCAGTGTTCAGATGCTATCCAGGCCGATGGTTCTCAAGGTGCGCAGGCATCACAGTCATCCAGAGGCCTGTCCATATAGCTTGCTGGCCTGCCCCCAGAGCTTCTGGCTCCACGGGCCTGGGGCGGGCCCTAGAACTCCCACTTGCCACAAGCTCCTAGGTGACATGGATGCTGCTCTGCTGGTCCAGGGACCACACTTTGAGAACATGGCTCTAACACACTGGCCCATTTTCCTGCTGTGAACCTGAGGCCAAGGCTGGAGCCGATCTCCCGGGTCCCTGTGGAATCCGGCTCCTTCCCTGCTCTCTTGGTGAGTCGAAGGGGTGTGAGTGCAGCAATGTCACTGGGCCCTGTGGGTGGGGTGGCCAGGGCCATGGTTACCCCACCAGGTCAGGATGCTCCAGGAGAGCCAAGTGGGCCACATGTGGGATGTGAGACCTTGAAACCCTGCCCCAGGGAAGCAGGTGACACAACTGGCTCTGTCTTCTGTGGGAGAGAAGCCACAGGTGGCTGCTGTGGTCACATTTAAGGGGACAGGTGAAGGCCAGGAGTGAAGACTCGGGGCAGGCAGAGGTCAGATGACAAAAGCCACCAGGTAGGAAGAACAGCCCAGAATGCATGTAACTGCTTCTGCTGGGGTTGAGATGACCTTTGGGGAGGTGTGCAAGCAGGGATGGGAAGACGTGTCACCCAACAAGGGAAGCTCAAGCTGGGACTCACGGGTCATCAGCAGCCCTGGGACAACCCCAGGCCCCCCAGCTCAGAGCATCCGATGCCAAGGAACCAAATGATCCCAAGGAGAGGGGCTGCTGGGGCCCTGGGCCAGCTTCCCTGTGCCCCCGCCCCGCCGCCCCCTTTGCCCCCTCCCCCCGCCCCCACCACCACAGAGCCAGCCCTCACCGCTCGGTGCCCAGGGACAGGTAGAGCTGGCTGATGGTCTCCAGGAGCTGCCCCTCCAGCACCTTGTCGGCCACCTTGCAGGCCAGGGAGAGCTGGAGCTCATGGTAGATGACACACTGGGCCTCGCTGGGCATGACGGCGCTGTAGAAGTGGCACAGCCGCTGGACGGCCCGCAGCTGGCCTGGGCAGAAGACAAAAAGGAAGACGTCAGCCTCCCAGCATTGAAGCGAGGCTGGCTGGGCTCAGAGGCCCCTGCGGTGTGCTTGCCTCTTTCACACCTCTGTGAGCCTGGGCCCCACAGGCGGGGAACCGCTGAGCACACCGTGACATGGGCACAGCTTGGTGCAGATGCCCATGGTAGAGGCCGGCCTTCTTTACAACTCCCAGGGCTGAGGCCCTAGCCGAGCTTGGCCCCTGCACCAGGCCATCTATTTCTGCTTCACAAAGCCCCTCTGGCCAGGACCAGGGCCGCCTTCAGCCCGAGCTGACGAGGCCAGGGACACAAGTAGCCCCTGTCGCAGATGGAACCCTGGGGGAGCAAAACCAAATGTCACGTCTGCCACACACGGCATCATGTTGGGGGAATGGGGCTCAAAGCCGGCCCCTGGCATTCCCACACGTGCTCCTCCCGTGCAGCCAGGCTCCAAACCCACAGGCTCACGGGCCTCTCCCAAAGCCAAGGCGCTGGGAACGGTGGAAAGCTGCTGATTTTCTAGTGTCAGCAACATTCCGGAGATGAACACCAGAAACCAGGTACGCCGAGTGGACATCTATCACACACGCCACCCAACAACGGCAGAATACACAGTCCTCTCAAGCGCCCATGGGACATTCCCCAAGACAGGCCACGTGCCAGGCCCCACAATGAGCCTCAGTGAATGGAAAAGGACTGAGACCAAAGCAGGAGTGTTCTTCAGTTGTACTGGCGTGAAACTGGACATCAACAGTGAAGGAAATTTGGGAAAGTCAAAAATATGTGGAAATGACACACTCCTAAACAACCAGTGAGTGAAAGAAGAGACCATCAGGGAAACTGAAAACTAATTTGAGAAGAATGAAAACAAACGCACAGCACGGGCCAGAGCAATGGCTCATGCCTGTCATCCCAGCACTGCGGGAGGCCGAGGCGGGAGGATCGCTTGAGTCCAGGAGTTTGAGACTAGCCTGGGAAACATGGTGAAACCCCCGTCTCTACAAAAAAATACAAAAATTAGCCGGGTGTGGTGGTGCATGTCTGTAATCCCAGCTACTCAGGAGGCCGAGGCAGGAGAATGGCTTGAACCCGGGTAGAGGTTGCAGTGAGCCGAGATTGCACCACTGCACTCCAGCCTGAGCAACAGAGCAAAACTCTGTCTAAAAAAAAAAAAAAAAAAGCACAGCATATCAAAAATTCCAAGATGCAGCTAAGGCAGTGCTGAAAGGGAAATGTGTAACTCTAAATGTCTACATGCAAAGAAAGAAGAAAAATCTCAAATCAAAAACCCAACCTTCCACCTTAAGAAACTAGAAAAAGAAGAATGAACTAAACCCAAAGCGAGTAAAAGGAAGAAAATAATAAACATGAGAGTGGAAATGGGAAGTAAAAATACAGAGAATGGAAAAACAAAAGAGCTAATCAACAGACCCAAAGGTGGGTTTTTCAAAAATATTAACAAAATTGACAAATCTTTCACCAGACTGACCAAGAAAAGAAAGATGGGACACAAATGACTAAAATCAGAGACCGAGCACCATGGCTCACGCCTGTCATCCCAGCACTTTGTGAGGCCGAGGTGGGAGGATCGCTTGAGGCCAGCATTCAAGACCAGCCTGGGGGAACATGACGAGACCCCATCTCTAATAAAAATAAATAAATTAAAAATTAAAAACCCAAGTTTCTAAAATCAGAAATGAAAGAGGGAACATTATTGCTGACCTGACAGAAATAAAAGGATTCCATGAGAACACTACGAACAATTGTATGCCAACAAATCAGATCATCTAGACGCAACAGCCAAACTCCTAGAAAGACACAAACTACCAAAAGTGACTCAAAAATGACCACAAGTAAGCATGTGGGGTATCAGCCCCACCCTCGGTCTTCTCGACTGTTCAACGCGGGGTGGGGAGACAGGGAAGCATGATCCTCGTCCCCTGGCCCCCGGTCTCCTCGACTGTTCAACGCGGGGTGGGGAGACAGGGAAGCATGATCCTCGTCCCCTGGCCCCCGGTCTCCTCGACTGTTCAACGCGGGGTGGGGAGACAGGGAAGCATGATCCTCGTTCCCTGGCCTGCGTTTCCAAGTCTGAATCCCCCAGCACCCCGGGGAGGGCCTCGTAGGAGGTGCCACAGGCTATTGTGCCAGGACCCACCGGAGGCTGCTGTGGGGGCTGGGGTGCCGGGTTTCTGGAGGGTCTCCTTGCAGTCAGAGAATGGCCCTGGGGAAGAAGCCTGGGTCTGAACCCCCCCACTCCTCCTTGGGCAGATGGCTCCCCAGTGCCCTTAGGGAAAAGGCCAAGCCACAGCCTGAGGCCCCAGGCCCTGCTTAGCTCTCCAGCAGAGCTTCTCACCATCCAGCACCCAACCAACCCACGCCCAACTCTGCACCTCCCTGCATAGGCCCTGCTCACTCACCCCCACTTACACCCCACTCATCCCCGCTCACCCGCTCACACCCCCGCTCACTCACCCCCTGCTCACCCCCATCACACCCCCACTCACTCACCCCCTGCTCACTCACCCCCATCACACCCCCACTCACTCACCCCTACTCGCTCACCCCTGGGCCTTCACACAGGCTACACCACCAGCCCCTCACCCACCACGTATTACTTGACTAAATCTTCTCAACCCTCTGGCCCCAGACTAAAGAGGCTTCCCTAACCCGGGGCCAAGAGCTGCCCCGCCATCACACCACTCACCCTTTTGTGGCTTCTCTGGCCTGAAGCTCACTTTCCCATGCTCAGCCCCTGCCACCCAAGGACCCCACAAGCCCCATTTGTGGGTGGGACGTGGCACACTCTGCACAACGAGCTGCTTTTGCATAAACTTTTCTGCGGCTTTGGGTAACCACCCGCCCCTGCGTCCTCTGTGAAGTGGGATGACAGGTGCACAGGGCTGCCGAGATGTCAAGCAGATAACATGGGCACAAGCACCGGCGTTCAGGGCCTGGCTCATGGAGGGGCCCCAAGTCCCAGCTCAGCGGAGCCTGCCTCGCTTCCAGGGTTATGTCTAGGGTGACCCACCGCCCGTTGCCCAGACTTCAGGGATTCCCAGCATGCAGGACTTTCAGTGCTCAAGGCAGGATGGTCCCTGGGCAAACCGGGAGGAGCTGGCTCCCCCAGTAGGGCAGAGAGGGCCTGGCCCTGCGTGGGAACTGCCTGTCTCCAGGGCGCTTGCCAACATCTGCTGTTTGCCATGACTCAGCACTTTCGATGGTGGAAAAACCACCGCTTGTGTCTGAATCACAAACCCCAGGTGTGCCCTGACCCGAGTGGCCCCGGAAGGCACACAGAAGGAACTGGGGCACTCACTCTCCACGTGGCCCATCTCCACGGCGACCAGAAGGGCCCACTCGTAGTAGCCCTTGCCCTGCTGGGCCGGGCCCTGGCGGGTGCAGAGATGGCCCAGCTGCAGGAGCACGTGGGTGAAGTCCCGGCCACACTCCCCAAGGGGCAGCCTCGAGAACAGCCGCACGGCCTCCAGGAGGTAGTGCTGGGCCAGCCTGCTGGCACCCGCATGCAGGCACAGGGCCCCGAAGTTGGCCAGCCCCACTGCCTGGTTCCTTTGCTGGCCCAGGTCCCGAGCCACCCGCAGGGCGCGGTAGTAGCTCTCAGCTGCCTGCCTCGTCCGGCCCGTCCTCTTCAGAGCCACGGCCACCATGTTGGCAATCACGCCCTCCTGGTCCTCGCTGGCCACCACTGCATCCCGGACAGACTGCAGGATGTCCAGGGCCACCGGGCTCTGCCCATGAAGCACGTGCAGCCAGGCCAGGGCCACCAGGTGGTCCACGATGGCACGGACTCCGGCAATAGCACTGGCTTCCACTGCCTGCGTCATGAAGGTGATGGCCGGGCCGTGGCAGCCATGGTGGCTGTACAGCTGGGCCAAGCTGGTGTAGAGGGGGCCGCGCAGCGCCTGGCCTGTGCCCGGGGTCAGGGAGGCCAGCGCTTGCCTGAGGTAGTGGGAAGTTTGGGCAGGGAGGCTGTGGGGCTGGGGGGCGTTCTGGAGCACCAGGTTCACACTCCTCAGCGAGCCGGCCAGCGAGCCCCGTGTCCGCAATGAGGCCACCTTGACACAGCTCAGCACCAGGTGGGGCAGGCACTTGCGGCTGTAGATGTCAGCCAGGAGTAGGTAGCAGTCTGAGAGCCACGCGGCCTCTGGGGCTCCCGAGTCCCTGTGCAAAAGCAGCAGCCGCTCTAGGAAGGGCAGGGCCTCCTCGGGCTGCTTGAGGTGCACGTGGTGCCTGGCCAGCAGGAAGCAGGCCCGGGCCTCGGCCTGCAGGCTCTGGCCACCCACCGCCCGCCGCAGCGCCAGCTGCAGGAGCTCCCCCTCCGCCTCGGTGCTGCAGATGTGGTCAGGCGTCCCCAGGAGCAGGGCCATGGCTTTGGGCACCACCTGTGCACACTTCTCCCGGTTCTTCTGCTTCCGGTAAATGCTGGCCAGGTTGGCGTACACAGCCACCACTAGGAACAGGTCCCCGAAGCTGCCCTCCAGGGCCCCCAGCGCTTCCTCAAAGTACACCCGGGCCTGGGACAGCTTGAGCCTCCTGCTGCACAGCCGCCCCAGGAGGAAGCAGAGCCTGGCCAGGGCCATGAGGAGGCCAGCTTTCTTGGCCGCCCCCCGGGCCTGTGCCAGGCGCCCAGTCAGCTCCTCCTCGTCGCTGAAGCTGCGGAACACGCTGCTCAGCCACGGCAGCGCCACATCGTACAGGCCACGGAAGCTGGCCTTGTACCCAGGGGCGTTCAGGAACAGCAGCAGTGAGCTCAGGGCCTCTGGGTCCTCCCAGTCGTCCTCGGCTTCCAAGCAGAAGGAGGGCTCCTCGGGGTCCTGCAAGCTCACGTCGCTGGATGCCGCACAGAGACCCCAGGACGCTGGCTCCTGGGGGCAGCCTGGGCAGGTCTTGCATTGTTCCAGAACATTCTTCACCTTCTGCAAGGTCTCCTGTGGCTCCAGGCTCAGGCAAGGTGGAGGTATTTCTGCAAGTCACAAAAACACCTAGACAGATTAGAGTCCAGCAGTGAGTCCTGGGTCCACTGGGGGCAGGGTCCCCTCATCCCCAGCCTCTGTGTCCCCGGCGCAGCACTTTCCAGACGATACCACCCTACCGGCTTGCCATGAGCCCTTGAGAATTATGTGCAATGCAAACCCAGGGCCTGGAGCACATAGGAACTCCGGCACTGTGGGGACAGGGAAAACACAGGCCCATGGCCCAACTCTCCTATGAAATCACCCTCCTGTCCTCCTTTGTTGCCCACCTGACAGCATGGTTTTAGGAGACTATGTGTCAGCTCAGTGATCCCTCAGAGATGCCTTTCCCTTTAGAAAGAATCAAAGCCTTCTAACTGCACCCAAGTGTACGCAGCACTACGACTACAAATGTAATTTTTGTCAGCATACTGGGCCCCTCGATGGGGTACAGGAATCCATGAAATCCTCAACAGCCAGTCAGAGCTACTGATCAGCTCAAAAGCTGCTATGCAAAATTGGTAAAGCTACCCACAGCAGAGGACAGGGATGTTGTAGCCATGTACCCAGCTCCATGCAGGGAAATGGACCATCCCTGCAGGAAGGATGGGAAAGCTTCCAGGCTCCTGTGACCACCTTCACCTTGGATGGTCTGAAAACCTGAAGCCCGCAGTTCCTAAAGGGTTAACAAAGGCCAGGCTGCCCACGCAGCCTGCTGGCGCCTGCTGGCTTTGGTGGATTCCCAGCCAAAGCCCCCTCCCAGAGGTGAGCAAACAAGCGCATTTCCTGTTGGAAAACCTGGGACGAAAGGAGACATTACTGGGAAGGAAAGAATCTAGATTTAAATAGACTCTCTGTTTCAAGCTCACATGTAAAAAATATTTTCACTACAAACTGTCTCCTTATTCATCTGTAAAGCCTTGGAATTAAAAAAAAATTACATATGATTTAGAGGCAAATGTGACTTGACTACACTAGATTAGCTAAGAAATCTCCCTGCCCGGCAGAGGCAAACAGCCCCTCCCAGCTATTACCCTGGCCTTGGGGGCAGCTGGAGTCACTCGCATTTGCTCCAGGGACTTCGGCAGAGGGTGGATCCACCCCCTCCCCCAGGAAAACCTACAACAGCCTTCCCTTCCCCACTGGCTTCCAGGCCTCCTCTGGGACCTCCTGCCTGCATCCCAAATGTACTGGAATGGATCCCATTCCCAGGGAACTTCCGAGGGCTCTTGGGGTGTCCACATCCCCAGGCTCTCCCCATGCGGACCCTGTGTGAGGGGAAGAGACAGAGCTGTAGAGGGGAGATGGAAGGGTCTCCCTCAATCAGCCCCTCAGGAAGGAGCAGACCCTTGAGGGACCTCAGTTGAGGCCCCTGCAACCTAAGGCTCTGAATTCTGCCACCCACTGAGGGCAGTGTGGCCTCCCATCTCTGAGGCAGAGCAGAGGGCAAGCTGCAGCTTCTCCAGGTCATGAGAAAGGAACCCACAGCTACAAGTGGACCCAAGCAGTGGAAAGGATGCTCCATCTTGGGCGGGGACCAGGCGGGGGCCAGCATGTTCATTGGAAGAAGTGCGGGACCCCACGGCCTCCAGTGCCACAGTGGACGGGAGGTTCAGGCCCACCTCAGGCAACCTCCCCCAAGCCCCCAGCCCACACCACAGAGGGGTGACAGCCGCACCCAATGCCCACCGTGCTCAGCTTTGTCACCTCCCCCAGCGTTACCCCAAGGCCCAGCTCATAACCAGAGGAAGCCTGAGCCACTGGCAAAACCCACCTTTTTCCTGCGGCTGCTCGGTCTCAGCTTCCTCTACTGAGTCTGGCAAGGGAGAAAAGAGAAGCAATCAACACCCCCAGCCAGTACCTCTGGTCCCCTGCCAGGTTGAGCTAGTGTCGATGTTGCAGGGTGAGAGCATTGCTGGGTGCAGGTATTGAGGGCTGAGATGTTGCAGGGTGCTGGTGTTGCGGGCTGGAGTGTTGCAGGGTGCAGGTGTTGCAGGCTGAGGTGTTGCAGGGTCAGGTGCAACCAGCATAGGAGCACTGCTGACACCTGAGGGAGAGGCACCAGCCAATGGGCCAGAGAATTCTCATGTTCTAGCATCTCCAGGCCTCCACCCCACCCAACCCCTGTGGGGATTCCACTCTCCCGTCTTCTGGGGACATCCTCCCATCATCAGTGGGGAGCACGCTCTCGGCTTCCATCAGCTCCATCAGGGAGCAGGGCGCATTGAACAGGCAGCAGCTCTGAGTCCGACAGCCCAGGGATCAACACTGCTCCAGTGCACCCCCACCCTCTTCATCCCAGGGCAGGCAGCTACCGGGTCTCAGTTTCACCCCCGTAAAGTGGCTGACACTAACTGCTTACTGGGTTTCCGTGGAGGTCAAGTGAGAAATAGCTGTAAAAAGATGTGGAGATGTGGACAGCGTCAAGCGCTGTGAACTGCGATAACAGGTGTGCAGTTCTGGGGAGCACCCTGCAATGCCTCCATCTCACAACACCTGCATCCTGCAACACCCCCACTTATGACACCTGCACCCTGCAATGCCCCTGCCCACAACACCCCACGGTGTGGAGGGTCCCAAACCTGCTTCCTAAAAAGGACAGGAGATACCATCCAGGGGGTCTGAGCCTTGATATGCTGAGGTCAAGTCTAAGTTTGTCCATTCAGGAAGGGAAGTTGATTTGTGGGATCTACAAATGTTAACTCTAATACTGGTGGGAGAAAAGGTCTTGTAATGCATGTCATCGAGCAAGCAGGAAAAAAGTGTGTGTGGAAATGTATCTGTTTATATATGTGTGTGCATATGTGTGTGAGGGGGTGCATGGATATGTATGTACGTGTGCGTGTACACCTTGTGAGGAAGGTGCATGCACATGTGTGTATGTGTGTATACACCTCTGCAGGCACATGTGCACACATGTCTGCATGGGTGGGTGTGTGTGTGTGTATACTTGTGAGTGCATGTGTGCATGCACACAGTGTGTATTTACATGCGTATTTGTGTGTTTATGTCTGTGTTTGTACATGTGCACATAGGTATACAAGTAGGTGTGTAGATGCTGGGCACAGTGGCTCACAGCTGTAATCCCAGCACTTTGGGAGGCTGAGGCTGGCGGATCACCTGAGCTCAGGAGTTCGAGAACAGCCTGGCCAACATGGCGAAACTCTGTCTGTATAAAAAAATGCAAAACTAATCCAGGGTGTGGTGGCGCGTGCCTGTAGTTCCAGCTACTTGGGAGGCTGAGACACGAGAATCGCTTGAACCCGGGAGGCAGAGGTTGCAGTGAGCCGAGATCATGCCACTGCACTCCAGCCTGGGCAACAGCACAGGACTCTGTCTCAAAAAAAAAAAAAAAAAAAGTGGGTGTGTAGCCACACATTTGTGTTTATCTACACCCAGCAGATAGCACGGCCTCTGCCATGTTTCTTTATGTTGTGGATGACATGCCAACTTCATCTATGCGTTGCACTGCAGCCCCCAGAGAAAGCTTTTGCACACAGAGGGGCACTGAGGTCAGAGGGACTATCTCT
This sequence comes from Homo sapiens, assembly GCF_000001405.40. Classification (NCBI taxonomy): domain Eukaryota; kingdom Metazoa; phylum Chordata; class Mammalia; order Primates; family Hominidae; genus Homo; species Homo sapiens. The sequence goes on along the minus strand of NC_000004.12, from coordinate 8,223,460 downwards.
GTCCTTAGGAGACGGCAGCCCTGGGGTCCCACCATGACACTCCCTGGCAGCCAGGTGACCAGGCCACACCACAGTCTGGGTTCTTTCTCTTGTGACAAGGAGAAAAGTCACTCTCACCCAGGCAAAGTGCAGTGGGCAGAGGGCTGGGCCCCAAACAGGAGCCCTCAGGGCTGGCAAATTAGAACCAGACCCATACCCTCTCCCTCGCCCAGCGTCTCAGGCAGGTGCCTGGGGTCAGGGCAGGAAGGGCTTCCCTGGTGCCCACAGGAGTCTCAGGGGCCACATTCCCACGCCCTCAGCTCCTCACCCATCCTCTCTCCTGTCTGGCTTGTCTGCAGCCCCTATGTGCCCTGGAGGCAGCGGCAGCCTCTGTCTGTTCACCTTTCAGCATCCAGGGGCTGGCACTATCTGTGGATGGACGAGGGCAGCAGGGGCTGCAGAAGGGAAAGGGGAGGGCAGTGGCCCCACCACAGGCATCGCCCACACGCACCCAGGCTGTACACGCTGCAGACATCGGTGCCCGACATCCGCCTCAGCAACTGCCTGGCATCCTCCTCAGAAAAGCAGCCCTCGCTGAAGAATGACTTTTCTTCCTCATTGAGAAAAATCGCACTTTCCAACCTGGAAAAAATAAAGTGCTTTATTCAAAACAACATATTTGCAAAGTCAGCATTTCACACTAAGCACATTTCCATTCCTTGATTTGACAGACAGATAGTCTCGGAGCACTACTCTCTGCCCAGGGGTAGAGACAGAGATTTAAAAACAACAACAACAACAACAAAAAGTCCAGGCATGGTGGCTCACACCTGTAATCTCAGCACTTTGGGAGGCTGAGGTGGGCGGATCACTTGAGGTCAAGGGTTCAAGACCAGCCTGGCCAACATGGTGAAACCCCCATCTCTACAAAAATACAAAAATTAGCCAGGCGTGGTGGCATGAGCCTGTAATTCCAGCTGTTCGGGAGGCTGAGGCAGGAGAATCACTTGAACAGAGGAGGAAGAGGTTGCAGTGAGCCGAGTTCACACCACTGCACTCCAGCCTGGGTGACAGAGCAAGACTTTGTCTGAAAAAAAAAAAAAAAAAAAAAAAAAAAAAACCAGATCCTGACCTCAAGGGGTGCCTTGTCTGGCCAGGGGCAGATACCCAGAAGCAGGAAAGGCTGAAACAGATGCAAACAAGTAATGGTGTCCTAGGACAGTGAGCTCCTAGGCAGCCTTCAAAGCCCCATTCCAAATGTCCCCTCCCTTATGAAGTCCCCTGTGACAGCTGCAGACAGAACCAATCCAATCTCTCCACATTGTAAACTCCCACTGATTCTGTACAACCTCAGTGCTCCCCAGAGTGCCCAACATACACTCAGGGCACTCTCATAAAGTCAGGGAGAAGAACTACAGGAAGAAACAGAGAGAGAGGGAGAGAGGGGAGGAGAAAGGAGGCAATTTTTGCTTATAGGACTAAATTACCAGTATAATATGAAGCTTTGAAATGCATCTTATTCAGATTTTAAAAAAACTTAGAGTAGCTTACAGCACATTCTACAAAATAACAGGCCTGTATTCTTTAAAAACATCAGAAAAAGACTGAAAAGCTGTTTCACATTAAGGAGGCAAGACATGACGTCTGAATAGAACACGTGGTCTGAAATTGTCATTGTCTACAAAGGCCATCATTGTGGCTCCTGGCAAAATCTGAGTAAGATCTGTAGATAATGGCATTGTATCTGCGTTCATTTCCTGATTTCGACAGTTGTACTGTAGTTATGTAAGCAGATGTCCTGGTTTTAGGAACCACATACTGCATTATTTAGGGGTAAAGGAACATCATGTTTGCAACTTACTCTCAAAGTGTTTAGAAAAAAATAGAAGTGAAAGAGAGAAAGCAATAAAGCAAATGTCATAACATGTTAACATTTGTGCAATCTGGGTGAGGGCGTGTGGGAATGTTATACTCTTTTTGCAACTTTCTTCTAAGTCTGAAATTGTGTCAAAAATAAAGTTAAAGAAAAAAAAAAAGAAGAGCTACCAGGTTGTTCACTAAATAAAAGATGAAAACCCCGGGTCTGGAATAGGAAAGATATTCAGCAAACATTTGTTGAGTGAATGAGAGAAGTCAGAATTTCTCCAGCTGTGAACAGGACTAATGGCACCCAGCCCCGTCATCCTTCTGGGTTAAAGGAAGGGAACAAACTAGCTCATTCCCTGGCTCTTCTCTGACCCCTTGTAAGTTCAGTACATGTTGACTTCACACGGCCCCCAGTGACCTGTTGAGAATTTGTGGTCTCCCTTGGAGATGGTAGGGATCAGCTAGACCAAGGATCCCCAAAGAGTGTCCCATGGAACACCAGCTCAGCCAAAAGCAAACAGGGTTGTGGAGGATTCTGGAGGTTAAGTAAGTGTGGAAAAGGCATTTCAACAGGAAAAAGATGCCTTGTTTGTGCTGGGAATCCCTGGGATCACCCACAAGGGATGTGGACAAAGCTTTTCCCCACTCCTTAGGGCATGATGAAGTCTATGATGGAGCAGTGTGTGAGAACATGCTTTGGGAACTGCTGGTCTAGCTCCTGCCATCAGTGCATGGCCTGGCCAGCTTCCAGCTGCTTCTGATGCACAGGTGCCAGAGGTACCAGAGCAGACGGACCCTTTCCATGAGGGGAACAAGTGAACGGCTTGATGAGGCATGGTGACAAACGGCCTCTGAGACCTGGTCTGAGAGGTGTTGGTCTGTCGCAGCCCTAAACATTGAACAGGACCACTGAAGACAAGCATCTCATTGGTGGGGCCAGGACCAGGATCACATGACCCAGAAGGTGGCCTCTCCATGCACCCACATTCTCTGGGCTCCTTGACTGAGGTCTTAACAAGGACAAGGCCAGGGAAACAGAATTCCATCAAAGGATGGGCACAGCTGACTCCTCTCCAAAGACCCCCTGCTGCTGCTCGCACTGGGCAGTGAGAACACAGAAGTGACCAGGGAATTCTTCTCTTGGAGTTCCCTGGCTGGGAGCAGGCAGGTCATGGGTGGCGTGTAAATCACATAGGAAGAGGCGTATGGCCAGAAGAGTGCCCCCCCCAGAGGAGCCACGGGGGCTGATGGAAGGCCCCAGGAGAACACGGGGTTCAGGGAGAGGGGGCATCCCAGGCAGAAGGACACACGTGTCACCCAGAGCAGTTTTGGAAGGCACAAGGTACTCTGTGCAGCCCATGGGGGCCTGCAAGGTCGGGCCCAGAAGCTTCCTGGGGCTTAACGGAGGAGAGCGACGTGTGTACTGGATTAAATCGTGTCCCTCAATTCATGTCTCCCGGAACCTCAGAAGGTAAGCTTTCTTGGAGAAAGGATCTTTGCAGATGTAATTAGTTCAGCTAAGATGAGGTCAGATTGGAGTTGGATGGGTGCTAGGAGATGGGCACCCTTTTAAGAAGAGAATACGGAAGACACACAGAGGAAGACAGCCACGTGGAGACGGCGGCAGAGTGCAGTGATGTGGCCACAGGTCAAGGAACGCCCACGGCCACCAGGAGCTGGAAGAGGCAAGAAGGACCCTCCCCTAGAGTCTCCAGAGAAAATGTGGCCCTTCTGGCCTTGGTTTTAGACTTTTGGCCTCCACAACTCTGAACAAGCACATTTCTGTTGCTTTAAGCCCCCGGCGTGCAGTGCCTTATCACGGTAGCCACGGAAAGATGATGCACATGGGCAGGTGTGCATTCGAGGGAACGCTCTCCCTGCAGCAGCCCGGAGAAAGGACGCCAGGGAACCCTGGAGTCAGGCACTGGGGCCAAGGGGGCAGCAGCCTGAGGACAAGGGAAGAGACTAGGCATCGTCCACAGTGACTTTCAGGCTTGTTACCTGGGGAGCCAGGTGGACGCAGCAACGTCCCCTTAGGTGAGATGGGGGTGGGTTCAGGAAAGGGGCGGGGCTCCAGCCACTCACTCGGACACGGGGCCCTGCATGCTGATGAGGCTGCTCCGCACAAACCCCACCCGGCCCGAGGCTGCGTGTCGGCCCACGCACCAGGGCAGGCTGGGCACCTGCGCCCCAAGGATCTCGATGAGGTCGCCACCTCGGAAGGTCATCTCTTCGGGCCCCGAGCCCTGGAAGTCTGCCAATGCCGAGGCCAGGCCCACAGCTGCGGAAGAAAGCCACATGGTGAGTGCCAGGGAGACCAAATGGGGGCCAGAGCGGGCAGACAGGGCCGATGCCAGCCACCCTGAACCATGGGGAATTCATCTTTTGGTTACTAGGAGGTTCGTAGTAAAGCTTGGTTTCCGCAATGAGGGAGGGAATGTCTACGTGGTCCTCAGAGGGGATGTTTTTATCCCTCTGTTGAAGATGAGAAAAATGGAGGCTCAGAGATGTTGATAAATAAGCCTCGGCCATCAGCCTCCAAGGCCAAGGCTCTTTCCTCCTTTCCTTCTGCAGCCACAACCCCCGGCCCCACCTACTCCCCACCCGGCTCCTGCATGGGGCTTTAGTCCCCCTGACAGGTGCGCAGGCCACCCAGACACCGGCAGCTCTGACAGGTGCACAGGCCACCCAGACACCGGCAGCTCTGACAGGTGCACAGGCCATCCAGACACCGGCAGCTTGCCACAGAGCACAAAGCGCTGGACCCGGCATCCAAGGAGAAGGGCTGCTGGCAGTGCCAGCTTTTCATAAAGAGGACGCGGTCACGGTCCTCTGTTAGTGCACGTGGCAAATTCAGCCAGCGCCAGCCCACCTCGGCCCAGGGCCTTCCAGGCGTTTCCCATGGTGACAGAAGGCTAGACTCTGAGACTGTTGGGTTGCACTGTCTGAGAAGTGGCGTTTGGGAGCTCTTTGCAGACAGTGGCCGGGGGCCCTGGTGCAGCTTCACTGAGCATCCTATGACGCTGCACCAGCCCCCAGAGCTTCCTGAGTGTCAGTTATGACCTCACAAGCTGGAGAAGACTCGGTTGGTACAAAAGTAATTGCGGTTTTTGCCATTGAAAGCAATAACAAAAACCACAATTACTCTTGCACTACCTGATAGCTATCTCTCTGGCTCAGGGAGGATGTAGGGCAACTTCCAAAATGTTGGTGCTGCTCCCTAGCACACACATTTCCCCAAAAAAGAGAGGCCCATGGAAACACTTACCCATCAGCGGGTTGCCGGGCATCACAGGGCCACCCATGGCATCGTCGATGGGGTCCTGGGGGATCCTAAGAGCCCACCTGGAGCCGGAAGAGGGAGGTCTTTGCTGCGGGATTTCAGATTTGGGGCAGATACATCCTGTGCAGAGACTGGACAGGCCAGCAGCCCCCAGCAACCTGAGCAGGTCCCTCGCCTCCCCCAACACACACACGTGCACACACACACACACACACATGCCTGCCCAGGTGTGTGGCCTTCAGGCCCCGTGCGTGTGGCACTGCCCCCAGGGAGCCCCGCACCCCTCAGCCTAGGGCCCGTGTCCTGGAAACACCGCCACCCCTGTGGGCCTGGAACCCTGCAGACCTCCAAAGCACCTGCCTCCCCCAGCTCCACACAGTGAGGGGTGAGGGAGATCCCAGCCTGGGGCTCTGGAGGCCTGGATTCAAATCCTAGTACCACTGTGACTTTGCCATATAACCTGGACAGATCACTCCTCTCTCAGCCTCAGTTCCTTCAGCCAGAAAAAAAAGGAAGCTGGACTAGATGACTGACAATCCCTCTTTCCCAGATGGCAGAACACTCTCAGTGTCCCCTGTTGGGACACCACTGGCCAGAGCACATAGGAAGGATTCTTAGGAGAAGCTCCTCTTGGGTCTCAGTAATGAGAGAAGCCAAGCCACAGCCTGTCACTTGAGACACTGCAAATCAAGAGATTGAGGTTCTCTCTTTGCTTTGGCTACCAGGAAGCTCCAACCCAAGTTAATGCCCCCCGCTTCAGCAAGTGAACAGGAGTTTGCATGTCACCTGTCCTCACATCCCCTGGCTCTATCTGTGGGTCCCGTGTGCCTTCTCACTCTGGATACGCATGTTTTATGTAGCTTCCTCAAAAGCTTTTCGGATGAGCCTGGTGAGAGCTCATGCCACATCTCCTGTGCCAGCGAACCCCAGGATAGCCCTGCCAAGTGGATGTCATTGGCCTATCATGCAGCTGGCAGGCCAGAGGCCCAGAGAGGTGGGCCAAATTGCCGAGGCCACACAGCTGGGAAGCAGCAGAACAAGGCCATGGCCAGGTCTGTCCGGGGCCCCCACCATTCCCTGTCCATCCCCTTGACCTCCAGATGACCCGGGCCTGGGAGTCTCAGCGAGGCCAACAGCTCTCAGAGCAGCAAAGGCCGGTACCTACTGATGAAATGGAATCAAAGGCTCCGGGGCGGCCGCCACTGCCACCTCCTCGGAGGACACGCTGGGGCTCGGCGGTGAAGAGTCTGTTTCCGGGGCCGCCTCTCCCTGGGGTGCCCCCGAAGCCTGCCTGAGGGCCTGGGGGCCATTTCCTGCATCCCGGGGACCCGTCATCACTCTCACATGGTGGTCAGGACACAGGACAAAGAAGGGCCCTTCAAAAGGATGGAGGTGGTCACTGAGGGTGGCCGGACTGGGCGCAGCTGTGGCCCTGCCCCCCACACCCCTGCCGGACAGACAACGAAGGCAACACCCACAGGAGCGGCCCCCCCAGTGTCTGCAGGCACAGAGACCCAAAGGGGCTCAGAAGGAGAGGTGGGCCCAGGGCGAGGTCCCAGCTCTGCCTCCATGTGGTGTGTGAGGCTGGCTCAGCCTCAGACCCTCGCCCTGGGCCTCAGTTTCCCTGACTGTGCGATGCGGAGCCAAAGGTGGGACCCCCAGGGCCCTTCTCCATGGACTGCCCCAGTGACCCCAGCCACTGCTGGCAGGCCCCCTCCTGCTGTGGTCGGGTAGGAAAGACAGCCTCATGTCCCCTCCTCAGACTCGGCGGCCAGCCACAAGGCCAGGGCAGCAGCCATGTCAGAGACACGAGCTGGGGACTGGCACTAGACAGAACCTCCCTTCCACTGTTTCCCAGGCACCTCTGTGTCCCTGGGGGCTGGCCAGGGTCTCTAGAGCTAAGTGACAGTGCCACACCAAGCACACCTCCCTGCCTGAAGCACCCCTCAGCCTCCAGAGGCTCCGCAGCCCACAGCCCCAGACATGCTCAGCACAGCGGGATCCAGGCTGTCACCCCATGGCCCGGGAGTGCCCCGCACAGCTGGATCTCGGCCATCACCCCATGCAACGCTCACCTTCTTGGATGAGGAGGCTCTCGTGGGTCAGCCTTAAGGCGTTCTCATCCACATGGACTTGGATGGCCGTCTCCTCCTCCTCACTGGGCAAGAGCAGCCAGAAGGCCTGGTCCATGAGCAGGTTTGCCAGGCAGTGATGAGTGAAGCCTGTGGAGGCCAGGCCCAGTCACCCGAGGGCTCCAGAAGAGGGGCAGGGAGGCAGGGAAGCCTGTGTGGTCCCAGGTCGGCTGAGCCCTGCACTGACCAGGTCCAGGGAGACCATGGAAGACACCCACCTGCCCTGGGGTGCCCACAGTGCTGGCTACACACAGCAGCCCACGGCCTGACCACCCGGGCTGTGAGAGGTCAAGCCCAGCTCCACCACCCACCAGCGGCAACCGTGGTCAAGTTATCTGACCTCTCCACGCCTCCATATTCCCCTCTGTGAGATGGAGACCATATGGTCGGGGGCCGTGCAGGCCGCAGGGGGTATGGGCCAGCAGCAAGGTGGGTCTGAAATGCCCATGTGCAAGCCCCGCCCCGCATCATGAGCTGGTATCTGTTTCCATTTCTATCAGGTGAAGCCTTGTCTCTGGGATGCTGCGAGCTCCCCCCTCTCGTCTGGGGCAGTGAGCCTTCGTTCACCGCAGCTGAACTAGGAGGCTCGGTGCACGTGTAAGGCACAGGCAAGTGATGTGAGAATCCTGCCTCCACACTCAGCGTAGAGTGGACTCTGAAAGAGGGAGACAGGAAGCCTGCTGCCCTCTGGATGGACATCCCCCCACAATGGCCATCACTGTGGATGGGCAGCCACAGATGAGCCACTTCCTCCAAGAACCGGATCAAGAAGCCCACGTCCACAGTGGGATGAGCCTCAGCCCTGCTCACCGGTGCTTGGGGAATTGTGGCTACAATTCTTACTCCCTAACTCACTTAGCCCTCAAATCAAGGGTGGTGTCGCAAGATCCCCAGGGAGGCTCCGTTAGAGCCTGGAATTCCTCCAAATGGAACAGGGAATGTGCCAGGAAGAGCTCACGTGGGTCAGCTTTCAAATAACAGCTTTCCCGGTCAGCACTGAGGCCACTGGACGGCAGCTTCCCTCAAGTTCTGGTTGAGTGAAATTACAGAGGGCAGAGTGTGAAGGCAACTAGAAGCACAGCCTAAATCATTCCTGCAACAAAGACCCACATCCGTCTACGACTCCGCCTACCCGGCATTTCTCCCTGAGCACCAGGTGCGCACACCAGTGTTGTTATCTTGCTAGTGAGGCCTTTGTGAGCCTGCCTGTTCTAAAGCACAGATTCATGGCTCATGCCTGTAATCCCAGCACTTTGGGAGGGCAAGGCGGGCGGATCACCTGAAGCCAGGAGTTTGAGATCAGCTTGGTCAACATGGTGAAACCCCATCTCTACTAAAAATACAAAAAATTTAGCTGGGCATGGTAGCTCGTACTTATAATCCCAGCTACTCAGGAAGCTGAGGCAGGAGAATCGCTTGAACCCGGGGAGCAGGGGTTGCAGTGAGCTAAGATTGCGCCATTGCACTCCAGCCTGGGCGACAGAGCAAGACTTCGTCTTAAAACAATACATCAATAAATAAATAAACAAAGCACCAGTTTGTAATCTAAGTGCACGGTGTGTAACCAGCACCTTCCGACGGGCGTCCCCATGACCAATTCTGGGAGGGTCACCTCTTTACCGAGAGCATGGTAGGTGGAAAACTTCCAGATTTCTTCAAAAGTCTTAAACGTCACCACGATCCGGTCCTGGTCACTGTGGATGGACAGCAGCCTGGCTGATAATTCCTTAAGAGAAAGAAATAGGAATTCGAGAGGTCCCCAGGAGCTCTGGGGCATCTGTCAGGAGGACAGCGTCCACATGACAGAGACATCTTGCAGATGTGGCCCCGGCGGGGGACGACACACCCAGGGCAGATTCCTTCACAGCCCAAGTCAGCTCCTCCCCTGCTCTCAAGCCAGCCGTGGCTCCCCAGAGCCTGTGGGGAGAAGCCCCTGCCCTTCCCAGAGCTCACGTGGCCCCCATGCCCTGGCTCCTCACCCTCTACACCTCCCCCTCAGCACTCTACCTGCCTTATCCCCCACACACCAGTGACCGCCGCTTCTCCCGACCTAAGCTGGTCCCTGTTCGGCTGTGCTCTCAGCCCTGAGTGGCCCCAGCCCCACCTGCAGCATCAGCTCTGATTTCCATCCCCCCGCCAGCATCCCCTCTCCTCTGATTTCTATTAATCAGTGTTGATAGGGGCATGAAAAAATAACAGCAGCTAACACTGGAACTCTTCCGACTCGGGAAGTGTGTGTCGGGGGGTACTATTAGAGTCTCCATTTCAGAGACAAAAAATAAGGCCCCGTTTCTTTCTTTTTTTTTTTTTTTCCAGAGATGAGGCCCCACTCTGCTGCCCAGGCTGGAGTGCAGTGGCATAACCATGGTTCATTGCAGCCTCAACCTCCTGGGCTCAGATAATCCACCCATTTTACTCTCCCACAGGTGCACACCATCACGCCTGGCTAACTTTTTAAATTTTTTTGTAGAGACGAGGTCTCCCTATGTTGCTGAAGCTGGTCTTAAACTCCTGGGCTCAAGTGATCCTTCTTCGTCGTTCGCCCAAAGTGCTAGGATTACAGGTGTGAGCCACCATGTCCCGCTGAAGGCCCCATTTCTTATTCAAGGTCTGACCTGTCAGTGGCTCAGCTGAGATTCAAACCCGGAGCCAGCATGCTGACCCAGTTCACCTGTGCCCGACATCATGCACGACAGCCCCACGTGTTGAGCAGGTACTATGTGTCCAGCAGCCTGCAGGTGCTTGGTGTGAGTTAATCACATAACCCTCAAGTCAGCTCCCGGGGACGTAATTCTAAGCATCCCCAGTATGTGGCTGAGGAAGCGGAGTTCACAGAGGCTAAGAGGCACCGGCCAAGGCCAGGCTGGTCCAACCCCAGTCAGTGGTGGTAACGCCCAGCCCAGCTCCCAAGCCCCCAGCCCTCAGCCATGGGGAGGTCTGCCAGGTCAAGACACACCCTGTGCCAGCCTCCCCAGAAGGCTGGTATGTGCAGAAGCCCACAGGAGGCTGGCTTTGTCACCAGAAAAAATAAGACTAACTTCACACTTGTCCTTAACTCCCCATCAAAGAGACTTTGACAGTCCTTGTGGGTGGAGGGCAGGTGGAGAAAGGGACAGCTCGAGGTCCCCTGTTGCTGGGGCTGTGGGAGAGCAGAGGGACGATCACAGTGCCCTCCACAAAGCAAGTGGGAGAAACAAGCCCTCGCCACCCACTGGGTATCACAGCCGCCCCTCCAAGGCCACCACTGTCCTGAGTGGCTCTCGCTCTCTGAGGCCTGCCTCCTGTGTCCCCAGTCTCAGACACTGCACCTCAGCCCCTCCCTCCCCCTGACTCCAGCTCCCATCCCTGAGCAGGCCCCAGAGGGCTACTCACCCCAAGCACGCGGGCCATCTCCCGGCTATCATTCTCCAGCAGGCGGAGCTGGCCCCGGAGGGTCTGCTGTAGGCCGGGGTCCCGCAGTCTGCTCTTCCTCCGCACAGCCAGCAGCTGCAGGGTCAGGTCTGGAGGGGCAGACGGAGGTTGGGCAGTTGGTCTGACCTGGGCTGGGAAGTCTGTGGGGCACTGTACTCCACCTGCCAGCCTCCAACCCACACACCTGACCCCGAAGGCCTGGGCAGTGAGCTCCTGGGGAGCCCAAGCCCCGGGTTTAGATCTCAACCTTGCCCCACCCCTATAAAGGCCTTGGACCACTGCCTAGCTCCCAGCCTGTTTCTTTCGGGGTGAGTGCCTGTCCTGTGGAGTGGTGGGGACAAGTGGACTCATGTCCCCTGCAGGCCAGGCCGGCACAGAAACCACTGCGCACAGATGGTCTCTCCTCCCTGTCACCGTGACCTCCAACCCCTCCCCTCAGCGCTCCGCCCCAGAGGGTTGCTGCATTGGAACTTGCGGGCACAGGACCTGGACAGCCGCACTTAGCAAGCTCCTCCTCCACGCCCATGGTGACTGTAAGGTGGGGAGTCTGGGACCATGGGGGCACCCACCTCCAGCAAACACGCCACAAGCACCTTGGAAATCTCAGTTCTGCCTCCCTAAGCCGGCTCCTCTCCACTTCTTCCCTGTCTCTCAGAGGGCAGAGGGCCCCCACCCCTGCTCGGATCAATGACACCTCCTACTCACACACCACATCAGCCACCAGCAACCCCATGGGCTCCACCCCCCACCCCACTCCTGCCCCCATCGTGGTTCTGAGCCTTGGCGGGTCTGACCTGGGCAGCTGTCCACACCTGGCCCTCCCTCCTGTCTGTCCCCTGGTCTGCGCAGAGCCATTGGGACCCCATGGCAGCATGGTCCGACCCATCGGCCCTACTCTGGGCCATCCCTGTGGCACCATCCAGCGGAATCTTCCGCAGGGGTGGGCACGTGCTCTGTCTGCTGTGTCCCATTCAGGGGCCACCTGCCACGGGGGCTGTGGAGCTCCTGAGATCCAGCCCCCTCCTCAATGTCTGAGGTTGGCAATTTCCCACTAGAATCCAGGCTCCTGGGGCTGTGACCCCATCTGCCCTATGCACTATCCCTTCCCAGTGCCTGGAGACGCTGAGAAAAAAGTGTTCCCAATCCTCCAGGTCAAGACTCGGCCCCAGATCTCTAGGCAGTGGCATTCCAGGGGCTTTGGCCTCTGCAGAGCATGGCTGCCCCAAGGGAGAAGGTGGGGAGAGGGGAAGAGAATGAGGAGTAGAAGGGGAGAAGGAGAGCAGGGAGAGGGGAGACACCGGGAGGGGGAGAGGGAGGGAGAAGGGAGAAAACGGTGCGGGGGCGGGTGGAGAGGGAGGGAGAGGGGAGAAACCAGGAGGGGGAGAGGAAGGAAGAGGGGAGAAACCAGGAGGGGGAGAGGAAGGAAGAGGGGAGAAACCAGGAGGGGGAGAGGGGAGACACCGGGAGGGGGAGAAGGAGGGAGGAGGGAGAAAACGGGAGGGGGAGAAGGAGGGAGGGGGAGAAAACAGGACGGTGGGGAGAGGGAGGGAGAGGGGAGAAACCAGAAGGGGGAGAGGGAGGGAGTGGGGAGAAAAGGGGAGGAAGGAGGGAGGGAGAAGGGAGAAAACAGGTGGGGGGAGAGGGAGGTAGAGGGGAGAAACCAGGAGGGGGAAGAAAATGGGAGGGGGAGAGGGAGGGAGGGGGGAGAAACCCAGAGGGAGAGAGGGAGGGAGGGGAGAGAAACCGGGAGGAAGAGAGAGAGGGAGAGGGGAGAAAATGGGAGGGAGAGACAGATGGAAATGAGACAGAGACAGAGATGGATTCTCACACCTTTGAATAAGCTTAAAGCACCTGCCTGAGAGTTTTCTGCTAGGGGACCCTTGAGCAAACACCCTCACCCCCTATGGGGGAAGGGCCAACCGGGCCAACCTGGAGACTTCTGGAATCTGGAATCCACTCCCCCAACAGGAGGCACCAGCCCATCATTCCACAATGGTTCCTGAGCTGTGACGGCCTTTTTTTTTTTTTTTTTTTTTTTTTTTTCAGAAGTTGCCCAGGCTGGAGTGCAATGGCGCAATCTCGGCTCACTACCTCTGCCTCCTGGGTTCAAGTGATTCTTCTGCCTCAGCCTCCCAAATAGCTGGGATTACAGGCATGCGCCAGCTAATTTTTGTATTTTTAGTAGAGATGGGGTTTCACCATATGGGCCAGGCTGATCTTGAACTCCTGACCTCAAGTGATCCACCCGCCTCGGCCTCCCAAAGTGCTGGGATTACAGGCGTGAGCCACCGCGCCCAGCCTGCATTTTCAAATTCTAAATAACGGTCCTATTGCCTAATGCGTCCTGGTCATCCCGAGTGGCCACCAGCAGTGCTGACCACACAAAAGGAAAGTCAAAGGACAGTCGGGCATCACCGCCAAGGGGCAAAGCCAGCAATGGATGCTGGGGTCTCCATTCCTCCCCAGCGGGGGGTTGGGGGGTCTCCAGGGTAAGGGGCTTCTTACACCTTCACAGCCAGCAGCTTCCTGGGCCCCCTTTGTGGGCTCTGCTCCCCGGCCCAGGGCTGCCTCCCTCCACCTGTGCCCTGCGGCGATCCCATCCCTGGGAAGCCTGTGCCTGGACACCTCACCCCACGACGCAGTGGGTACTTTCGTCTACCTCTTACCATATGGCACCTGTGAAGCCCCTCCCTGGGGTGTCACCCACGGAGCCCCCAGGACCGTGTCTGCCGTTTGTGCAGGTGCACACAGGGATGCCTAGGGGAGCCCCAGGGGCCATGTCCCCCTCTGGGTGCAGGACCTGGGCATGCGCATTTAACAAACCCTTCTTTCTATTCCCATCATGATTTTAAGGTGGGAAGTCTGAGGCCACACTTTGAGAAGCCCTGGGTTGGACTCTTGGATGCCCAGGGAGCGGCACAGCCCGGATTTGAACCTGAAGCCCTGTGTAGGGCCCAGGATGTTTACCTGTGGGATAAACCCCCATCTGGCAGGGAGGGGTCCCAGCAGCAGGCCCAGCCACGCGGGCAGGAGGAGCCTCGTCTGCAACACAGCAGGTTCCCAGGATTAGGGGAGACCAAGCAAAGGCCTGGCTCCTCTGAAGGCGCCAAACGCTCCAGGTCTCTCTGCAAGAAAAGAGGTGAGTTCTGTCCCGCACGAGCCGCCTTTCCCACAGCTGCCTTCCTCCAGTCTCCCCAGAGCCCAGCAAGGAGGGAAGCTGCCTGCACTTCCCAGCATGCTGTGACAAGCTGCCCCACACTCAGAGGCTTAAGACCACACGACTCGTATGATCCCGCCGCTCTCAAGTTCCAATGGGCCTCACAGAGCTAAAGTGAGGGTGTGGACAGGGCCCTGTTCCTCCCAGGGGCTCTGGGGAGAATCCACTCCTCGCCTTCAAGAGGCCGCACACGTCCCTCGGCTTGTGGCCGCCACTTCTACTTCCGCTTTGTCACTGCATCTCCTTTTCTGCCTCTCCCTCCTGCCTTCCTCCTACAAAAGCCCTGTGATTCCATGGAGGGCCCACTGGAGCATCCGGGATCATCTCTCCATCTCGAGATCCTTGCCTTTGATCACATCTGCAAAGTCCCCTTTGCTGGATGAGGTAATGCAGGCGTAGGTCGTGGGGATAAGGACATGGGCATCTTTGGAGGACTTTATCTGAGCCCACAGACGGGCTCAGCCTCACAGCTTGTGCAGGTAGGAGCCAGGACATAGACCCCTACTGGTTGCTTGGTTCCCTGCTGGGGGTCACCCCTCTGGCCATTGGTCCTGCAGAGTTTGCATCTTGGCCTGGGCACTTCATCTCTGTCCTGCGCAGTTTCTCTATCCAGGCCTCAGGATCCAGGGGGATCTGATTAGGAAAACCTGCAACTGCAGCAGAGAGTAGTGAACTTCTGTGTGGCCGGTCTTCACAGCCTCCTAGACGTCTCACTCAGAGCCCTGGGCGCCGCACAGCCACAGTGGTCTTGGGCCTTGCATTGGGACGGTGTTCACTTCACACCCGCATTTGCTGACCACCTGCAGTGGCGTGCACTCGCCCGGTGTGGCCAGAGCCCATTCCTAGGCCTCACTTGCTCTGCAGCCCCAGCCCAAGCCCAGAGCTAGGCATGCAGTGGGGGCTCAGAAATGTCTCAAATGGGCCGGGCGCAGTGGCTCACGCCTGTTATCCCAGCACTTTAGGAGGCTCAGACAGGTGGATCACCTGAGGTTAGGAGTTTCAACATGGTAAACCCCATCTTTACTAAAAATACAAAAATTAGCCGGGCAGGGTGGCGCACACCTGTAGTCCCAGCTACTCGGGAGGCTGAGGCAGGAGAATCACTTGAACCCAGGAGGCGGAGGTTGTAGTGAGTCGAGATCACACCATTGCACTCCAGCCTGGGCAACAGAGCGAGACTCCATCTCAAAAAATAAAAAAAAAGAAAGAAATGTTTCAAATGGAAAGAAGTATGTGGTGCTCAGATCTTGACTCCGTTGGCCGATGCACCTGACAGCGGTAACCGAAACACACCCCGCAGATGCCCCCATGGGCTAAGAAGAACGTGTGCTCGGATTTTGAGCTAAAGAATCCAGCAGCAGCCAGCCTGGAGATTCACTCCCTGTCTGAAGAAGATCTGAGCCCCTGGCTCATTGCAGGGAATGCAGGCCATGCAGATCCTGCCCCTTTGCTTGGAAGGGTTGGATGAGGGTTGCCAGGTGGAGGATGGTAGAGGGAGGGTGCTAAGGGAAAATGCTACATCAACTGCATGCTTTTCACAGGGGTCCTGTCCAGCCCGCCACTGCTGAACCACCCTGTACGCAAGTCCTCTCAATCAACCCTGTGTCATGGTCGCTGGCTCTGGGTCTCCTCTTCAGTCTCTCAAACAAGGTGCCATCCCTATTGAAGTTGATAGAGTTCCGGCCCAACAGCTTCTAAACACCATCCTCCAGTTGAAAAGCCAGGGCTCCCTGGAAACACGGGGCTGTGGATATGGCCGATCCCAGGGCTATGGCAGGGAAAGTGCAAGATAAGCCTGGAATATCTCATGTCCCAGAAAGTGAGGACGCACCCACTAAGTGACGAAGACACAGGGAAAGCCCAAATCTAGGGTGATTTGAATGACAAAATAGGTAATGATGTATATAGTATGGAGATGCAATTAAAGATGTGTGAGCCTACAATGAAATAAATCAATGGATAACTGGGGAGCGGGACAGCTCTTCCTTAGAGTTGAAAGCTGATTGCTGAATGGAGAAGGGTTGCCTAATTAGACAGTCACTGCCTGGCAGCCTCTGTCGCAAGGATTATTTCAGCCAGGCCAGCCCATGATGAGACAGTAGCGCTTCATGAATTTGATGAGGAACAGGATATTCACGCAGTTTCAGAGTGTTGTCCCCCCAGCTACTTACTAACTGCAGAGGGGAGAAAAATAACTGTGCAGTGGGGAGAACTGGCAGCCGCCCCTTCTCCAAGGGACCAAAATTAGCGTCACCAGCCAGAGACTAATAGACATCGTCTGCACTGAAGAAACATCACTTCTGCGGGATTCCTGCCCAAATCCCTAATGTGATCGTGAAGAAATAGTAGCTGCACTCGAATCGAGGGACATTCTACAAAAGATCCAAACTGTATCCTTCAAAACAGCAGCCTCCAGATTAAAAGGTACCTCAGAGAGGTCGCGGTCACGTCAGAACACAAGGTGTGACCCAGGAATTTTTTTTTTTTTTTTTTTTGCTATAAAGGATATTATTGGGATAAATGGCAAGATCTGAATGAGGCCTGTAGATGAGGTGATGGTGTTATTAAAAGCAGGGAATTAACATTGAAATAATTACAATGCGGTTATATAAGAGAATGTACTGGTTTTAGGAAATATGGACACCTTTTAGGATGAAGGGGCATCATGTCTGCAATTTACTCCCAAAAGGATCAGAAGAAAATCACACACACACACACACACACACACACACACACACACGAGTACACACACAAAGTAAAAGTCCTAAAATGCGAACATTCAGGGAACCTGGGTATGGGCAAATGGAATTATCTGTACTATTTCTTGCCACCTTTGATGTCTATCTGAAATTGTCCAGAGAAGACGAGGAGGTGAAGGAGCTGATGAGGAGCCCCACCCCAAGCCAGCTTTCCCTTGGCCAAGCAGGGAAAGTTTCCTCAGCTCCCCTCCGCTCGGTCCACAGAGATTCACTCCAGGGAGAGGCGATGCCACGGTGCTTTGCTGAGCCTCCGGAGGAGGAAACACCCAGCCACTCAGGGCAAAGGCTTCCAACTCCTACCACTCCCCTTCCCAGAGGCTCCCAGCTCCTCCCTGGGCCCCGCGGCTCTGTGGGAGGCTGGCCAGGGCCCTCCTGCGCGTCTCAGTCTCCTTGTGCACTCGTGGCCCTGGGCACAGCGCAGCCCCTTCCTTTCATGAGGCCTGCCCTGGAGGGAACGCGATTCCATGGCCAGGTGGGCTCCCCAGGCCCAGGCCCCACCCCAAACCTCTGAGCCGCCCTTCCTGCCCAGGCATGCCAGTGCCTGCAGACCACTTCCCCTTTGTGATCAGTGCAGGAGGCCATCCACCCCCTCCCATCTCCACCCTCAAGCAGAAGGGCAGGATCGCAGGTATAAAACACTCCCACACCTGGCTGTGAGCCAGGCGACAGCATCTGAGGTTTCCACGCCACTGTCCAAACACATCCTTCATTCATCAATCCCTTGAACAGTGACGAAGCACCTACCATGTGCCAAGCCCTGGAGTCCCAAGACAGGGACATAGGCAGCTAAGAGGAGACTGGGCTGAGGCTGGACACTGGGAGGACGAGGCCCAGGGACGGGTCACAACCGCAGCTGTCTCCTGCCGGGAGGGGCCGTGCAGGCCTTGGTCTCCCCTGCCTCTCCCCTCGTCCCCTTCAGGGTCTCAGGATGGGGGTAAGAGGGGATCCTGGAGATCACCTAGGTCACTCTTCAGGTCTCCCGGGAATTCAGGAAACTGGGCACACGTCCTGGCCCGGCCCCTGACCACAGGGTGGCCTGGCCCGGCCCTTCCCTCTCTGCACCTTGGGTGCCTCCTGGAGAACGAGGATGCCTCATCCTGAGGACTCTCAGGGGTTCCAAGGCCAAACCCATCGGACTGTTTCTGGAACGGTCTCTGAACATGGGGGTTCAAAGGCCCCTGCCTCGTTCTTTGCCAGTTTTGTTATCACTGACGCGTCCCTGGAAAAACACGAGCTGGGCCCTGGCCTCTCAAGTGACTCAGCGGGCACAGTGGCTCCTGTTAAACACACGCGGGGGAAGGAAACGAGAAGTGATGGAGAGCAGACTCCAGCCCCAGCCCCAAGAGGCCTGGAGGCAGGCAGGGTGGTGAGGGATGGATGGACGGGGCGGGTGGGGTGGAGAAGTGGGTGGGATGGAGGGCGGGTGGTGAGGGTGGAATGAACTCACCGCCTCTCACTGGCGCCTTGGCCTCCTCGGGCCCCGCTTTCTCCCAGCTCACAGAGGGCCTCATGACCACAGTCCGGACCTGGTCCCGGGTGCTGCCACCTCCTGAGGGTCCCACAGGACCCCTCCCCATGGGGGTCGGCTCCTCAGTGGTCACGGCAGGGAGGTTCTCCATGACCCGCAGAGACCTCACATGCCTGGCCCTGTGGACAGAGGGGGTGTGGTCAGGAGAGGTGGCCCCTCCAGAACCAGCACGGAGGTTGTGTCCAGGCCTGGGGTCCAGAAAGAGAACACCAGCGTTGCTGAGCGCCTGCACCTTTCAGATCCAGCGAGCCCCTCACCGCACCGTGCACCGTGTTGTGGTGGGCGTGATCCCGCACCGCTGCTGCGCCTCCCCTCCCTATCTCGGGTTTGCTGTGCTCCCTTCCTCCACGGGGCCTCCTCTCGCTGGTTTTCTGCCTGGAGTCCCCTTCCCTGTCGAGGCAGAACCCCTGGGTGCCTTGTGCCCCTCCTCAGGAGCCGGTCACTGCCTCTTTGCTGGGCCGTCACACCCAACAGACCGTGCTCCCGGAACAGTGCTCCGTCGCCTGTCAGAAGACACAGAAGGACACATTCGAGTCCCCCTTCCAGCGTCACAAATAGGCACAGGGGCCATGGGGACGGCAGCCTGGGCCAGGGCTGAGGTGCACAGGGGACAAACCCCAGCTGTGGCCGCAGGGACGGGGTCAGCCACGTCCTCCTCAGCTCCGGCCTCAGACAGAGGCGCTAATAAGAGAGGAGGATGGCAAGCACATAGTCAGAACCCTGCTGTCCCCAAAGGGAGGGCTTGGTCATGGGGGGCCTCACTGTTCACTGATTGTGGGTGGGGAAAGGTCCACCCTGCCCCTCCAGAACACCATGGCCAGGGCAGTTTTCAAGTCCAGAGCCTCGGGGAGCAATGGGGATGCAGAGGAAGGAAAAGGGGTTCCATCCGTGCCTGATGTGTGGTGAGAAGATTTTCCCTGCTGCTGTCTAATACAGGCTCTGCTGCCCCTGCTTGGTGAAATGTGAGGTGGGGAAGAAATAAGCCCAGCGTGCCCCGCAGCTCCTGCCTCCCATCTCCCCGCCCAGCAAGATATTCTGAGCAAACACTGGGACAGACTTTCCGGTGCGTGGACTCGTCCCCTTGCTCCTGGCTTGAAGCCCCTCAGTGGCCAGCAAACATCCCCTCTGCAGGCAGGGCATGGAGAACCGGGACGGCCATGCCTCTGACCTCTGTCTGGGAGCAAAAGTGCAAGTCTGGCCTCCTGCTGTCCTGTCACCCCTTTTGTGGTGGATGCTGGGGGGCAGGGCACCCAGGGCTTGCCAGGGCCTCCGTCCGGGCCTCAGAGCCCTGATGGGCCCACGAGGCTGGGGCCTTCCAGCTGCCAGGACAACCCCCAGAGCCTCCTGTCCTTATCCCCATCTCCCACTTCCACCCTGCTCTCTGGGCGGGGAACGTGGCAGGGGACTGGGAGGCAAATCAGGCAGCTGTTGGGGGTGCGTGGGGTCTGCAGTCAGGGACAGAGGACGCAGCTGTGAAGGGGAGGCAGGAGGCCCTGGACATCGAGCACCTGGGAAGGGCAGAGAGGCACCCCTGGGAGCTTCAAGCCAGGAGCAGGGGGACGAGTCCATGCGCCACAAAGTCTGTCCCAGTGTCTGCTCAGAATGTCTTGCAGGGGCGGGGAGATGGGAGGTAGGAGTTGCGGAGATGCTGGGCTTATTTCTTCCCCACCTCAGTTTTTTACCAAACAGGGCAAGCTGGGCCTGCGTTAGACAGCAGCACGGAAAATCTCACCATACATCAAGCACAGATGGAGCCCAGTTTCCTTCCCCAGCACCCCCAGCCCTCCCCCGAGGCTCTGAGCCTGAAAACCCAGAGGCGGTCAAGACTGACCTCAGGACAGTCCCAGGACAGTAGGTGCCAACTGGCACACCTCCTGGTACCAGACACCTTGGTCCAGCAACCCCCAGGGAAGGCCTACCTCCCCAGTGCAGAGATGGGGAAACTGAGGCTCTGAGGGGCTAGGCAATTCTCAAGCCTGTGTGCAAGCACACACACACACACACACACGCACCCGCACACCTGTCAGACCAAAGCAGAAGTGCACACTGAAGCTGCCATCCCTGCCATGCCTTTTCCCACCCACGAGCACCTCCTCCCTCCCCGCACTGCTCTCGGCTCGGGCCACCACTGTGGCGACAGGTCCCTTCACAGAGGCTGCTCCCCAAGAGGCAGCTCCTGTGTAATGTTTAGTACAGGATGAGGAAACCCTCATGGGGGGCAAGTTGGCTGCAGACAGGGACGAGTGGGTGTCATGTAAGCCCAGCCATCACCCCTGCCCCCATGGCTGTGGCTGTCACCCTGAGAACTGGCCTCCCAGGCCCCAGCTCACCTCATACCTTGGGCTCCATCAGCAGAGCAGGGGCGGGAGGAGCCCACGGTCTAAAGTCCTTGGTTTCAACAACCACCCACCTCCCACACAGAGGGAGGGAGACCCAGGCCTGCTAAGTTGGGAATTTCGACAGAATAGTGATGGTTCCGTGAGGGAGGTTCTATGAGGCATAGAGAGGGTCCCCTAGCTCTGGCCGGGGAGGGAATCCCACAGTCAGGGAAGGCTCCCTGGGGATGCTCAGAGTGCAGGGCCTCAGCCGGATCAGCCCCGGGCCAGCAAGGCTTGCAGAGGCGACAGCCCCTGGCTGTGAAGTGCCCCGGCACCCCACCTTCCATCTGCACACCTGCTCCAACTGTAATCTGATTGATCAGTTTGTGGCCAAATCCTTCCCACCCCCCAACCACCTCTGAGGGGCAGGGACCAGGACCTGTGGGGGCCGGGAATGGTGAATCAGGAGACATCTGACGCCAAGAGGCACCCAAGAGACCCTCCGGGGAAGCTGTTCGCCCAGGAGTGGGAGCAGGGTGCAGCCCATGAGACTTGCTTTCCAAAGGAGGAAGCGTGAGTGGAACTGCGGACGCAGAACACAGCCTCACTGATCAAATGCCCTGTGCAGCCTGGGGCCTTCACCCTCCCTGTTCCCATGTCCTGGGACCCTGGTCACGCCTGGAGAGCTCTGGGCACCTTCAGGGGCAGTGCAGGATGCCCTGGCTGCCCTCGCCCAGCCTCGGACTTTGCTTTCTCCTCCTTGCTCTGCAGGACTGCGGTCCTGGCACCTGTGGCTGCCTGTGCCCACCACCTGGCCCTGAGTCTGTGGCAGCACCAGGAAGCCCCTGCCTGCAAGGCCAGGCTGTCTTCCCATCTCCTCTCCGGAAGCACATGGAGGCGTCTCAACAAAGCGCTGGAATCCACTCCCTGGGCATGCGAGCTCCCTGGTTTAAGGGGTCTTTCGCTCCGAACGCCTGACCTTGGAGTCCTTGTCCTCCCATCTCTGCCTTTTTGTCCCTCAGAAGCTGGGTCTTATGTCCCTATAGGCAGAGCAGGAGTCCCAGCAGCCTCTCTCCATCCACTGGCTGATGCCCGGGACACCTGCCTGCCTCCCAGCCCACCACCTCCCCCTGGGTTAGGAACAGGCCTGTTCGAAACGGCATCCAGGGCTTCTCCGGGCCTGGCACACAGCTGGTACTCAGAGACTGTCTTCTGAGAAAAGGAGGGCTCCCCAGGCTCAGGGAATTTCCCACCTGCTGTTATAACCCTAAGCGTGGGATTCCTGTGCAGAGCCTGGCGATGAGGAAGTGAGCTCCTTCTCCACAGCGTCCCCTCCCTCAGCCCTGCAGGCCCAGCCACCACTGCACAAGCAGAGGCCCCAACCACGGGCAGGTGTTGACGCCCCCAGGGGCCAGCTCACCCAGCTGGGGGACCACCAAGCAGCCTGCAGGACTCTCTCCTTCCTGCCTTCATCCTGTTTGTTCAGTTTATCATCAGGACAAACCCTTGGGGGGCCCTGGATGGGTCAGAACAGGCTCCAGCCCCAGGCCAGCCTCCAGCCCCGGGGGAAGGGGTGGAGTTTGGCTCCAGAACACGGAGACGTGGGGCCAAACCCCGGTGTCTGGGAGGCCTCTCCATGCCTCAATTTACTGAGCCAGAAAATGAGAATGAGCACGCACACCGCACAAGTGGGTCGAGTGGGTTAAAGGGACAGTGCTCCTGGTCCACAGTCAGAGTTTGGTGAATGTGGGTTGGAAGAAGAAGGGAGAGGGCCGCGGCCAGCCCTGAATGGGTTTGGGAAGCTTTGGCCAAGCTTTCGCCAGGCTCTTACGGAACAAATACTTCTAGGGCCATTGAGACCTCACCTATGCCACCAAGCACCTCCGGAGGGTTGGCTTGTCACCTCGCATCCTGGGGTGACACTGTCCTTTCAAAATTCATGCCCCCAGAAACCTCAGAATGGGGCCTTATTTGGAAATGGTCTGCGCAGATGAAGCGACCTTCCCTTGGGATGAGGGTGTTCCAGATGAGGATGGCCCTAAATCCAGTGCGTGGTGTCCTTGTAAGTAAAAGAGAGGACACGGAGACACACAGAGGAGCCGGGCAGGAGGCCATGTGACCACCAGGGCGGAGAGTGGACTGATGTAATCACAGCCAAGGAGCGCCCTGAGCCACAGGCAGCGGGAAGAGGCAGGGAGGAGCCGCCCAGTAGCCTTCTGAGGGACGCCTTGAGTTCGGAATTCCGACCTCCAGAGCCGCGAGAGAACACG
The DNA here is from genome assembly GCF_000001405.40 of Homo sapiens. Classification (NCBI taxonomy): domain Eukaryota; kingdom Metazoa; phylum Chordata; class Mammalia; order Primates; family Hominidae; genus Homo; species Homo sapiens. The sequence continues at coordinate 8,200,697 of NC_000004.12, read as the reverse complement.
ACCGAGAGGGCTGTGTCCTGCGCTCTGGCAGCAGGGGAAACCGGCGCACCCGTGCGCTGCTGGGCCCTGCCTTGCTCTTCTGTGTTGTGCGGCCATCGTCACCCGTGTTGCTGGAAGAGTGAGTGACGTCTCCATGCAAAAAACGCTGGCCCAGCGCCCCACACGGGACACAGTTGTCATCACTGTCAACAACAGTGTTGACAGTCACATAATTATGGCCATCCAGGGTGCTCACAGCATCCTCGGCTCACCTGGAGGAGGGAGGCACAGCTGTGCCCCTTTCACGGATGAGCCATCAGCTGCGGTGACTCTGCCTGCCCAAGGTCACACAGCCAAGCAGCACAGGTGGGGTTGAACCCAGGTGGTCAGAGCCCAGCCCCCACATACCCATCCTAAACCCAGACCTGACTCGGGCCCAGCCTTGCCTCCAGCCACAAGCTCAGCCGCAGCCCCGCTGCCTGGCGCTGGGAGGCCACACCCTGAGTGGCCGGCCCACATGCAGGCTGCCCCTGGCCCTGGCACTGGCCGACACCGCTAACACCCCCCAGCGTCACTTTGCTATTCATCTCATCTGAGCCTCGTCAACGGCAAAAGGTTGGAAACTCCCGCTTCACAGACAGGGCAGGGCTCCCAGGGCTCCTGGGGATCACGCACAGGCCCAGAGGGGGTCTCAGTGGTGTACACACACAGGAGCACACGCCCCGGCACACCTGCAGTTGAAGGCTGGGCCCAGACCCTCCCTGGAATTTTCAGGCTGAAGCCCCTGGTCCAGTTGCTGGTCCATTTGGTTGTTGGAAAAGAGGCCCAGGTGGCGGCATCAGAGTGGCCAGTTATAGCCACTGCGGTGCCGGGTGAGGCTGAGGCGCTGGGCTCGCCCTGGTAGGTCTGGTAGTGTGGCCCAAGCTAACCGGGCGCTGGGGTCACACCTGAGATCCGCTGGACTTGGAATCCAGCGACAGGCTGGCTCTGCTCCCAGACCCCCAGGGCCGCTCATGCCAAGGGCCAGCACGGGGTCAGGCCAGGTCCCAGAAGCAAGGGTGCTTGGTCAAAGCTGAAATCATTGCCCTCAATCACTGCGGATTGGCACTGCCAGCACCTGTGAGCTCTGAGTGGGGTCTGCTGAGGGTGCCGACGACCTCCCCGAGGCCCCCAGCTCGCAGTTTCGCTCCACCCCCATCCCAAACAGGTCAGAAAAGTCCTCAAGAAAGTGTAAAGATCCAACCATGGCAAGACTGGCAGACAGCAGCCTGCTCGGCCAGTCCACGCCCCGCCTGCCCCGGAGCCCCCCATACCTGCGGCGTGTTCCTCAGAGGCAGCTCCCAGGCCCACAGGGCCGTAGCACGCAGGAACCAGGTGGCCGCTCCTGGCCCAGCGCTGGCTGGCCCCACGGGGCTGTCTCCAGCTGGACGGAGCAGGCAGGGGCCGCCCACAGCCAGGCTGACTGCACAGCGGCCTCCGCCCCCTGCTTCCTGCCCTACTTCCTCCCTGCGCCTGAGGGCCGGTGACGGAGAGGCAGGCCCAGGGCGGCTGCACAGACACCGCAGCCGGTTGATCATTAGCTCTTTCCTGGACGAGGTCCAGGCCCTGTCCTGCCTGCCCGCTGCCCAGCCCCCAGGCTCTGTAGTAGAGGCTAGGGGCACCCAGTCCCCCGCCAGGCTGGGATTGGGGAAGTCCACCAGCCACCGGCTGCCTCAGCCCTGCCAGCCTCAGCTCTGATCTCTGTTCCTCTTCCATTTACTGCACACACACACACACGCATGCCTGCACACATACATGCATGCACACACACACGCATGTGCATGCAGACACACATACATATGCATGGGCACACAGAGACTCACAAGCACAAGTGTGTGCACACATGGACAGGCACACGTATGCACACAAACGCTCACGTGCAATTTCTTCCGTCTCTGCCCGGGTGCCCTCCGGGCCACTGGCTCCATCAATGGGAACATTTAGGGGAAGAGATGGGCTCCCCTCCTCCTCACCGCAAGCTCTCCTTGCTAGCCTGGCCTGTCCCAACGGGTCTACCTCTTTACCCTCCCACCGTCTCCAGGCCTGAGCCAGGTTTGAGAGCAGAAACCTTCCCAGCCAGGCAGACCCAAGGCCAAAGCACGTAATCTCGCCCCTGCCTGCTGAGGAAGCCTGGCCTGGGCTCACGTCAGCTGGGACAAGAGGCAGAACTGAACTCAAATTGCCCTGTTGGTCCCGCCTGTCTGCCTGCTCTGATGCCCTTGCCAACACAGGAGTGTGAGCACCCACGTGGTGGGTGTGGGCTGCGGGCTCCGGCCCAGCTCTAGGAAGTGGGAATGGGAGGGATCCCTCCAGCCTGTGCTGTGATAGGTCGGAGCTTTACACACACCTGGTTTGAGAAAACCAAGAATAATCCCTAAGTCAAATAGTTATGTATCCATCTCACAGACAGGAAAACTAAGGCTCAGGGAGGTAATGTGACATGCCCAAGGCCAGTGACCAACAAGAAGATAAGACTGGAACCAGGTCTGACTGGTTCTGAAGGCTTTAGGGCTGGGCTTTTCAACCAAGGCACTACCGACATTTGGGGCCGCATCCTTCTTTGTTGCAGGGCGGGGGGCTGTCCTGTGCACTGGAGGGTTTTAGCTGGTCCCTGGCCTCCACCCACTGGATGCCAGTAGCCCCCTCCTCTAATCATAGCAGCCAAACATAGCTCAGATATTGATCCCCTGGGGGTGAAGTCACCCCAGGCTGAGAACTCCCAGCCCAGGTGAGCTACTCAGGTCAAAGCCCCTCCAGCCCACACCTGCGTCCTTCATCCTCGCCCTCCCGTCCTGTTCACCTTTCTCTAATCACAGGCTCTGCCCAGGGGCTGACGCTTACCTCAAGTCCCTGCATCCTGCACGGTGAGCCCTCAAGTCACACCCTCCCTCCGCCCCACTGAGGCCAGGGCCCGGGATCGGGGGTGCAGCTGCAGATGCCCTAGGCATGCCCCTCGCTGCCCTGAAAAGAACTCGAGGATGGCCCAGGTGAGGCCCAAGCCCCTTAGGGGCCCAGCCTCCAGGCTCCCCGGCCCGGCCTGGCCAGGCCCCACCTTCCATGCCATCAACATGCTCAGTGAGCACACGGTGGGTTGGAGGGTTCAGAGGCACCAAAGGACACTTTGAGAGAATCCCCAGTGGCAGCAATCTGAAAGTCTGACCCACAGGCAGAGGGGCCGCAGCTCCCAGACCAGCTCTTCTTCCCTGCGGGGACACGGCTCCCCAGCCCCGGCTGCGTCTGAGGAGGAAGATGGTGTTCTCTCTGGCCTCGTCGAGGGGCAGTCACTCTATCAGTTTCATGGGGCTGCCACAACTGTGTGCCACAAACTGGGGTCTCCAGACAGCAGAAATGTCATCTCTTACAGTTCTGGAGGCCAAAAGTCCAAAATCAAGCTGTCGGAAGGGCCATGCTCCCTCCAGAAGCTCCAGGGGAGGCCTCTTCCTGCCTGCTCCAGCCTCTGGGGCTCCAGGTATGCTCCGGCTAGAGGTGGCATCGCTCCAGTCTTTGCCCTTGTCTCCACCCAGCCTCCTCCTCTGTGTCTGTGTCTCCTCTTCAGTCTCCCTTAAGCGCCCTGTCACTGGATTTGGGGTCCACCTAAATAACCCAAGATGATCTCATCTGGAGACCCTTAAGGAAATTATATCTGCAAAGATTCCTTTCCCAAATAAGGTCAGGTTCACAGGTTCAGGGTGGTCCTACCTTTTGGTGTCAGCTCGGTACATAAGCTGTGAAGCAGGCCTGGGACAGTGGTTAGAAACATTGGCCCCCAATCACAGCCCCTCAACCCCAACAGCCTGCAGTCCCTGCAGCCTGCTGTCCTCTCAGCCCCCTCCTTGGGCCTTGGGGATGGACGATACAAGGTCCAGGGACCCCATCCTGAAGCCCCTCCTGGACTCCAGCCCTCAGCACCCCACCCTTCCTTGCAGACACCTGCCAGCCCCATCTCCCACCTTCCTTCTCCCATCAGGGCTCAACTTTCTTCCTGCCCAGCCCCCACCAGCTGGAGGCCTCTGTCCAGCTCCCTCTGCCTCCCCTGTCTCAGGGGACTGGGTAATGCTTCCACCCTTGACAAAGGTCCCACTGCTGAAGCCCAGAGCACTTTGGGAGCTGGATTCTACTGGCAGCTTCCCTGTGGAATGGGTGCAACTCTGGGCACCCACCTCTCCTCCATGTGGGCTGCTTTCCTGGGTGAGTGGCCACCCCCGAGGCATCTGCCACCCCAGTGCCCAGGACCTGTGGATGCCCACAGAAGCACCCAACATCACCCCACCCCACCCCTCCAGGTCTTCCTCTCCCCACGTCCCCACCAGTGCCACCTGTAGCCTCTGAGGCTCCCTCCCCTGCTCAGCGAGTCTTCTCCACCGAGGGTCACATTCGTGCCTCGGGTCCAACACATCCATCAACACAACCTCATGGAGTGGTCACTTCCTCCAAGTAGCCCTGGGTGTCAGGCGGGTGGGGACGTGAGATCTGTGGCCAGGCCCTGAGTCATCGTAAAGATTAAATTAGACTCAAGGACTTTTCTAACAAGCCAAGCACAGGTGCACACCTCAGTTGCACTGAGATTCTGTGCATGTAACAAATGCCCGTGCCGGGTCCTCTCCGCAGCCTTGGCCCAGCGAGGAGCACAGAGGGGCTGCGCTCGACAGGCAGGTGGGGAAGAACCGACGTCCCTGGGAGGTTAGCGCCTCCTACCAGTGCCCTGGCCTCGTCACCCCCATCACGGGATGGGGCTGCCCTGTGCCCCTGCTCAGATGATGGCCCCAAGGGGCTGTGGGGAGAAGTGGGGAGTTGGCGCCCAAGACCACCTGTGTCAACTTGCTGCCTGCCTGTGGCACCTCCTTCTCTGGGCCTCAGTTTCCCATCTGTGACCTGAGACTCAAAGCGGGTGCCCCCAGTTCTCCAGCCTGCTCACACCTCCACCCCTTCTCCAGAGTAGGCAGAACACATTTCATCTCCTGGCCAGAGATGCTTGGCTTCCCCTGTGTTTGTTTTTCTGGAAGCTACGTTGAAAAAAGCCCCCAGACGGGCTCCACATCCACACACGGGTCTGGAGACATTTCCTCTCCTGGCCATTGTCCCCTGCTGTGGCTGGAGACCCCGTATCCTGTTTGTCTCTGCAGCTGTACTTCTGGCCCAAGGCCGGGGGAATTTTCCAAGAGCCTCCCCAACTGCACAGAGCACCCCGACTCCACACAGCACACCCAGCAGCCTCCTAGAGGAAGGTGCCTGAGCCTTCAGGGCTGGGGGCTTTCCAAGCACGCCCAACTGGAGGCTGCAGACACTGGGGCAGAAGCACACACAGCCCTGCCTGCCAGAGGACCTGTCCGAACCCCAGCTCAGGCTTCAATTCTCCCGGGACAATCTGTCACTCCTCTGGGCCTCAGTCTCTCCATCTTGCAAATGGTAGAGTTGGGCTTGGAGATTTCTAAGTGCCCTCCAGTTCTGCTCCCTGATGTGGTTGTAATAAATTCAAATTGTCACTTGCCAAGAAGATGCTCAGTCCTTCACAAGGATTGTCATCACATGGGGCTTGCTGATGGCGCCACCAGCTTGACTGTCTCCTGATGCCTGCTGGTGAGTATCTCCTGATGCCTGCTGGTGAGTGTCTCCTGATGCCCGCTGGACTGATTCACAGAGGGTCTAGAGGAGGCATGACCTGCCCAGGGCCACACAGCTCCTATGTGGCAGAACCAGCCCAGATCCCAGTCCTTCCAGCACCAAACCTGTGTTCCTCACCCCTCCCTCAACTGCCCTCTGGGGCTTTCTAAGGTGTGAGTGGAGCAGCCGGAGACAAAGGCAGTGGTGCCCTCAATTGCCGGAAACCCCGGGAAGCAAGTCCTGCCCAGGAGTCTGGGGTTTTCCAGGGAACCTAACACCCACTCCTTCGAGCACCAAGCTCCAGAGTTAATCTTTGCAATGGTGCTCTGGAAAGCAACGACCGTCCTCTGTCCCTTTCCTGATCTCTGGGACCAGCTGGTGTTTTACTGAATTATAAGGCAAGGTGACCCATCGCCAGGGTGAGGGGATAGTCTTAGAGTTTCTCCATCTCCCCACCTGCCTTTTACACCAGATTGTTCCCCGTTTCTGGCCTGCTCCGGGCTGGGAAGCTGCTGAACAGGTATGTTAGAGTTAGAGAGAAAACAAAACAAGCCACCCTGACCAGAGGCTTTCCCTGAGGGCGGAACAAGCTCATTTTCAGCAAGTGCTTCCCATCCCAGGGTCTGGCTGCTCAGGAGTCTGGGCAGACAAGGTGCCAGGACACGATTTCTAGCCAGCACTAGAAGCGGCAGGCATGGCCACGATGGCCTGGGAAACGCGAGTGCGCCTTCAGACTTTTTCTGTGACTCTCCCAGGTCGCTCAAAGAAGCTACCAAATCTGTTCCTGTGTCCTTCCTTCAGGAAAGCCCAAATCTGGCCCACCTGGGACAGAGCAGCGTGAAGCCCCCAGCCACACCCTTCAGCTGTGGCTTTTTAGCGCCACCACCAACACCCCCCGCCGCCCCTTTTAATTATCCATCTCGAAGGTCCCAGGACAGCTCCTAGCCAGAGCCTCGGAGGCACACCCTGAGTGCTGACCAGGCTCCCTGAGGCCCGAGCCCCAGGCTGCAACTCAAGCCAGGGGTGCTGGCTGGGGAGCAGGGGCCCTGCCTTCTACCTCCCGCACGGGTGGTGGCTTTTGTCTTTGCGTTTTTCAGCCTCCTGCAGCAAATGATGACAGCTGCAGTCATAGGAAGGCACAGGCAGTTTCTGGCTTCATCACACTGTCTCAGAGCATCTTCAGTTCTCTGCAGTGAATCATCTTGGGCTCAGAAGGTGATCCGGACCTGCCCCCATACCAGCAGGGGTCCTGGGGACTGCATCCCTCACAGGAAACTGCACTTCTGAGGGTCGGTCCCACTCCCCACCTCCAGGTAATGCTGCTTTTTGCAGCTTGGAGCCCCACCTGCCACTGGCGATGGCAGCACCCCCATCTCAGCTCTGCTTTGTGGGACCCTACCTGTCCCATGGTTTGGCTGCTCACAGGAGGAGCTTACAGACAAGTGGAGGAAACTGACTGGGAAACAGATCAGGATGGCAAAGCATGATTGGTGCAGCAGCAAAGGGAGGCCTGGGAGGAAAGAGAGGAGGATGAAATCAAGGAAGGCTTCCTGAAAGAGGAGGCATCTGGGCTGAGACTTGGAGGGAGAGGAACCAGGCAAAGCAGGGGCGTAAAGGGTTTCTCAGGGGTCAGGGCCAGCTCAAACAATTGTGCTCCTGGCAGGCAGTGAAGTGGCTCCCACAGCCACTTCAGGGGACTATGGACACTGGTAGCCAAGGAGAGGCCAGCATGCTTGCACCCCAAGGGGTTAATCTACAATGCCATAAAAGTGACTCTCAGGAATGCGGAGGCCAGGGGCTAGAGGCTACCCATACTCTCCCCACTTTCGCAGGCTGCTGGTTCTCCCATTGGCCCTGTCCAGCAGAAACAGGCGCGCAGGAGCCTCCAAGGTCGTTCTAGAAGAGGGGAGGCAAACGTGCTCTGGGTAGGGCCGGGGGATGCGTATTTGGCTTTGCCAGCCATCAGGTCCGTCACAACCCTGCCCTTACAGCAGGAAAGCAGACAGATAGCAGTAAGTGAACAGGTGTGGCCATATGCCAAGAAAACTATCTATTATACAAGACAGGGGGCCAGATGTGGTCATGTGGTTTGTGGACCACAGAGCTGAGGCTGTCTTGTGCTGTGAAACAGGCTTGAAACATGGTACATCACGTCAGGCCCCGCTTCACTGCTCCACCCTGGTCATGCCTGCAACTGTGCAAATATATGCACAGAGAAGCCAATCACCAGGTGGCGACATGAACCTAAACTCGGAGCAGAAGAGAAGGCAACAAATAAAGACAAGTGGGCCGGGCACCGTGGCTCACGCCTGTAATCCCAGCACTTAGGGAGACCAAGGCAGGTGGATCACGAGGTCAGGAGTTTGAGACCAGCCTGACCAACACAGTGAAACCCCACCTCTACTAAAAATACAAAAATTAGCTGGGCGTTGTGGCACACGCCTGTGATCCCAGCTACTCAGGAGGCTGAGGCGGGAGAATTGCTTGAACCCAGTAGGCAGAGGTTGCAGTGAGCTGAGATCATGCCACGGCACTCCAGCCTGGGCAACAGAGTGAGACTCCATCTCAAAAATAAAATGAAATAAAATAAAATAAAATAAAATAAAATAAAATAAAATAAAATAAAATAAAGACAAGTGGTTGGATAAGAAGATTGTAATTTACAACCTTCAGGCTTACAAATGGGGAGACTGAGGGGCAGGGCGAAAATGACCTTTACCCAAGGTCACAGGAAGGAGAGTTCCTGGTGATTCCGTGGCCCTTTCATTTTAAAGGTGACTGAGGGCCGGGCGCAGTGGCTCACGCCTGTAATCCCAGCACTTTGGGAGGCCGAGGGGGGTGCAGATCACTTGAGGTCAGGAGTTCGGGACCAGCCTGGCCCACATGGTGAAATCCCATCTCTAATAAAAAAAAATACAAAAATTAGCTGAGTGTGGTGGCAGGTGCCTGTAATCTTAGCTACTTGGGAGGCAGAGGTGAGAGAATCACTTGAACCTGGGAGGCCGAGGTGGCAGTGAGCCGAGATCGCGCCATTGCACTCCAGCCTGGGTGACAGAGCAAGACTCCGTCTCAAAAATAATAAATAAATAAATAAATAAATAAATAAATAAATAAATAAATGTAACTCAGAGATCAGCTCCTGCCCCTGGAAAACACAGCCCGGCCGGACCCCAGCTCCACGCTGAGCAGCCCCGTCATCTTTCCCGGCCTCCGATTCCTCCTGTATAAAATGCTGTCTCTGCTGAACGCAGTGTTTCCCAGAAACACAAACAAGCAAAGATGGCCCCGCACACCTCCCAAGGCATTATCAAGCCCTACTCAGACCCAAGAATGGGGGGAAGGACCTGCACAAATCTCTCCTGAGGTTCCTTCCTGAGTTGATTCCTCTGCGCACCCAAGTTTGAGGACGGGTGTATCCGGGCCGGCATGATAAGCCGCTAGCCTGGAGCCCCGTACCAGCTGGTGCTGGAATGGTAGCATGATGAGTCATCCCCCGGAAAGGGCTAGGACGGTGCCCTATTCAGCAGCGCTCACACCATGTGTTATTTCTGGCCTTTGCTGCTGAAACCGGCCCCTGATCAGAAGAGCAGAGCTCTAGGCCCCATGATTTCAGGAACTGCTCTTTGCAAAACGAGGACACGGGGCTCATAGGCTTTCCAGATGACTGATGGCCACCCCAGCCGGATGGGTGGCTGGGCCGCCGGGTCGGAGGCCTGCAGGAAGTGGTCAGCAGTTCTCGTGCCTGGGCTGGAACTGAAGACACCCACCCCCGAACTGGCCGGAATGTCCTGATTTGTCGGGGCAGGCGTCAGCCTGGAGCCCAGGGAATCGCTGACTCTGCGGCCCAGCAGGTCCACAGTCCTTCCTTCTCCCTGGGTCTGCCTGACCTGCTGACCAGGTGCCTGAGACTCCTTAGCACAGTGCTCCTCATCTGGGGGTGGTGAGGGAAGCGAGCTGTTTCCCCAGAGGAGATTTCAGAAGAGGGACCTTCCTTCCTTGGAGGAAGCTGACCAAAGAGCCCTCACTGCCTACATAGGAGCCCCCACAGCAGCCCTGCAGCTCCCGCCAGTCCTCAGCATCTCCACCTTTAAAACCACAAGGAACAGAGGTGCGGAGAGGGTAAAATCACAGAGCCAGGGCTGGGCGCAGTGGATTACGCCTGTAATCCTAGCACTTTAGGAGGCCGAGGCAGGAGGATCGCTTGAGTCCAGGAGTTCAAGACCAGCCTGGGCAACATGGTGAAACCCGTCTCTACAAAAAATACAAAAAAATTAGCTGGGCATGGTGGTGCGTGCCTGTAGTCCCAGCTGCTCGGGAGGCTGAGGTGGGAGCATTGCTTGAGCCCAGGAGTTGGAGGCTGCAGCGAGCGATAACCACACTACTGCACTCCAGCCTGGGCGACAGAGCCAGGCTCTGTCTCCAAAAAAAGATCACAGAGCCAGAAGAGGCCAAGCCTCAGAAACACCCTGTGGACCAGCCGGCTGGTGGGGTGTGGGTGACCGAGAGAGTGCACAGAGGAGAAGGTCCCAGATGAGGGCACACAGCAGGGGCTGCAAGGCTGCCATTCTCCCAAGAGCCCGGGGACATCAGATCCCAGCTTACAGATGAGTCCCCCCAGGACCTCCAATCCCATAGGCCCGAACTCCTCAGAGCCCCAACTTTCCTGAATCAGGGGTGGGACCCCAGCTGGAATTTTGGCATTCTGCAGAGCCCAGTGATGGGGGTTGATCCTGACCTTGGCTTACACAGTCATTAACCCAACCCAAGCACACAGTCCCCCAACTCCGCCGAAGGAGTGAAGTCCTCCCAGCTGGGAGCCATCTCCTGGGAGCTCGAGGCTCCGAGGCTGAGGTCACAGCAGGCAGAGGGGAGGAGGGCTCCAAGGGGGATTCCTGCAGACTCCCTGCTACCCACCTGGACTGGGCCAGATGTCACGGGGAGCACACTGGTGATCGCAGGCACCTGCGGCCAGTGCTGCCGCCTCCCAGCAAAACCTCAAGTGCTACTTTCCAGGCCCTACTTCCTGGCCTCGCATCAACGCACCCACGCCGCGCTCCCCAAAACTACCCAGGCACAGGTCACCAGTGTTTTCCACGTGGCCAAGCCCAGCAGTCCCTTCCCGGCTCCCTCTTCCATGTCTCTCTGGGCCACTGGTCCACCCGCTGACCACACCCTTTGGACACCTCCCGTTTCCCAGCCTCCTCCTCCCTAAAGGTCATGCCTTCTCTAAGGGCCACACTCTGTGCGGGGAGCTCACGCCGGCGGGGTCTTCAGAGCCATCTGCTTTCACTGAGGTCCCCAGGCTGCAGCTCAGAATGAGGGCCTGTGCCAGTGCCACCGTCTGCCTCTCTGATGGCCAGTAGCCAGCCCAGACACCACCCAGCCAGAACTGGACACCTACTGCCCCCCGCCGGCCCTGAATCTTAGCAGATGGCACCACAGGGCACTTGGCGCATGACCCCTCTCTTTCCCCACCTGGTTACATCCAAGCCATCCTTGCCAGCCTCACCCTGCTCTCCCCTCTCCCACCCCTGGCGGGGCCCTGGCCACCCTGTGCTGTCCCACACCCCCAATGCCTGCCCTGGCTTCTGCACACCACTCCTTCCTGGCACCCCTTCTCCTCCAGGCTGTGACGGCGGTGTGTTGCCTCCTCAAAGAGGCCTACCCCGGCCGCCGGCCCGGCCAGCCCTTGCCCTGCGCCCTGGAAAGACTCAGCATGCTCCGCCCCTCCTGGGACTGGGGCCATCATCTGTCACCACCACTTGCTTCCTAGGCAGGTCCCCTGCACTGCGGGCTCCTCCAGCGAGGAGACTGGCGGGCCTTGCTCTCTGTGGGCCACGTGCCCAGCACAGCACCACACTCTGCAAGCGTTTGCTGAATGACTAACAAACCAAGTGCCAGTGACAGGGGGCCGGGCTGCCCAAGCCAGGTGGGAGCCAACAGCCCCATGTATTCCGAGCCGGGTTCACCTCTGCCAGACACGCAGAAGGGGGCAGAGCCCAGTCAAGTGCACTTCTGCTGAGGCAAAGCTGTGTGGGCAGCTGGGTGGGAGGGAACCACCGGCTTGCAGCAGGCACGGACTTGCCCTAGGTGAGGTTTGAGCTCTCCCGCCTCATGTGTCGAGCCACGTGTGCCTGTGAGCAGTGCCCGGCAGGATCTGGCTACAGCACTGGCTGCACCTCCCCCTGGGACACCGGAGAGACAGGGAGGAGGTGGCTGCCTCGTGACGGGTACCCAGTGCAGGCTCCAGGCAGCAGCCCCTTGTTGGGCCAACATCCACAGCTGCTACCTCACATGCCTGCTAACCCGCTGGGGTGTCTCCCAGGTGGCGTCACAGGGGCGTGGCCCACCACTTTGGTGTCCAGCCAGGTGTGGGTCCCGGGGTCTCCCCTCACTTGCTTGCTGCAGGATGGATATATCCCTCACCCCTTCTACCCTGGCATAGCCCTCCCCTGCTCACCAAGGGTAGCGTAGCGGTCCAGGTACCACAGAGGGGGGACCGGGAAACTCCCCCACTGGCCCACATAGCTCATGCTGGGGTGCAACCCAATGATGGAGAGCAGATTCTGAAGCCTAGGTTTGAAGCACCTTGGGGAGCTGCTTTACGGCCCTGCCCAGGCCCAACACCTGCCAGCGTAGGGGAGGGGTCCCACAAAGGAGAGCAGTCGTCGTCATTATTATTCAGTGGGGCAGGGTCAGCAGGCGGTGTTGCCCAGATCCAACCTGCCTGCCCGATGCTGGGCCTGGCTCAGCATCCGACATGGATGAGTCAGATGCCTACTGCCCTCTAGAGAGCCCAGACTCGGCCTCATGGTGGAGACAGCCATGGAGCCAGATGGGACAGCTCGGCCAGAGCAGCCATTGCAGAGGGGTTGGGAAAGGGGAGCACTGCACAGCCCCAGTCCTGCCCGTAGAGAGCTGGGGAGGCTGCCTGGAGGAGGGGCTCTGCGCCAGCCTCCACACGTGAAATATTTGTGAAATACATTCCCTGGCAGGAAATAAACACAGTGGGCGTGGAGTGTCTTGTCGCATCAGGAAGTAACGAAGTGTGATCCATCAACCGACCAATAGTTAAATGGATCAATAGATCCCCGAAATGATGGAACTGTGACAAAGGGAGACAGGAATCAACTGAAAGAGCTCCCAGTGGCCAAAACTGGGACAAAGTGAGCAACAAAACACAGGTAAAGCAGTGGTAATGTCAATCCCATGTAGAAAACAAATATGTAGGCCGGATGCGGTGGCTCACGCCTGTAATCCCAGCACTTTGGGAGGCGGAGACAAGTGGATCACAAGGTCAGGAGTTCAAGAGCAGCCTGGCCAATATGGTGAAACCCCGTCTCTACTAAAAATACAAAAATTAGATGGGCGCGGTGGCACGTGCCTGTAATCCCAGCTACTCGGGCAGCTGCCACAGAAGAATTGCTTGAACCCAGAAGGCGGAAGTTGCAGTGAGCTGAGATCACGCCACTGCACTCCAGCCTGGTGATAGAGCAAGACTCCATCTCCAAAAAAAAAAAAAAAGAAAAGAAAAGAAAACAAATATGTATGAGTCCACACCAGTACAAATAAGTCATGGGATAGCTGGGTAAATGGGGGAGAAGAGACAGACAGACCCCCCCGGGCAAAAGAATTCCAACTAACTTAGGCTGGTGGGCGGAGCATGACCCCCACTCCTTTATTGTGGGATGCGCATGGTGGCGTCCTTCCACAGAGGATAGTGTGGAAATGGGGAAACCCAACCAACACCCTTCAGCCAGGTGACCAGGGTCAACAGCATCAATGACAAAGCCTGTTGATAGCAGGTGTCCTTGCTAAGATGGGAGCAGGAGTGCACTTTGCTGTCGTGGTCTTCCTCCCCCAAACCCATATCCCCTGTCTAATATGAGAAACACGTCAGACAAATCCAACTGATAGTGTGGAACAGGAGTGGCGTTGGGTGGCAGAGGGTACGAGTGAGGATATTAACTGTGCCTGGCAGTCAGGGAAGGCTTCCTGGAGGCAGTGACATTTGAGCAGGGCTTTGAAGGATGGCAGGTGTCAGAGAGGGCAAGGGAAGTCGGGCAGGAGTCCCAGAATGGGCAAAGGCACAGCAATGTGCCTACAGGAGCATGTCCTTTTTTTTTTTTTTTTTTGAGACGTAGTCTTGCCCTGTCACCCAGGCTGGAGTGCAGTGGTATGATCTCGGCTCACTGCAACCTCCACCTTCTGGGTTCAAGCGATTCTCCCACCTCAGCCTCCCGAGTAGCTGGGATTACAGGTGCCCGCCACCACGCCCAGCTAATTTTTGTATTTTTAGTAGAGATGGGGTTTCACCATGTTGGCCGGGCTGGTCTTGAACTTTTGACCTCAAGTGATCTACCCACCTCCATCTCCCAAAGTGCTGGGATTACAGGCGTGAGCCACCGCACCCAGCCTCAAGGGGCTTTTTAAAAGTGTTTTTTTAACCTAAACTTTATTTTAAAGTTTTAGATAGATAAGTTGGGAAGCCAGTGCAGGGCATTGGCATAAACTCCCATCAGCCTCCCCCGTGATGACCATCTCACACCTGCGTAACCTGTCACATTCAGTAAACCAACGTGGACCTGCTATTTTTACTCACAATTCACACTCGACTCGACTTCCTTAGTTTCCCCTAACATCCGTCTTCTGCTCCACGCAGAAGCCCATGGGGGACACCACGTCTGGTTTCATCACCTCGTCTTTTGGGGTGCCTTTTGGCCGGGAAGGTTTTTCAGATGTCCCTGTTTTCCTGACCTTGACAGTTCTGGGGAGAACTGGCAGGTATCTTTGTGATTGTGCTTGCACTGGGGTTTGTCTGATGTTCCTCACTCCCATTACTTTTAATGTGCAACAAGCAAATTTTGCTGCTGGTCTTGGTTCGGAGTCAGGCTGGCCCCAGCCCCTCCGCCAGCAGCTGCTGTTAATTAAACCCCGCTTGAGAAGCTGACCTCCACTTCAAGCACCAGAGGAAAAAATCGACAACTCCACAGTAAAACAGCGAGGGGCCCGCGCGGACAGCTCCTGCCTATCACCGTAAAATGTAGGAAATGTTGCTCAATGTCCCCCTGTCAGGGAGTGCAAAAAGACCCCAAGGGGACCCTGTGGCACCTCCTGGAGTGGCAGCACTGGGCATCCAGGAGCAGACCCTGGGCAGGCTGCAGAGAGCATGGTGCCAGTGGGGCCCATCTGAGGGCAAATGACCAACGCTCATAAAACCACGACTGTGCTGACCCTTTGCCCAGCAACCCCACTCCTGGGAGTTCACCCTGCAGATGACTGTCGACTTCTGAAACAGCAGGGTACGTGGTTGTCCATACAGCTTATTTCTAACAGCAATGCCTTGGAGGTAACCTGGGTGTCCGATAAACCACACTGCAGCCACACAACAGGTAGCCAGCAGCTGTGATACAGAAGCAAGGCTTTCTCTGAGTGCCAACAAGGAAAGATCCCTGAGACGTATTAAGCAGAAAAAAGCAAGCTTCAGAGTGTCTGCTCCATTTTCTGTCTGAAAGTGGGGTTAGGATGCGTTCGCATCTGTTTGCACTTGTGAAAAGAAACCGCAGGAGGATGAATGCATTGGCAACAGTGGGGAGCTGAGTCGGTGAGCCACAGGGGAGTTCTCGGTGCTGAAACTATTCTGGATGATGCTGTGATGACAGATACATGACTCCATTTCCCAAAAGACATTGAACTTTACAGCACAGGGAGCCTTAATGTGTGCGCTTTTTTTGTTTTTTTTGAGACGGAGTTTCGCTCTTGTTGCCCAGGCTGTAGTGTAACTGCTCAATCTCGGCTCCCCACAACCTCCGCATCCCGGGTTCAAGTGATTCTCCTGCTTCAGCCTCCTGAGTAGCTGCGACTACAGGCACCCGCAAACACTCCTGGCTAATTTTTGTATTTTTAGTAGAGATGGGGTTTGATCATGTTGGTCAGACTGGTGTCGAACTCCTGACCTCAAGTGATCCACCCGCCTCAGCCTCCCAAAGTGCTAGGATTACAGGTGTGAGCCACCGCACCCTATGTACGCAAATCATATTTTAAAGAAAAAAAAAAAAAAGAACAAACCTAGGCAGACAGGGGACTCCCAGGATGAATGTGAAATGTGACAAAACAATTAACTGTATCACAAATGTATACGACAATCTCATGAGATTGACAAAACAATTAACTGTATCACAAATGTATACGACAATCTCATGAGATTGACAAAAGAATTAACTGTATCACAAATGTATACGACAATCTCGTGAGATTGACAAAACAATTAATAACTGTATCACAAATGTATACGACAATCTCACTGAAGTGAGAGGAAGAAAGTTCCACTAAGTCTGTGAAACTGAAGGCAAAAGGAGCCCCACAGATGCATTCCACTCTGGCTGATAAAGTTGCTTTCCAGCCGGCCACAGTGGCTCATACCTGTAATCCCAGTACTTTGGGAGGCTGAGGCGGGAGGATCACGTGAGCCCAGGGGTTCGAGACCAGCCTGAGCAACATGATGAGACCCTGTCTCTAGAAAAAATAAAAAATTAGCTGGGTGTGGTGGCATGTGCCTGTAGTCCCAGCTACTCAGGAGACTAAGCCAGGAGGAT